>NC_000015.10:27822328-28125358 GCF_000001405.40 Homo sapiens
TGTTCTTGAGAATCTTCCATGCTGCTATATATTGTATATCTAATTTTTACTGCTGCTATGAACACTCTAGTACATTCTTAAGTGAAAACAGAGTGGCATTTCTGTTGGGGCTCGCCTAAGAGTGAGACTGAGGGTTCATGCAAATGAATCTTTCAGGTGGTAGAAGTAATTTACATTTCCACTAGCAGTGTATATATTCCATTGTTTCATGTCCTTACCAATGTTTGCTTCTTTTCATCTTTTTCAATTTCATCATCCAGATAGGCATGGTGTAAAATGGCGCTGTGGTTTTAATTTGAATTTCCCTGTAGCTAAGGAAGTTCCGCATCTTTTCATATTATTACTGTCTACTGGGTATCCTCTTCTAGTGAAATGAGAGTGAAATTGCTCATTTTTCTATGGGGTGGTCTGGGGTTTTTCCTAATTGATTGGTAGGAGCTCTTTCCATGGTGTCACTATGAATCCTTTACTGGAATACATACTGTAAAAATCTTCTCCCACTTGGTAAATTGTTTTTTCAGGCCCTTAATGGTAACTTTTGATGACCAAAAGGTCTTAAATATAGTCTGATCTTGTTTTATCCTTTACTCTTCAGTGCTTTTGGGGTCCTGTTTATCAAATGTTGTCCTATCGTGAGTTCACTAATATTACATTTTGCTTTTCACATTTAGATCTACGGTCCATATAGAAATGATCTGTGTGTACGGAATGAGGTAGGGATAAAGGTACATTTTCTTTCACATGGGTGCCAATTGGCATGGTGCCGTATATTCAAAATAAAATTCGTTGATACTGAATTGTAGTGTTACCTCTGTCATAAATCGGAGAGCCTTATACGTTTGAGCCTGTTTCTGGGCTCTCCATTCTTTCCCACTGGTTTTTCTGTCTTTGCACTAAGACTACACTGTGCTAATTATTAGAGTTTTATTAGAGTTCTTGACCTCTGCTCATCTAAGTCCTCAAGCATTGTTTTACTTATATGCTAATGAAGAAGAAAGAGGGAAGGAAGGAAAGAATGGAGGGAGGAAGAAAGATAGGTCACGGATTTGTATAAATAAGTCATATGCCGATTATAGTGATTATGTTATTTGCTGTTATAACTGCAGTTATTTAATTTTTCCCAAATAATAAATAAGATTTTCCCGAAATAATAAATCTGCTTAGATAAAATTTGATTTAATGCCATGTTTACCTCATGCTAAAACAACCAGCTGACACAGGGAAACTTAATCATAAAGCAAAAGAAATCAAAAACATTTTAACTGAGTTTTTTTACATTTTCAATTAGTTATTTTAGTATCTTCTAGATACAATCTAAATGACTGATAAATGGTACTGAGAAACAACTTATTCAATTAGCAAAATTAACACTCTCTCCCTCCCCGAAAAAACTCTAAATTCCATATTAGCTCACAGCACTGCTAATTGTCTTTGAAACTTTCAATAAATTAGTCATGTAGCTGCAACAATAAAAATAAAATGCAATGTTGACTTATTTTCTAATCAAAATGCTCATTTAAAGAGCATTTTGAAGCAACAAAATGATTTACATTGCAATACTAAGGAGCTTAAAGCATATAAGAATGTGAATTATATATGAAGCTCATCAGTAGCTTAAGACTACAAATAGCAATCTACACACACTTCTCAAACTTTGCAAGCTCAGGGGGAACCTAGCTGTTCTACTATCGAAATGCATCATAAAATCTTAAAATATTTGTTAACTTTAAAGTGCTATAAAGCCCTATGCAGCCTTTGGCCAGGCGCGGTGGCTCATGCCTGTAATCCCAACACTTTGGGAGGCTGAGGCCAGTGGATCACCTGAGGTCAGGAATTTGAGACCAGCCTGGCTAACATGGCAAAACTCCATCTCTACTAAAAATACAAAAATTAGCTGGGCATGGTGGCAGGTGCCTGTAATCCCAGCTACTTGGGAGGCTGAGGCAGGAGAATTGCTTGAACCTGGGAGGCAGAGGTTGCAGTGAGCTGAGATGGTGCCATTGCACTCCTGCCTGGGCAACAACTGTGAAACTCTGTCTCAAAAAAACAAAAGAAAGAAGGAAAGAAAGAAAGAAAGTATGCAGCCTATGACATGATGCACAAAATAAGAGATAATGATCAAGGGCATCAAGTTTAAGGAAGTAAAAGGAGATCTGCTGATATAAAGGGAGAAAATAATTAAAACAGAGGGGCAGGCACTTATGTGAAATTAAACTGGCAAAACCTAATTTCTTTTGAATAAATACAATTTCTCTCTCTCTCTCTCTCTCTCTCTATATATATATATATATATAATATAATATATATATGTAAAAAATTAGGTTGTCAAAAGACCAGTTCTAAGGACCAGCCTGTCTAAGGCCACATCTCCGGCCAGCTGCTAGCTCTGCTCTGCACGCAGCACACTCGCCTAAAAGGCAACAAACTTTTTTTGAAGCCTGCCTCGCACACGACTCAGGTGTGCACACACGTAAGGCCTGTGGAAGGGTGCTGTTCCCCGTCCCTCTGCCGAAGACAGGCCTCCGTGGATGCCAACAGTGAATTCAGCTTGGGGTTGCTTGGTCAGTTCACCTACAAACCCTGCTAGTCACAGGGGGCATAGGCACAAAAATCTCCATCTGCCAAGATAATGCTTTTTCTCCACACTCATGAATGGCCTTGTTGGGAATTAATTAGGAACTTAGCAGTTTTAATTAAGGTCTGATCTGTGACTTGAATAATGGGCAATCGTTACATTATCATTACATGACAAAATTATCACATTAGACACAATTAAAAAATGGCTTTGGGTGATGCTCTTAATTGAAAAGTGATTGCTTGGTGAGTTGACTCTCCAAGGACAGCCGGCCTCCTCCAGCCACGTGGCCCACACGGAGGAGGGCAGCCCGCTGTGCACCTGCCCTCCCGCCCCAGAGCTGCCAGGCCCAGCAGGTACCTGTTGTGTGCTGCTGTGTGCCCAAGCCCACGCGTCAGGAAGCACACGTAGACACAGTTTCCATCCTGAAGGGCTCCCCCCTTGTAGACAAGCCATTTCAACTCAGCAGGGACAGCAGAAATGCTTGCCCCTGCTGGAACACAGAAGGAACCTTAGGCAGGAGGTCCTGAAAGTCTTCAGGACTGAGGAGCACTGAGGGAGGCAGGGAAGCGGCCCGGCTGGGAGTGGCGGGGAGAGGGTTCCTGGCCAGCCTGGGCGCCTGGGCCAAGCTGCCCCCTAGGAAAGGAGGTGGAGTGATGGTGTGGGTCACAGGCTACTGCGGACTTGACCGTGAGCAGAGTCCAGGGAACCTGAGAAGTTCGCACAGGACAGACGCCAACCAGGCATTTTAGGGTGATGTCCCCGGCCTCCATGGGGCTACCTTTGGTTCTCCCAACCCCACCTTTGACATCAGTTTGCTCCCATTTCTTCCTCTGAGGCTCCTCGCAGCTCCTCCCGGAAGTGTCCAGCTCCCGCAGTGATTGGCCCCATGCCAGTGCCCAGCCCACTATGCCCCAGTCCCCATGGAAGGCAGCCGGCCAGGACCAAAAGGACCAGGGAGATAATGAGGAACCATTTCTACTTTAGCTTCACAGTGCACTATCTGAATTTGTGCAATAGATTCTCCTTCTAAATTAGATCATATCTAAGGAAATAAAATGATTTTCAGCTTCTCAATTCCAGACTATTGACTGGGTGTGAGAGCTGAGAAGATTGCAGAGAATGCCAGCTAGAACTGAGCAAGTAAATACAAGGACTACCCATGAGCCACCATTAGGAGCTTTTTTACATAGGTCCATAGGAAACTGGGCTACAGTCCACCAAAATGGTAAGCAATGGCCTGCCCTTTGCCCGGCACAGTGTTCTGGGAGACAGTGGAAACTTCCCCAGGCGCCCTGTTAGGGAAGGTGCAGAGTTGTGTATCAGGCAGTTTTCTGAGTGCTTTTACCTAAATGAAAGTTACTGCATTCCATGCCTGTAACAGTATTATGAGGCAGCAGTTGATTGCAGTCTCATTTTACAAGGCACAGAGAAGTCAAGGAACTTCCCACACACACACACACACACACACAGCAGTAAACAGTAGGACTAGGGTTCAAGCTTCAAGCGCAGAGGCACGGCCCTCAACCACTACACTCCCACAGCCAACTGTGCCATGTCAGGGATGCAACTGGTGCTCTGTGTAGACGGAACCCAGGCCTGGACACTGCCTCCCCCTCCTTTCCCCAGCTCCCTGCACTGCTGACCTATCCTTTCTCAGCATGTGGTGACTCTTAGCACACCGACTCCTGCGTTCATGCCTCCTCTGTGGCTGGATCCAGATTCTTCAGGCCCAGCTCCACATTCCCAGGAAAGAAACTCAGGCTGGCCCACAACTCTGTAGATATTACCTTGCAAATGGGGGTGGCAAGGCCAGTGGGCAGATGAGGCCATCCAGATGAACCCCAGCGGCCTAAGGCATCGAGACTCCCCACTGCATGATGCCTGAGGCACACTAGCTATTAAACACCGGAGTGCGGGACTGGGTGCTTTGCACCAAGAAGGTATTTAGCCTTGCGTAACAAATACTTCCCAAACTTATTTGAAAGCACAAAACCCTCATTTTGTGATTCTTCCCTTAACATCCTACAGGAGAACTCAGCACCATCCTCACTGGGCAGCTTCCTGCCCTCCGCATGGTCTCCCGGCAAGATGCCCTTCCCTTGAGTGGAGCAGCCTGCCCTGTGGGGCTCAGCAATCCATACAGAGCCACCAGCGTGAGACAGTAAGCAGCCTCTCACAAACGTTCGCCTTAGAGTGAGATCCCACGATGTTTTCATCAGTCTATTAAACTCAGCTTCATTCTCCACGGATATGAAACATATAACAAGACAGGAAGCCGGCACATCTGACAATTACACAAACCAAGAAATGGAAAGCATCGAGTCATGCAGGAGTCACACAACGCGAGAGGGGCTGACAGCCAGGACTGGGAAATCAACATCTGATTTAAATGAGGGAAACAAGCTGAACGGCAAGCACCATAAAATTAACTCTCAAAGCTTAGGATTAAGCTGAGTTCTGGAAGGAAGAGCCTGGTGCTCAGGTAATTCCGGGTTTAATATAGGAAAAGCAAATTTAGGACAACACCACCTTCCACAGAGTGCCGACGGAGCTGGGGAGTGCAATTAGCACACCAGCCAAATCCAATGTGCAAGTCATCATACTATTGGGTATTTTATTTGTTCCTTGTAATTCTCATGAGTCATTTAAGGAAAAAAAAAAACACATTAGGTTGAGAAAAATACAACAGAAACCATCATGATGCTGTGGGTTTGCCTGAAATGTCCAGCTTACTAGAAGGCAGAAACAAAATAATTTACATTCTGGAAAAGGGGGATATTTTATTTTAAGCTTAGTGGAAAACTCATGCAATATTAAAAGATTGTGAGAGCTGAATATAGACGTATTTAAAATAAGCATAATCATACTGTTGTTGTTTTAATCAGGAAGAAAGTAAATTATCTTTAAAAATGTAAATTCGAATTTCTGAAAATTATTTTCCATCCATGTTTTTGCTTTTTACAAACTGACAGGTTTTTCATAATCTCTTTATATATAGAAACGAAGACACTTGAAATAAGGTCACTGGATAAGACGATCTATAGCACAAGGCACTACTTTTATGGTAAATTCTATAATTATAAATAGATTTTTCCAGCTTCATCTTGTGACGATTTTTTCTTAGGCATTTCATATCGTTCTTGTGAATGGCAGAGTAGAAAATTAACTTGAGTACAGGTGAAGTGAGGTTGGAGCACCTAATTTTCAACCCTGCATTGGCGCCAGGGCCCTGTCTGCCCTGATTCCTACCTCCCGAACCCCTACCCCCTGCCAGCTCCCACTCCATTCCCGGCCTTCCTCCCAGTGCTGAAGTCGCCCTCTTTGGAAGGGCTCGCTCTTGGCCAGCTGTCCCTGTCGGGGACTTATAGTACCAATGTTCCCAAGGAGATTTCCACTGTAATCCAAACTCTCCAAAGGATGCGGGCTAGGGACTGACTGCTCAGTGCCGGCATCCCTAGCTACTGTGGGGCTCCCCTCTGAGGGCAGGGGCTCCTCATGGGTCCTCACTCAAAAAGCAGCTGCCCTGGGAACAGCGAGGCATACCTGTGCACTCCTCACTTTTATGTTCAGAGTTTTGCAGAGCATTTTGGAAAGAGGCAGAGGAAAAATTTACAGAGAAATTCAATTTTTGCCTCAAACTCTCAGCTGTTCTTTGTAAGTTCTTGAGGTCCTGTTGAGTGTAGCTAGAGAGTCCCATGGCCGAGACAAATACAGTAAAAATCACAGGTTTTTCAAGCTGACCCAACCTCCGAAAATCTGTATTATGAAAAATATCCACCAACTATGATTGTAGAAAACATGGTGATTACTTATCTGGGACAAACTCCTATTCCAGGTCTGGGAAGATGTGGCTTGGGGTAAACCGGTGGCAAGTGATAGGGTCTGGGAGCTCCTGAAGGGTCAGTCTGGGGTTGCACGCTTCAGGAAGAAGACCTGGCTCTCCGTGGCATGAAGTCAGAGCAAAGGCCAAATGCTGGGGCTCTGCCGCCCTCTCAAGCGTGCTAGAAGAGCCGCTGAGACAGAAAAGTCAGAGAAAGGGGCCACCCTGGCTGCTAGCTGAGCACTGTCCTGAAGACATCCTGCTGATGTGACTTCTAACAGGACTCGAAGCTGGGAGCAGGCCAAGAGAAACAGCAGCTCACACTTGGGGAGGCAGTAGCCAAGGAAAAACCAGGATTCGGATGTGAACGGACAGCTTCCACTGACTTGAAGAAAGAATAAAATCGACCTACAACAAGGGCAGAAGTGGCTTTAGAGTAGATGACAGATAGATGATAGCTGATGGATAGATGCTAAATGAGTAGATATAGATAGATAGGTGACAGACAGCTAGATGAGAGATGATTGATAGAGACAAGAGATAGAAGATAGATGATAGATAGATAGATAGATAGATAGATAGATAGATAGAGTGATCAGAACAAATGAAAGATACTTTCAGAAATGCAAGGACACAGAGCATACACCTAAGGACCTGGTGGGAGTCAACCACACCTCACCTAGAATTTGAAGCATAAGACACTTACTTTCTAGACTTCCTTGCACCTAAAGCAGAATACATGGTCTAGGCTTTGTCCATTCAACTCTTCACCTGCCTAGAACTTGTAGCACTAGATATGCAGTGACAAGGGCCACAGACACACTGCCAAGGGGGCTGGCTTCAGCATCCACAACAGCAACATGGAGTTTCCAGGAGTAGGATGGGAGGTGTGAGCTGTGGCTGTGGCCAACATGGCCTTTGTGCCTGTACTGGGATCCCTAGCATCCGTACTGAAATTGGGAAGTCAACCTCAATCAGCATCTTCCCTCAGCATCGCTAATCTACAGAGAGGAAGCACTGGAGAACTTGCCTGTCACATCCTTACCTGATTCGCCACTTTGGCTGGTGCAGAAGATAGATAGTGCCTGGAAAAAGTAGATTATGGAATCCAGTTGCAGCTATTTTAATATAAAAGACTGTCTTACTGAAAATAGCTGATACCCTCTAGGACTATCACACACTATTTCAACTGGCAAATGCATTTTTCTCTCATAAGCAAAGAATACTATAAAGCAAAGATATTATAAAGATGTTAATTCTCTTGATGTTATTTTAAGGTTTATTACAATCCCAATCAAAATAATAATTGGCTTTTTAATTAATTGAAATGATATGATTCTGTAATTCATATAAAAATATAAATAAGAACAGTCAGAAAAACACTGATAAGGCAAAGTACTTGCCCTACCACAGAGTAAGCTTATAAAGTCCAAATAATTTAAACATGATGGTATGTCACTGACCCCACAAAACACAACAGATGGCCCACCAACATACTCAAAACCCCACGAGGATTTTTTCATCATAAAGGTGGTTTGTGAAGTCAGTGAGATGAAGTCAAACGTAGTAATGAAGAGCTTTGGGAGAGCTGGAGACCCATGTTTTATAGGTGAGCTGCATCCATGTCGCACCATACATAAGCATGCATTCCAAATCAAAATGGATGAGATTCCAAATGTTCACTTTTAAAAAGCTGAAAATAAATAAATTAAATACTTAAAATAATAGGATAGAAAAGGAGTACAAATATTATTTAAAGATAAGAAGGATGAATTGGAATAAAAAACTGAAAGTGATATAGTTAAAAAGTCAATAACAAATTACATAAAGAGTAAAAGGCCAAAAGTCTCTTTTCTGAAATTTCTAATACAAATATCAACTTCTGGGAAGTTTCACTAAGGGAAAAAGAATGTGTGTGTATGTGTGTGCGACTGTGTGTATATCAACTGAGAGGGGAGATTTGATCACAGATACAAGGACAAGTGAAAAGCTTCAAGTCATTTCATAGCAAAATATAAATAACTAAAACTGATCCATGCAGAAAACAGGAAACCTGACAAATTCAATAGCCAGTGAGGAGACTGGAAGACTGGTTAACAATCTCCCAGTTAAGAAGATGTCAGATTCAAATGGGGCTATAATTTCCCTGCTCCAAGTTACATACATATAGAAAGTTCCCCAATTCATTTGATGGAGCTACAGAACCTTCAAACTCAACTATAAGACAAAAATAAAAGCTGTAGCCAATTTTACTTATAAGTATAGATATAAAAATGCAATAAAATGGGTCTGAGCTCACGCCTGTAATTTCAGCACTTTGGGAGGCCAAGGCAGGCGGACCACGAGGTCAGGAGATGGAGACCATCCTGGCCAACACGGTGAAAACTCATCTCTACTAAAAATATAAAAATTAGCTGGCTGTGGTGGCACGTGCCTGTAATCCCACCTACTCTGGAGGCTGAGGCAGGAGAATCGCTTGAACCAGGGAGTCCGAGGTTGCAGCGAGCCGAGATTGTGCCACTGCACTCCAGCCTGGTGACAGAGCGAGACTCCGTCTCAAAAAAAAAAAAAAAAAAAAAATCGGTCTGAGTCCAGTGAGTCCAGGCTCGCCCCTGGAATAAAGCTCAGTAATGGAGCTCCAGCAAAGTAGCTGCATTTCGGAAATTTCCAGGGAACACAGAGCAAAGGCGTCGACAGCGCTGAGCAGGCACAGACTACCCCACCCTCTGCGGACCTGCCGCGCACGTAACCCGATTGTTTTCAGCCCTCTCCTCCTGGGAGGCATTCCTGTGCCACACACCGGACGTGGTGCCATGGTGACTGGCCTAGGCACTGGGCTAGATTCACACTGTGACAGTCAAGGCCTGTTCTGCCAGCCAAGAGTGGGCACCCAGCTCAGACCAGCCAGAGCCCTTCCAGAGGGAGCGTGTCTGGGTCTGTCTCCGGAGCTGCCTGCAGCCGT
Organism: Homo sapiens; assembly: GCF_000001405.40. NCBI lineage: Eukaryota > Metazoa > Chordata > Mammalia > Primates > Hominidae > Homo > Homo sapiens. The sequence goes on from NC_000015.10 coordinate 27,831,689, forward strand.
TCTCTATCACTGGAAGGAATTCCCATGCAGGGAGAGGCAGAGATGAGAGGTGGAGAGAGCACAGCCTGGCTCCTGTTGCCTCCGAGGCCCAGCTAGACACTGCCCATCCAGGCTGCTGAACCCTCTGGTCCATGTCCCTTTCCACCCAAGCGAATTTGATTGAGGCATCTGTCACCTGCAGCCAAGAGCCCCAGCAGGGTGTCTGCATCCTTCTCCTCTTTATCCCCATAGATAGCACCCAGGCTGACGTCCAGTGCCCGCTCCCGAGGCCGTCTCCAGCCCCCCGTGCTCAGGCGCCTTCTCTCCCTGAGCATTCACCACCCCCTGCTCCGTCAGAGACTCCTGCCAGACCTCTATGCTTGCACACTCGCCTGCCAATCCAACGTCCCTCATGCAGCCTCACCAACTGCGGACTGGAACATACTCAAGACCAAACTCTGCATTTCTCCTCTAAACTGCGCCTGCACCTGATGTGCCTTTGAGTTTTCATCCCCTCATGGCTCACATCCACGTTGTCCACCTCCAAACCCTACCCCACTGGCCCCCTTTCCCCACCTGCCCTGCACACACTGGCCCCAAGCCTCAGGCTCTAACCTGGCCTCCCCGGGGCCACTCGGTCCTCCTCTAACCTGTCCATTCCACTGCAGGGAAGAATGGGCTTTGTAAAAGAAAAATCGCATTGCAAGCTTTCCTGCTTAAAGCCCTTCCCTGCACTCCCACCACCTGGAGTGAAATCCAGCCTTTTTGCCCATCTACAGTCTCCCTCCCCCGGGTGCCTTCCACCATCTTCAGCGCCATCCTCTTGCCCGGCCATCAGGGATGCTGGCTGTTTCTCCTCCTTGGGGAAGTCACACAGCTCACCTGCTCAGGGCTGTTTGCCATCTGGGAACCTCAGTGCCGTTAGCACAGTACCACTGACCCACACTGGGGATGGCTTATGGGGTCTACGTTTAGCTGTGTTTGCTGCTCCTCCCTGGTGAGTCTCCAAGTTCAGCACACAGTATCTGCCTGCTTCATCACTGCGCCACTGAGGCCTACTTCTTGCTAGTTACAAAGCTGTGTTGACTTCATGGATGACTATAAAAGAACAAACATTTTAATACACTGACTATTCATGAAATATGGCCGGATTAAATATCTGATTTTTTTTTTTTTTTTTGGTCGCCTAGGCTGGAGTGCAGCAGCACGATCTCGGGTCACTGCACCCTCTGTTTCCCGGGTTCAAGTGATTCTTCTGCCTCAGCCTCCCCCAGTAGCTGGGAGTACAGGCATATGCCACCACGCCCAGCTGATTTTTTTGTATTTTTAGTAGAGACGGGGCTTCACCATGTTGGCAAGGCTGGTCTCGAACTCCTGACCTCACATGATCTGCCCGCCTCAGCCTCCCAAAGTTTTGGGACTACAGGCATGAGCCATCATACCCAGCCTGATAAATTCTTTAGTTACCCCTAAATATACAACCTTGTAAAGAAATGTCCATCTGTGTCAGCATGTCTAAATGCATTATAAAAAAAGTTTTATCTTATTGTTTTTCAAAATAGCATATCCTATAGAGGAAAGTTTAGGCCAAGCTTCCTTTACTTCAAAAATTTAGCCAATCAATATGCTATCGTGACAGTACACATGTGGAGCTGGCCACATTTGGGTCATCCATAAATGCGGAGCTGCACTCCATTGTTTATGTTGTCTGGAGGTTATGAGATAAGCACCTTGTTTGCTGAGATTGTTTTAGAAGAAGACTAAAGATGTCTTGGGACTCTCCTGACCCCACTGCAGCTTACTGCACTTTACCAGGACATTTACTCTTTAGTCCTTCTAAGTCTTTGAAGTCGCTTTAAGGCTTTTTAAGTCGTTTTACATTATTTTAATGTACTTATTTTTTTCTGGGTTCCCTAATGGTTGAAATTAAGGATTCTCTGCCATTAAATTAATAATATACCAAAAACAAGTTACATAAAAGCAATCATTTAGGCCACAAGTGGTTCCAATGGATTTCTTCCCAGTTATAGGAAATTTGATCCGTGGAAAGGCAGAGAGAAATTTCCCCTTAGACGACTCTATAGCATCATTTTTCAACTTTATAGTCTAAGCGTATAAAGAAACACTGACAGTGAATGGCTTCTCCGGAGATCTCACCCCAGCATCCATGGAGGATCTCTGCACGCAACTGTGCCTTCATCCGTAAACACCCCATTGACCCACCATCAAGCAACGCAGGCACCTCGAGGGCCCTTTGACTAGTGATGGTAGAAGAATAAAAATATTCGGTCTTTGTCCCCATTCCTAGCACAGAGCTCCTAAAACCTTTGGCATTTCCTGAGTGATAAGAGTGACAGGAATTCCTTTTGTTGTAATGAGGCAGCTCTTGGGGGCCCTAGATGGCTTCAGGAGGGGACTGGTTGCCAGAAAGATCAAGGCATGATTAGAAAGTTAAAACTGACAGCTCCACCATCCGTCCCCACACCAATCCTCAGGGAGAGAACCAGGGCTGGAGATTGAGCCAATCACAAATGGCCAATGATGTAATCAATCATGCCAATGTAATGAAGCCTCAAACCCCCTAAGCAGTGGAGTTCTGGGATCCTCCATGTTGGTGAACGAATTCATGTGTCAGGAGGGTGGTGCATCTGCACTCCATGGGGACAGAAGTTCCTGCACTTGGGACCCTGCCAGAGACCTCACCTATGCACTTCCTCATCTGGCTTTTCATTTGAACCCTTTATAATACCCTTTAAAATAAGTAGTAAAGGTAGGTAACATGCTTTCCTGAGTTCTCTGAGTCATTGCAGCGAACTATTGAACCTGAGGTGAGGGGTTGCAGGAACCCTGATTTGTAGCCAAGTTGCACAGAAGTGTGAGTGCCTGATACCTGTGACTGATAGCTGTGTCTGAATTGAGGGCACTGATGAGGGATGGAGCCCTTAGCCTGTGCTCTGACAATAGCTCCGGGTAATTGGTATTAGAACTGAATTGAATTGTGGGATACCTACTTGGTGTTGGAGAATTAAAGGATCAGCTGGAGTAAGGAGTAGAAAAAGCCACTTGCTGGTGCTTGCAGAATGTTGCTAAGTCAGCGCCTGTCACCCACCTTCCATGGTAACTAGTGGCTCCTGTCAAGGCTGGGGACTCAGCCGCGGTAAACACGAGGTGCTGCACAGGCACCTGCTCCTCATGTTGACAAGCGCCATCTCCTAACTGCTGATAAGTGAACCACAAGCTAAGCCAACGGGACAATGCACCACGCTCATCTCAGACCTAGGACATTCAGCAGCAAGGAGGCCTGGCTCTTGATACAGCCTCCACAATAGGAACTTGGGCCTTCCGGACGTAATGGGATGCAGAAAGCAAAGATCAGTCTATGATCCAACACTTGCTGCTGCAGCGACTGCAGTTAACATGAGTCCTTGAGAAAGATCAAGAAGGGCAGCACATTTCTTTGGGCCTTTGTACCACTTAGGGCTCTTACAGCTACAAGTGACAGAAAACCCAACCCAGAATGGCTAAAGCAAAATGCAATTATGAGATCATATGGATTACAAGTCTTGGGCAAATAAAATGATGCGGCAGGTTGCATTTCCCAAATTCGCCAGCACTAATATATTCCATCCCACATGATTTATCCCACAGCCCTGACAGCGCACGTTCCCATCAAGAAGCTCCTTCCCCTGTTTCTAGGGCCTGTGATGCAGGGAGAAGTCTGAGGCCCCCACCGCCATCCCAGCAGTGCTCTTTGGGCCCCCACAACCTGGACAGGAGACATAAGTGAGCAGCCTCCAGATGATTCTGGCCTTGGCCTCTGCCAGCTCTGGTGATCCCCAGTGGAATAGTACCAGCTGCCCTTTCAAATTCCATGAAGATGGTAGAGTTAGGCGTGAAATCGTCACTGTTGCTTTAAGTCCCTGCATTTTGGGATGACTTGTTAGGCAGCCATAGTGAGTGGGACAGGTGACTTTACCAGGGCCTTCCCCTTGGCTCTGGTGCCTCAGGCGCAGGCCCTGTTCTCAGGCTCCTGGCAATGATATGCAATGGCGTTGGCCTCTCATCATCACCCCCGTCAGTGTGAGGCCCTCATTCTCCAGCACCTCAGTAACAGTGTGCTGGGTCGATCTTCTCTCTTGGGCTCTGTGCCATCCTCCCATTCTCCCCTAGTGGTCTGCGTGCCTCTCCCAGTACTGAGGTTGTGGGGCATTGCTTCCTGAAAAGTATACAGTGGAGGGGGGGTGGTCACCCCGAATCAAAGTGGAGCCATTTTGAATAACAAAATCACTACATGGTTAACTAGAACCTCTTCTGCACCAGCTCTCCTGACACCCTCCTGACAAGTATTTACGGCTCTCGTGGCTCTCTCAGACTGTCCAGGACTCTCTGGCCTTCAGGAGCCTCAGACAGCCCTGCGATGCTCCTAGCTCTCAGCTCCTGCCCCACTCATTGTAACCTTTCTCAGGGCCACTGATTAGAAGGGTTCAATATACAAATCTACCCACATGGCATTATCCTAAGGCTGAAGATTTTACGTCGAGGTGCAAACCAACAGGAGAGGTTCTTTGAGTTTACATTAAGGGAGGGAAAAGGGCAGGGGGTGAGTGGCTTTAAGTTTTCCTTCAGACACGGAGGATCAGCCTGCTTTGAGAAGCCTAAGGCCCATTTCTGCTCTAACCAGATGAGAGCTGCAAGAAAAATAGCCTGTTTTTCTCTTTCTTTTCTTGTCTTGTCTTTTCTTTCTTCTCTTTCCTTCCTTCTTTCCTTTCTTTCTTTCTTCTTTAGCAAATATAACATGTGGATGAGACTAACTTTGAAATTTACGTTCAGAAAATATTGATCTCACATTCATGATTTTTAACCCTCAGGGGAAAAGAAAGTATTTGACTTTGGTTCAGTGAGTTTACAGCACTGTGATCAATACAGAGATTAACCTTTGAAAAGGCACCCAATATTACATTAGCAACTGTTTTGACCTTTGAGAAAATATGAATGTCTGCCTGGCTACCCTTGAAGCAGCAGACAGAATGAGGGCTTTATAAATCTACAAAGAATTTTATTATGTTTACTGTTAGTCAATGGTAATGATCCCTTTGAATCACACTGAACAAAGCCAGGTCATTTTCAAATATTGCTTCGAATACAGTATTTTCTAGATGGTTTATTCTCTAGATATTTTTTTCACTTTTTCATTTAATTTATTAACTTGATGTTTTTAAAGCCTCACAATAATTAGCTATGTTCTAAGAAACCACAAAAGAAAACAAAATGAGGTGACAAAAGCTTTACTGGAAGCTAAATTCCACAATAAAATTCAACTTAATGTGTCTCTATGTTTAAAGAAATAGTATAAATCAGCATTATCAATTAGTGAGACACTCTTTAATTGACTGGTGTATCTTACGTGGGTGGCACTGAAACGGTATGCCCTGGTCCCCATGGAGGAATGTCCTGCAGACCATGTTTCTGCCCAGTGAGGGAATCTAACATTAGCATAATCTCTAGTCAGAAAATCATTTTCTCCAATGGAGCAAATAAAATCATATCCTCCCTAGGAAGTGCCGCAAATAAGATTCCTTGGGCATGGCAGAAAGAACGAGTTCTGGACTGTGGATTAGCGATGCCACTGTCTTGCTTCTGGTAGGCAAGGTACTGACAGCCACCCAATGCCACATCACTGCATCTGCTCACAATAAACTCCACAGATCAACAAGAAATGTAGGTTAAGCTACGTGGGCAGCCTGCCTTTCGACATAACTAGAAGATGGAGAGCACCATAAACTCCACATTATTACTTGGCAGTAAAGAAGAAAACACCAATTCCCAGCCAAGCTATCTCTCAGGCCCCTGCCCCACACCCTTGCAAGGAGCCAGAGAAATCCAGATAATTTTCATGAAAAAGAGAAGAAAGAAATAAAAATTCTAAAATTGAGGAAAGTAACAGCCAGAAGTAGGAAGGCCAACCTAAGCATAAAACCACTGGAAAACGATCCTGGTGGATTTGTGTATAGACTACGGAGAAAAGACATTGACATACACTGGGCTCCAGGTGACAGGCAGGCATGCATCACCCGCAAGAGAAGACAGCAAACAGGCAGGCAGGCGTGCCCATCAAAGCCTGGCAGGGGAAGGGGAAAAACAGTGAGGGCAGGGGGGGAAATGCAGAATCCTGTAAGACAAAAGGAACCAAAAATGAATGGAAATGCCCCACGACTGAAAAAAAAAAAAAAAAGAAAAAAAGCTGTTACAGAGACTGCTCTCCACCACACTGACCAAAGAATAGGAATCTCCTCAAATTAGGAACCCTGGAACTGACTCCGGCTGGCCACCCTGTCCACAAGTACATAGCCGAAAGCTGACTGCCCCGTGCAAGGCTTTCCTAATAATAAAACAGAGCATGAGAATCTAAATACGGAAGCTGGTAAAGATTTCCCCAACAAGCCACATGTAAACCAGGAAACACAAAACCACATACAACACTCTATACTGAATTCCATACCCTCAGATAAGCACTGGGGGCTGTGCAAAAACAACCTGAATCCAAAACCCAAATGCTGAGAGCAGAAAACGACAAAACCATGAAGACTAAAATGAAAAGCCAAAGAAAAACACCAAATCATGTAAGAAATGAAGATTAAATTATAAGGTGTTCCAGGAAGACTATAATCAAATGAAAATGTAATCAGGGGCATTAAAGAAAGAAGGCAAACAGGAGGCCAAAAACAGCTGAGTAGTAAAAACAAGCCAGAAAGAAAGTGGTTGAAATGGAAGCCAGGCCAGTGAGACTCAACATAAAGAGATCCGTGAAATCGTAAAATATAACAAATACTCAAAACTCTGATCCAAGAAACCTTTCTGGACTCAAAAGAAGATACAATGCTACATGTTAGGCCCATGGATACCCAAGGGATACCTAGGAATATCTTAGTAAAACTATTAGACTCTGAAGATAAATTTGTAAAACCCTCCAAGCCTGTAGCAAAATGATCAAATAACTTCAAATGTAAGAGAACGGGGCTGCCATCACACATCCCACACACACATACAGCTGAGGCCACAATGGAGTAACACCTTCATGAAACCCAGAGAAGGTACGTGTGAACCAAGGGTGTATTAGGAAGCAAAGTGTCTTGTCAAATGTTAAGGATGTAGAACGCAGCTTTAAACCTACGAAAGCTCAGGGGTACTGTACCCAGGAGCTGATCTTGGGCTCTCAAAGATTAGCTTCACCTGTCAAAAGGCAGGAACACTTCAGCAAAAGGGCCAATGGTGAGCATCCAATAAACTTAATCACGGATCTAAGAGAAACAAGCATAGAACAATGGGGGGTGGAGGAAAAAATGAATGATGTTATATGTTTTGAAAGCAGAAATACTTCAATTAGTAAGTGCGTGGAGAAAGAAGGGAAGAGAAAAGTACTGTAGAATAAACTTATCAGTGGTCATTTAGGCAAGAGGTAGAAGTCAAAGGTTATCATTAAAGATAGACAAACAAGGTATAAAAGACTACGTAAGAAAACAGAAGACTAAAGGCAAGTGAAAAAGCATAAGAACAAAGGTAATCACTAGATCAAAATACAAATCTTTCAAATTGCAAAGAAACATTTTAGAAAATAAGAGAGCAAAAAAGATATACACATAGAGAAACACAGCAACTAAAATATACATAAAACCTATAATATGGAAAATGTGTGAGTCATATCAATAAATGTGAGTGGACTAAGTTCATTTATTAAAAGAAAACAATACTTTTATTTTGATTCACAAAGCAAGTCCCAACAGTCTATATGAGACACACCTAAAACAAAGTGATTTAGAAAGGCTAAAAGCTGAGCAAGTGATTTGTGATTCCAATACTGAATAAAGTACAATCAAGTCAAAGAGCATTAAGCATGACAGAGGGGATGTTTAATAGTGCTAAAAGCCTCCGACTCACAGTAGAGACAGAACAGTGATAAATATGTATCCACCAAATAACATAGTAACCACCTTTCAAAGATAAATAGTAAGAGATTCAAGGAAGAAATAAAGAGACACACTTGTAACAGGAAATACTTAACATGCCACTTAAAGTACATGACAGATTTAGTGGACAAAAAATAAGTAAGGATATAAATGACCTAGTATAATCATTGGGTAGATTTGAGAAATATGTAAGTTTATACAATAACAACAGAGAATGCACACATAAAATATGATCAAATTTGGTCACAAAGAAACCAGAGGTAAGTTCCATCAAAATAGAAATTAATAAAATAAATAAAAAGATTCTTCAAACTGGAAATTGAGAAGAACTGTTATTAAACATCCAATTCAGATGAAAGGAAAGCCACACTGAAAATACAGAAATCCTAGAAATAATGACAATGGAAGCATTATATATTAAACTCCATGGAATACATTTAAAGCAGTGTTCGGAGGAAAGAGCTTAGCCTTAAACACTTATGGCAAATAAAACAAACAAATAAAAATAAATGAAATAAATTTGAAATTTGAAAAAACTAAAGAACAGCAAAGTAAACCAAGAGAAAGCACTAGGAAGGGAATGATAAAGAAAAATGCAGCAATGAACAAGGCAGAAAACAGAAAACTAGACCTAAGAAATACATCAAAGTCTTATTTTTTGAAAAATAAAACAGAACTAGATGAATCACAAGCCACTAATCAAAAACAAATCCACAGATAAGAAATGACAAGGGGGAAATAACCACCAAAACAGACAAAATTTAAAAATAATTCTAAGAAAATATTTGCAGACCTCTCGATACCAGTATTTTTAGGGTAATTTTAAATTATGTGTCTATTCCAATATTTCTGATCCTAATAAAAGTGTAATCCAGTATGTTGTCTCTCATAGCTCCAGTAATCAAGACAGTGCACTACTGGGGAGGGACAGCCATCCAGATCAATACACCAGAACAGAGAACCCAGGAACAGATCCACAAAGATGCACTCAGCTGATGAGTGACAGCTGCAACAGCAACTCAACGGAGGAACCATAGCCATTGCACCAAACGGTGCTAGAGTGCAGTGATATCCATATGCAAAAATAAAAGAAAATAAAACCTTGATCTAAACCTCACACCTTATATGAAACTTAACTCAAAATGGAACATGAACGTAAATGTAACATGTAAATCAGTAAAACCTGGGAGAAAAAAAGGGCATAGGAGATAATCTTTGAAAAACATCTAGGGCTAGGCAAAAAGGTCTCCTGTTGTCATGCTTTTGACACCAAAAACACAACACATTAAAAATTTTTTTGACACATTGGGCCTCATTAAGATTCAAAACTTTTGATTTGTATAAGAACCTGTTAAGTGGATGAACAGTCTACAGACTGGGAGAAAATGTCCTATCTGCTTTATTCGTAAGAGCCCCAAACTGGAAACAAGTCAGGTGTTCTTCAGTGAGGAGATGACTAAACAAACTGTGGTCCATCCATACCATGGAGTGCAATGCAAAGAAATCAAATACTGGCATGTGAAACAATTTGGATGAATTGCTAGACAATGATGCCGAGTGAAAACAGCCAATACAAAAAGGTCACATGTTGTATGATTCCATTTATGTAGCATTCTTGCAATGACAAAATGTTAGAGATGGAGAAGAGATTGGGGCAGGGGTAGAGGTGGGAGGGATGCAGAGCTGGCTGGAAAAGGCCAGCATAAGGGTGCCTTGTAGCAATGGAACTCTTCTGTGCCTTGACTGCATCAATGGCAGCATCCTGGCTATGATCTTCTACTATAGTTTGTCAAGATTTTACTACCAGGGGTTTCTGCACAAAGGGCTCACAGAATCTCTCTGAATTATTTCTTACAACTGCACATGAATCTACAATTATCTTGAAAGAAAAAGTTTTAAAAAATTAATGAAAGCAAAAAGTATAGATAAAAATGGAGCTAAAGTTTATCCATTTTGACTATAGAATATCTAAAATTCCTTTGCCAAATTTAAAATACAAAAATAAGCTTAAAAATAGTCACAACATATATATCAGAACTGATTTCTGTAGATGCAAGAGAGCTTCTGAAAAATAGGAAAATTCATCTCTCAAGAGAAAGACGAAGGCAAAGGATATGAATAGAAAGTTTACAAAATAAGAAATGCAAATATTCAGTGTTTATACAGAAAGAGTATAATCTCAGTAGAATTAATTAAAACAAAACATGAGTCTATTGTTAGCCAGCCAGATGAACCTTGAGCATTTCAAATGGCAGTGACGAGTTTCAGCAGTGAAGTTCAATAAAATGCGTGGAGAGCAACATTTCTGGATGCCAGCTTGTCAATATTTATCTGGATTCTTAAAACATCACTCATTTAACCAGCGGTTCTATGTCAGAAAATTTATCTTCAATTATCAGAAATGAAACAAGGTTTTATCTATAAAGATATTTATCACACCATAACAAGAAACAGCAAGCAACCTCAATGCCTCAATGTAAAATAAACCAGGATACATCTGCCTGTTGGAGGCATAGCTATTCTATTTTGGAAGGACAATTTATGTCTTGTTAAGATGCTCACAATAGAGTATAAAGTATAAAAGGTAGGACACAATGTGATTCAAAGGCTTTGTAAAAAATATGTAATCTATGGTAGGCAGGAAAAATGTAAGAAAACACACCAAATTACGATCAGTGGCTATTTCTAGGTAGCAAAATTATAGGTTACTTTTGTATTTTATTCGTTTACATATTTTCCATTAAATACTTATCTACATCATGAGAGAAATGGTAATTCTTTAAAACATTCTGCAATGTGTATCACAGGAAGCCCCCTTTTGTGAAAATAAATCTTTGAGTTAGATAAAAGTCAAATCAGTGCATGTGCAATTGCAAATTAAGAAATTCATGCAAATAAAGGCCCTACTACAATTAGATAACCATTCCCTGGGCAAAAACTGCTCTGATTTCTGCACAGCAAGGACCTGGCAAGAAGGATGGTCAGAGCTGGAAGAACTGGAACCAGGCAAAAACAAGGAAGGAACTCTGTTGACCACTCACCACAAGGACACACTCTCCATCCAAGAAGATGCATGTGATTCATAAGGCTGGGACTAATGAGCTTTCAAGGAGACAACTGGCAGTCTTGCCCAAGCTTTCTGAGGCCACCGACTTCCTGTCATACTAGCTGTTCACCACAGTAACTGCACACACGCACACACACACACGCATAGGTGTGTCACACACTGCACACCAAATGCAAGAACTATGTGAAAAGTTCAGTGCCCACATGCATCACCCACTGGAGCTGAACCTCAGGCACTTTACATGTCCCAGGTGGAGTGGACGCAAACCCTTTCAGTTGGGCAGATGCCCTGGTTATTATTCCAAAGTGCTACTTGGGAAAAGATCAGACTGGGGTTGCCCTAAAAACCTTCTTTTTAAAAAAATACTAATGCCAGGCCTCCCATGCCTACTTGTGAGACCAACTGGTGTTGCAAAAAGCCATGCTTTTTGCTCTCTGAAATCCAGCCTATGGGTTGCCAGAGAGTAGAGGAGCCAGTGTATAGTATGCTTGGCCAACCAAAGAAGAGGAGATGGAGGATGTGAGAACGACGGCCTTCCAGGGCTGCAGAAGTTAGGAGCCCGGCCCAAATGAAGGAGGCAGAGCTGGTAGAGAGGGTGAACTGAATCTCTTCCTGCTGCCCACTCAGCACACTTGTCTCTGATCCCCTCTCTTGGCTGTGCTCTGGGTCTGACCCTCACTGACCATAGGGCAAAGATGAGAAGATGGCAGTGTGTGGTAGGCCACCCTGCAAAGGCCACTGCTATATTTGCTGTAATCAATGCTGTTCTCATTAAGGTAATTCTTGTTTAACTGACAGGATGATTTCTTTTATGCTCAGCAGAGGCAGATGAGAGTCCAAACAGAAAGAACTGGGTCAGGCATTAAGTTCTGAACCCTGTCCCTTAGCGGCAGGGTCAGCGATATGCCCAGAGTCCCACCGGGAGACGCACATTCAGCGTCCCCTGAGGCTCACACCCAAGTCACCCAGGAGTGTCATTCAAATTAATGCCTCAGCAAAATTACCAGGTATTACTAGTTTCTTACGAACCATGGAAATGGCCAATATAATAAGTCTGGCAAAATCCAACGTGCTAGTGTTCAAAGAGCCTGCTGTGTGTGGGTCCTCACCTGGGTATGATGGCCAGGGTTCTGTTCCCAAGCCAGCCCCAGGCAGCAGTGCCTGGTGCAGGGATCGCTGTCTCCACTGGCTACAGGGTTCTCTGCCACTCAACCAAAGTTGAGGTTCCAAATCTTTACCCGAGGCTGGTTCTGAGAACCATCATTGTGCATACACCCTGTGCAAATGTACAAAGAACTCCACAGGAAACTTGCTCGACACCAAATAAATGAAGTTCATTTTAACAGCACCATTTGACAGGGGTTTCCAGCCTCCATTCTGCCCCCTCACCTGTTTGCAATGTGCAGTGTGCTACTCACACACAGACGTGTCAGCAGTCAGGGCCCCAGCGCGGACTCAGCTCCTCCTAGAGGAGGCTCTACTCTGCAGGCATCCGCTGGACGCCCCCACCGAGGGCCTCATCTCTGCACAGTCCTCCTGAGAGGTGCCCACACAAGAGAGGGACGCCACTGCCAGGCTGCCCCCATTCCGCCACCCTGGCTTCAGTCTGCAACATTACGGGGTCTTTGCTAGCAGGGACTGTGCAATCCAGCACCGTCTTCGTGGACAGTCAGGGCACAAGCTCCCACTGGAATATTCAAGAGGACAGCCACACGAAATATCTGGCAAGCCCACAGTCATTTCCTGGCCCCCTGACTCAACCTGAGTCATCCAGGATATCTGAACCATCCTCTGTGTTATGGAGCTAATCCCAGCAATTTTTTTTTTCTTGAGACAGAGTCTCACTTGTCACCCAGGCTGGAGTGCAGTGGTGCAATCTCAGCTCCACCTCCCGGGTTCAAGCAATTCTCCTGCTTCAGCCTCCTGAGTAGCTGGGATTACAGGTACATGCTGCCATGCCCAGCTAATTTTTTTTGTGTTTTCACCATGTTGGGGATTCACCATGTTGCCCAGGCTGGTCTCAAACTCCTGAGCTCAGGCAATCCACCCGTCTCGCCCTCCCAAAGTGCTAGGATTACAGGCGTGAGCCACCAGCAATAAATTTTTAATGTGTTTTTTTCTGAGCTAATCTCCCCTACACCACAGTCTCTCTACTTGCTAAAAATATGCTTATTTTAGCATTTAATGTGTTATTTTTTTAATTAAGTAAGCTTAGGAACTAGACAGTTTAACAGAAAATTTAAAGGGAATTTAAAAGTACCTGAAAAATTCCATGAAGGAGAACCCATATCCATGCTGTTCTGCAATCCCTGCACACACGACGTTTGCCGACGCGCCAATCAGTGTCCCGTTACCTAAAGTCAAAATTTAAAAACAAAATCCCAGTTCATCTTGGTGGTAAGCTTCTGTTCTCTTTGGTTTGTAATATTTAGATCATCTCACAGGCTTTGATTTGATTATTATTTTATAGTCAAAGTGACCGCTTTGTAAATATCTGGAAACACACACACACGCAAGCAAGCAAAAAATAAGCTCACTGATTACAAATACCATGATTCATTTATGGATAAGACCATGGCTGTTGTATTTAACAGAGTGGAGGAAAGCTAAGGAGAATGGGCAAGTCACTGTGGGGCTGTGTGTCTTTCAGAGAAAAACACAAGTGGGGCCAACAACCAAAGCCCAGAACGTGTGTCCCTCAGGAATGCAGTCTCAGACAGGAACCACCTTCCTCTGGACTCCAGGCCCACACACTAGGAAACTCTTTCAGTGGATGAAAGGATAGGTAAAAACAACCAGGTGGAACCCCTTTCCTTCACGTCTTCACCAATGGCATCTCCTTGACATAAAACACCTCTCTGGGTAAGCTTTTATGACCGTGCACACATGCATGCGTGCCATCCTCGCAGCCTGGTGAGCAATAGGGCCAAGGTGGCCACTTGGGTCATGAGATCCAACCCCCCACACACACTCACACCCAGGGAAGGCCCAGGAGCCTCCTCCGTCGCTCCCAGCCATCGTGGTCAGTGTTCACGAACAGGCGCGTGATTTGGGCTCAGCCAGTTTAGCTGAGTCCTGATGTCCGTGCACACACGGTTGAGGAAGAGTCGCCTTCCATCTCCATCTCTCTCTCCTTCTATGGAGGATGGGTGAACTGTGCAACACTGCCCTGGAGCTGCCTACAGCATGTCAGTGTGAGGGAGCAACCTTTCAGAGGCTGGACAACATGAATAACAGAGCAGGTGGAGGCCCCACGTCCCCATGAAGACACAGCACAGACAGGGTGAGCAGTGTGCCCAGGTGTCAGGTCGGGAAGTGGCAAGTCCTGACCGTGAACCATTCTGGCTCCAAAGGAAGATCAGTGAGAGGTGGGGCTCAGGCTGCCCCAGGCCTTTCTGTAGACAGCCATGCAGTGTCTGAAAGGCCTGGAGCAGCTGCGATATGCGAGTCTTCGGGGCAGTGCTGGCCCAGACAGCCCCCTCTGGGCACTGTTGCACCAACGGTTCCATCCCATCATCCTGCCTGCCAACCCCACTCCTTCCCTGGCCAGGAGACCTGCCCAGTGAGACTCCACACCCTTGCCAAGCCATCTAATGTGGCCATCATTTCTCACTGTCCGACAAGTCTCTTCCCACAAAGAAGCCGATGTTCCTCAGCAGGCCCTGCCCTGCTCAGCCCCAAGAATGCACCTGGGTACCAGGACAGCATCAGCCTGCACCCTAAACCCTACTAACTCCAGGACATCATGAGTGGAGCCCAACCCATGGTCCAAGTTTACAGTCAGCAACTTGCGTGAGTGCTGAAAATAAAAGACTCCACTTATTTTCTCTCCCATTAAGGATTAGTGATTGAAAAAAATGCCCATTTTCCAATTAAAATGATAGTTTTGCAGGCAGGTCCTGCCCAGGTGGAGAGCATTTCACCCTGTCTGCTGTGGGCGTGGATTCCTGATCTGCGAGGGACCACTTCCCAGGAAACAGAAGGATCTTTCCATTTCCTTTTGTAGGTTGCCAAGGTGAACTGCTCAGGAGGCTATTTTGGTCCTGAGCACTCTGGACTCAGGGAAAGGAATGGGGAGGAGGAAAGGATGTTGAAGGATCTGGAGGAGGGGCTGCATACCGCCTGGGGCCTGCATGAGGAAGGCTGGGTGAGGATGGGGGGCAAGTGGGGAGCACAGCTCTTTCCTTGGAAAGGGAGATGCGGCTGAGGACAGGCAAGGGCAGGGCTGGCTTATGTCATGGGGGTGACTGCTCAGCCTTCAGACATCAGACATCCACCCATCTTCTCAGGAGTGTCGTGTGGGTGACACCAGAGGGGCTGCTCTCCCCCAGAGGCCCTCCTGCAACCAGATGTGTCTGAATTGCCTGGCCTCCCTCCCTGAGGGCCCTCCTTCTCAGCCATCCCCTTGCAGAAGTCCTTCAGCCTTCTCACAGACTCATAGCCTGGGAGGCAGGACATCAACTCGTTAAGTCGCACAGAGCCCTGTTTCTTTAAAGAATGCTTTACGGGCAACAGAAACCTGATGAACAGCACTTAGACACGTGTGCGACCACCTCCTCCCCTGTAAGGAGAAGCCTGGAGACAGAGGGCGGGGAGCTGGTGCTAGGCCTGCTACTGTCAGGCAGGTCTCCACTGTTCTCGGCCTCTCCCTCCCCTCACAGGATGGCTTCCCAGCCACATCTAAGACAGGAGGGCAGGGAGGAGAACTGGCACCAACACATTTTGATGACGAAGGCAAAGGCTATGGCATAGGCTCCTACACAGGCCCCTCCTGTCTTATTGGTCAGCAAAATGAGACAAGCAAGGCTGATACCAAAGCAGAGAGGAGGCCCTGGAGAGGAGGCCAAAGACAGGAGGCCACGGAGAGGAGCCTCCGGAAAGGAGGCCCTGGAGAGGCCCCGGAGAGAGGCCTGGAGGTTATGGGTCAGCCCTGGCAGGTTCTGCACAGATGTATTGGAAATAAAGTGTGTCCGCCAGTGCAACAGAAGGAATGCTATATTTAAATTCAGAAGACCTCAGTTGAAGTCTCAAACCTTCTAAGCTCTGTAAGCTGAGCAAATCTGCCACCATTTCTGTTACATTAACTGAGGTATTTGTGATAGTAGGGAAAGGAAGATGCAAAACCAGCCGGTGTTAGCCGTAGGAAGCATTTACCTCCTGGGGACAGGCAGTCCCAGGTGGCACAAGTCCAGACACAGCGACAGCAGAGCTCTGTGGCGCCGTCAGGACCTGCTCCCTGCACCTGTGCGCTCTGCCACCTGCCAGCAACACACAGAGCCGGCCCACACTCAAGCTGCAGATGCCGCAGGCATCTCCTCACCACGCATCCAGACATGACCATGGCCAGAGGAGGGAGCGGGACCCCTATGTTTTCTGAGGTTTGGTCTCAGGGCCAGGAAAATCATTATCAGAGCTCCTCCCTCTCCCACAGAAGACATTCCCTCATGTCACCTGGATTCCACATGGCTTTGGTCTGCCCATCCCTATGCCAGTCCCTGGCCAGGACCAGAAACCCAGCTGCCCATCCCTCCCTATCATGGGCAGGGGCAGAAATGCAGGGAGTCTGCTTCCTCTGTGTTTATGAGGACCATCACCACCTTCCCCAGCATCTCCTGGGGTGGTTGTGGGGTTCACATGAGATTAAGAATGTGAGCCTATTATTCAGATGCCAACGATGTTGCAGTCATTTAATAAGATACCAGTGGGGTTTTAAGGGTATTCCACGTGGCATGGGCTCCATGTGGTAGGGAGAACAAGGCCCCAGGTGTCACTTCCCCAGCTCAAGCCTCCCTCCCAGTTTCCATTGACGGAGAAGCACAGGGGGGTCGGGCCTGCACATGAACAGCCCTGCCTGTCCTGGCACACCCAGGTCATCCTGCATGGGAAGACAATGCATGGATCCAGAGGCAGAACAAGGGCATTTTCAAAACCATGCCTGGCTCTGTTTTTGATGAATGCTGCACACAAAGAATCGAACCTCCAGGGTAACTCCTGTGTCTGCAGTATACATTCCACTCAATAGGCCACACTCTCAGAACAGTGAGATTTTCCACTTGACAGAACACATATAAATTAACTCTATGCATGGACATTCCCTTTGTCGAGTTGAAGAGCCACCAGTCCTTCAAGACCTGGATATAACCTAAGGAAAGCAGCAGCCTTAGGGTTTGAACACAGCCACGTGTGGCCTGGATTGGTGTGAACACAGCCACATGCTGCCTGGATTGGTGTGAACACAGCCACATGCTGCCTGGATTGGTGTGAACACAGCCACATGCTGCCTGGGTTTGTGTGAACACAGCCACGTGCTGCCTGGGTGGGTGTGAACACAGCCACGTGCTGTCTGGATTGATCTGAACACAGCCACATGCTGCCTGGGTGGGTGTGAACACAGCCACGTGCTGCCTGGATTGATCTAAACACAGCCACGTGCTGCCTGGGTTGGTGTGAACACAGCCACATGCTGCCTGGATTGGTGTGAACACAGCCACATGCTGCCTGGATTGGTGTGAACACAGCCACATGCTGCCTGGATTGGTGTGAACACAGCCACGTGCTGCCTGAGTTGTTGAGAAAATAGTCACATGCTGCCTGGATTGACCACAGCCTCTAGATAACTGCAGCAGGGAAGACTTCTTCACTCTCCACGCTCACTTCACTTCCTTCCCACAGGTTTTCTGCCTTAGGATTGCACCTGCCAGTAACACCTTAGCACGTGCACTTGCCTCCACCTCTGCTTTCCAGGAAACTCAGGCAAAGGCAGGTTTTTCTGAAGGCTTATTTGAATAGTTCTTAGCTCTTCATGAAAAGAGCAACCAAAAAATACTGGGGTCAGACCAGTTAAAAAAAAAAAAAGTTGTTTCAAAGTATCCAGTGAATCACCTCCAATTTATAGAGCAAATGACATTTCTAAAACCAAATGAAAACTTCTATTTAAAGTGTTCCTCAGAATGCCAGCCCTGGAGGATGGGAAGTTGGTGTTTCATGGGGAAAGAGCTTCAGCCTGGGCTGGTGAAAAGAGCTCTGCAGATGGACGGTGGTGACGGCTGCGCAACGCTGTGAATGTCCCTAATGCCACTGAACTGTGCACTTACACACAGTTAAGATGGTACATTTTAGGTTACACATATTTTACCATAATTTCTGTAAAATGCTAAATCTTGAGTCAACGAGAAAGGGCCTTGAGAGAATAAGTGTAGAGTTAACTCCCAACACAACTGCACTCCTGCCGTGCCAGGAACAGGTGCCTTTCAATCGCCAGAGCTACTAGATTAAAACGCTCCCAAGACTGAAAACATTCATTATTCGCTGCATCCCTGCTTCCAAAGTGTGCTCAGTTAATAAGTGTCTAATCCTATTTTAGGAATTAGCCTATAAATGGCACACATTGATGTCTCTCCTAGAGAAATCTCCTCCACATTGATCCTACATGTTTTGGGGAAATCCAAACTAGCTCACGAGGCCTGTCACTCTGTATGACCTGGCTTCACACTTCCCTGTCTGCAGAACCTCCTCCGATGTCTCCAGTCTCTCCTCAGGGCCCTGTGCACTCAGGGCACACCACCGTTACAGGACGTGTCAGTCTATGCTGTAACCTTAGTTTAGGTGACCATCCTCCCCACTCGACAGCAGGGGGGTGAATTCACTGTCTGTTACAATGTCAGGGTATAGCAGATGCTCAGCAAGTTCAAATGAACAGAATCCTCATAGGGGATGCATTTCCAGGTGTCCTTGGATCCTGTTCCTTATTGTTGATGTTAAATGTAGCTCTGCATTGCCTTCCCGGGACTGGTTCTTAGGGGCAATTTCAGCACTCAATTTCAACAAGTTCTACACTCTCGGAAGAACTTGAGGCATCAGTCACTGACTTACATGAATTAGCTGGCTGCTGACATTACAGAAACTTCACTGAATGACATTAATCCCCCTTTTCAGCCAAGGAGATAAACTAACCAGAGAGGTATTGATTTAATAGTCAGAAATCAATCAAAGAACAAAGAAAGCTGGATTATCTAAGAATACCTGGATATAAGAATAAAAACTTAAAGCGTATCTGATGTGTTGATCTAAGATTCTTCACAATCCCCCTGTGTTCCCAAAGGTGATCAGGCTTCTTAGCTGTGAGAAGGACTCCCCCGCTGTTCTCTCCACAGCAACGGCATCCACAACCCTGTGTCTGCTCACCAGAGGTCAGTCTCTCCCAACACTCTCTCTAATCCACTCCTCACTGTCTCCAAAGTGCAATGCCCACCCCAAAAACATCCTTTAATCTTTCTTCCCACTCTTATGGGTTAGAGTCTCCCCTTCTAGCTGACCCATTTGTCCCTCCACTGCTTAAGAGAGAAAGAGAACTGCAACTGAGGATGGCTTCTGATTCAAAATCTGTTTCTAAACCTAAGCACGACCCACACAGGCACACGGCGGGAACACATTAGCTGTGAAGCATCAGAACCAGTCATCCCCAGGCAATGGGCCCGGGAAGTCGGGGGCAGCTCTGCAGAGAATGGGAAGGAACGGAGTTGCTCTGGAATTGCTCTGTCAAAGCTGAATATGTGTGTCCACTCAGGAAATCATCCAGACTCTCCTTCATTTGCTTTTAATCTGATACACACTAACTGTTGCTTTGGGCTGAACCACAGTGTGGGCGTGCACCCCCACCCCCATGCAGTCAGCAGCCCCTTACCTCCCAGGCAAGCACCGAAGGCCAGGGCATACATGAGCGGCGGTGCGGGCAGGCCAACCTCAGGGTCGTGGCTCAGGTTCAGGAGCACGGGAATCTGTGGAGGAAGAGGACATTGATGCCACGTCCCATGGACGCTCAGAGAAGCTGCCATACTGTGACCAATTTAGAAAATCCAAATGCTTTCTCAGCATTCAAACTCTAAGGAGCATAAGATTTGTGGAAAGAAACCAAAGCAGACTTTGGAATCCACAGAAACTTGAGTTTGAACTCATCTGTATGTCTTTGATGCCAGCTGCCACCAACTGGTCCTCCTGGTCCTGAGCCCTGCCAGCTGTTGTGGCTCTTATACGGGGTAAAGGCACACAGAGTCTAACACAGGGCCTGAGAACATGGCCATTAAAACAGAGCTCATAGAACCCTGGAGTGCTGTGCTAACTATGCACACGTCATCTTGAATCCTCAACATCCCTCAAGTGTGCTGTTACTCCTTCCTTTGACAGATGAGGAGACCAGGATGCAGAGAGGCACAGGAGCACAGATCTTGAAAGCAATCCAGCCGGAACTCACACACAGTCCCCTGACCCTAAACTGCATGCTGGGTCCCCTGTGCTAAGCCACTTATCACGGCTGCTCCCTGCCAGGCACCCTGAGCCTGCTAACATTCACAGCATGACATCAGGTACCAGATTCTACAGCCAGGAAGCACCATTCTCTAGTCAGCCGTGCCAGCCTCTGGTGCACCTTTCTGACGTTGATGCACTTTGCATTATTGTAATCAATGAAACACAGTGGCTGTGAAGTTTCTGTAAGAAATTTGTGTTCAAGTCTTTAATCCATCTTGAATTGATTTTTGTATAAGGTGTAAGGAAGGGATCCAGTTTCAGCTTTCTACATATGGCTAGCCAGTTTTCCCACCACCATTTATTAAATAGGGAATCCTTTCCCCATTGCTTGTTTTTCTCAGGTTTGTCAAAGATCAGATAGTTGTAGATATGCAGCGTTATTTCTGAGGGCTCTGTTCTGTTCCATTGATCTATATCTCTGTTTTGGTACCAGACTTAAACATTAGATCTAAAACCATAAAAACCCTAGAAGAAAACCTAGGCAATACCATTCAGGACATAGGCATGGGCAAGGACTTCATGTCTAAAACACCAAAAGCAATGGCAACAAAAGACAAAATTGACAAATGGGATTAATTAAACTAAAGAGCTTCTGCACAGCAAAAGAAACTACCATCAGAGTGAACAGGCAACCTACAAAATGGGAGAAAATTTTTGCAACCTACTCATCTGACAAAGGGCTAATATCCAGAATCTACAATGAACTCCAACAAATTTACAAGAAAAAAACAAACAACCCCATCAAAAAGTGGGCAAAGGACATGAACAGACACTTCTCAAAAGAAGACATTTATGCAGCCAAAAAACACATGAAAAAATGCTCATCATCACTGGCCATCAGAGAAATGCAAATCAAAACCACAATGAGATACCATCTCACACCAGTTAGAATGGCAATCATTAAAAAGTCAGGAAACAACAGGTGCTGGAGAGGATGTGGAGAAATAGGAACACTTTTACACTGTTGGTGGGACTGTAAACTAGTTCAACCATTGTGGAAGTCAGTGTGGCGATTCCTCAGGGATCTAGAACTAGAAATACCATTTGACCCAGCTATCCCATTACTGGGTATATACCCAAAGGACTATAAATCATGCTGCTATAAAGACACATGCACACGTATGTTTATTGCGGCACTATTCACAATAGCAAAGACTTGGAACCAACCCAAATGTCCAACAATGATAGACTGGATTAAGAAAATGTGGCACATATACACCATGGAATACTATGCAGCCATAAAAAATGATGAGTTCATGTCCTTTGTAGGGACATGGATGAAATTGGAAATCATCATTCTCAGTAAATTATCGCAAGAACAAAAAACCAAACACCGCATATTCTCACTCATAGGTGGGAATTGAACAATGAGATCACATGGACACAGGAAGGGGAATATCACACTCTGGGGACTGTTGTGGGGTGGGGGGAGGGGGGAGGGATAGCATTGGGAGATATACCTAATGCTAAATGACGAGTTAATGGGTGCAGCACACCAGCATGGCACATGTATACATATGTAACTAACCTGCACAATGTGCACATGTACCCTAAAACTTAAAGTATAATAATAAAAGAAAAAAAAAAAAAGAAATTTGTGTTCAAACAGCATGCCCCCTTGTGGCTTATGTTGCTAGAAGGAGCTGGGAAGGACACAGCCATTGAGCCTGCCTCCGGGAGGCTCCGGAGAATGGAGAGCTATGTTGTCCCCACCAGACACCTCAGAGAGCCCACAGGGTGTGAAGGAGAGACCCCTGGGCCCGCCATCCCGGGCAGTTGCGTATGTCAACCACTCTAAAGAGCAGCAGGAGGAGAGCACCAATGGTGGCTGATCTGGAAAACATTACACAAAAACACAAACAGAAAGCGGACCCCAGTGTGGAGATGTGAATGATGTGCAATAATATTCGATGCCGAGAATTAAGGGGCAAGAGAGCCACCCTCTGCTGGGTGCTCAGTCCCCCAATGTCATGAAAGAGGTGCCTTAGGGCTTACTTGGGAAGATCCATTCACTCTCAGCTCCTGACCGCTGCAGCAGGATTTCGTGTGTGCCCTCTGCTGCATCCCACTGGGGCAGGTGGGTCCTCCTCCCCACCCCAGATTCTGGGCTTGCCTAGTGGCTTCCTTTGACCGATAGAATGTGGGTGGGTTGGACAGAAGATCTTGTGTTTCTGCATGCCCCTCTGGAGGTTCAGGCTCTTGGCCACAACAGAAGATGGAGCCTGGGCACTGCTGCTGCCCTGGGGAGTCCCCATGGGGAGGACATGTGGAGCAGGGTCCGCCCAGCCCCAGCGGAGTCCAGACCAGGAAGCTGCAGCCAGGCCGCTGACCCATGTGCCTGCTACTGCACATGTCTCCACCAGTCCAGGGTCTGGTTCTCGAGAGTTGCCTTGCAGGGTCTGAGAAGGAGCCCTTCATATTTGCTGGGTCACAAGGGGCATGTTGAACAGCTCAATTTTTTGTTGTCAGTAGCGTCAAATATACACTGGAAGAGAAATAAGTAGCACGCTAGGAAAAGCATCTGATTCTGCGTCTATCAATCTGATGCAGAATCAGAAACTCCTGGCAGCAGGGTGCTCCCATGCAGTCCCTGAGGCACTTTTCAAGCTTTGCTTTTGTTGTCTTATGATAAACGCGATTATCATAGAGGCACCTTTAGACTTGATGTCTTCGTTCTTCGGAGGAGTGAGCGAAGTGCAACTTCTCACAACAGCCAGTTATCAATGAGCAGAGCTAACACACACACATCACTGTGAGGCCACGGGGCCCCTAGGCACTGAGCACCATGCTGTTGGTGCAAAGCCAGCCTCCACCCTACAGAACACGGCACGCCACCCGGAACAAGGAGACAGGGTCAGAACAACTAAGCACAGGACCCTGGGTCCTTGTGGGGGCATTGCAGTATCAAGGGAGGAGGCAATGTCTTCAAGCTTAGTGATGTGGAAATTCCAGCAAGTGCTCCTGTGCTGCGAGGTCCATCACCCAAAGCCAGAGAAAACCTACCCCATGTTCCAAACTGCATACTTACAACTGCCAGATTCTGTTACAGGCTGATTGCTTCAAAAAGTATGCTCTGACATTGTTTTCAAAGCAAGCCCTCTCTGGGATTTGCAATTCTGATAAGAACCAGCTCCCTAAACTCCAGAGCCCAAGGGTCTCCCCGCAACTCTGTGGCCTGTCCTCCCAGGCCCTGCCTTGATCAAGCTCTCCTTCCCACAACATAGATGCACCATTTGCCCCTTTAATTCTGTCCTCCATGCAGCCAGCCATGACCTTTCCATCTCTGAAGTCTGCCCATGCAACTGACCTGACTCCACACCCTTCAATCTGAGGCAAGCGCTCCCTCGCCAGGCTGTCCTCTGCCTCACACACTACAGTCTTCACAGGCCTTCACCTGAGCACCACCTGCCACTTCTGTGCAGTTGCCCATGCCCACATCTCCACCTAGGCACATGGTCACTCTTGCCCTCACATAGCCTCCCGCTCAGCCCATAAGAGGCTTGGGCATCTCTCCTCTGAGAAGTCTCCCTGAGTTCCTCAATGTGGCTGCTATTTTATCACACACTATGCCCAGAGCTTACTTCCATCATTGCATTTAACACTTATCCCTCCTCCACTGGATGGGACCATGTTATCTTGTCTATGCTCATTTATTCTTAGTTCAGTCAATAATTATTCTGAATATTCCATTTTGTGTCTGGTTCTGCTCTAGATACAAGAGACAGACAGTAAATATAAGACACAAAAATCCCTGCCCTCATAGAGCTTGCTTTACAGTGGCAGACAGAAAAATTTAAAACTAATGAATGACAGCACAGAAGATGGCAGAGCAGGAAGCTCCAGGAATCTACCTCTGCCTAAAGGATGACTGAACTGGCAGGAACTGTCTGAAGCTACTGTATGAGCTCCCTGTAGCTGCTGTCACAAAGCACCACGAGCTGGGTACTGAAAACAACAGGACTTCATTGCCGCACGGCTCTGAAGGCGAGAGTGTGAAACCAGGTGTTGGCCTGGCTGTGCTCTCTGATGGCTCTAGGGGAGGGTCCTTCCTTGCCCCACTGGTGTCTGCGGCAATCCTGGCCATCCTTGGCTTGTGGGTGCATCACTCCAGCCACACAGGAGCCTTCCCCGTGCCTGTGTGCGTCTGTGCCAAAATTTCCCCTTTTTGTAAGGACATCAGTCATATTGGATTAGGGCCCACCCTGGTGACCTGATTTAAACTTGATTATCTCTGTAAAGGCCCTATTTTCATGTAAGGTTACATTCCAAAGTACCCGGGGTTAGGACCTCAGTATATGTTTTGGGGAGACAATTCAATTCAAACAGTAACTATTTTGGAAGTCTAGAGTGTAGTCAAACACCTTCAGCAACCACAGGAAAGACTGATAAAAAGGGTTTTGGTGAATTTTGGCTTTTTTAATAGTGGTTGTCACTCCCCATCTCTCTCCCTGTGGCAGGAAGCTGTGGGGGTGGCAGCTCATGTTTAGGATGTGACTTGCTGATATCAGGGCAGGCAATAACGACCTTGTCCTCCAAAAACTGAGGTTATGTATGTTGATTGCTGGCCACTGTTTTGATCACTGAGGGGCCAGCACAGAGGCTGGCCATTGTTTCAACCTCCAAGTGATGGAACAGCTTCCAGGGAATTTAAAGTGGCAGTAATTATTTCTGTACACACACACAAACACACACCCCTAACACACACACACACACACACACACACACACACATTTTTTGGGAGCCAGAAATTTAAGGAAATCTTTGTCAGTCTACTAGTTGACTATAGAGATAATAGAAGAAAAACTTCAATGACCATACACTTTTCAAAAAATGTTTGGAAAAATCATAAATGGATGGCTCCAGCACTCAACAAGCAAGACTCAGCAATGTCTGAGGAATGGGAGAATTAGATCTCTAGTATTACCACAACATAATACTCAAAATGTTCAGCTCTTAACAAAGAAGATTACACAACATACAAACAAATAGGAAAGTGTGGCCCATTCACAGAAAAACAATTGACAGAAATCATCCCTGAAGAAGTCTAGGCATTAGAATTATTAGTCAAAGATGTTAATTCAGCTATCTTAAAGAGGTTCAATAACTACAGGAAACCATAGGCAAAGAGTTAGAGGAAATCAATAAAATGATGTACAGACAGAATTTAAATATCACTAAAGAGATATAAATTATAAAGAGGAATCAAATAGAAATTCTGGACCTGAAAGTATAATAACTTAAATGGAAACCTCACTACAAGAGTTCAACAGTGGAATTGAGGAAGCCGAAGAAAGGATCAGTGAACTTGAAGATACGACGTTTGAAATTATCAGGGCTTATCTAGAATATTTAAATTCATAAGAGACAGAAAGTAAGATGGTGGTTGCCAAGGCCTTGGGGGACTAGGGAATGGGGAATTATTTTTAATGGGTACAGGGTTTTAGTTTTGCAAGGAAAAGAGCTCTGGAAATGGATCGTGGTGATAGTTGTACAATAATATAAATTTACTTAATGCTACTAAACTGTACACTTAAAAATGATTAAGATGGTGCATTTTATGTTACATGTGTTTTACCACAATTTAAAAAAATAAATAAAATTTAAAATGTCAAAAAAAGAAGAAATTGTAGGCCTGAGGAGCAGAAAGTAAAAGAAAAAAAATAAATAAACAGAGCCCAAAGGACCTGTGGGACACCATCAAATCTACCAACATATGCATTATAGGATTTCCAGAAAGAGAAGATGGAGAGAAAGAGACAGGAAAAATATTTAATAGGCATTCAGCTAATAAAGATGTAATCTATGAAGGAAGTAAGGACTGAACTGTAAAGGAAGTAAGGACTAAATAGTCTGTATGCTATTGAAACTAATTTGGTATTATTCATGACAGGTTGTTATATATTTAGGATGTTAATTTAAATTTCCAAGGTAACCACTAAGAAAATAACTATTAAAATATACAGAAAATTAAAACAAGGTAATCAAAACTGTACACTACAAAAAAATCAACTAAATACAAAAAAAAAAGGCAGTAATGGAGAAACTGAGAAACAAAAAATCTAAGATATGCAGAAAAGAAATACATGGCAGAGTAATTACTTCTTTATCAGAAATTACACTAATTGTAAATGGATTAAACTCTCCTGTTCACCTGAGGTCAGGAGTTCAAGACCAGCCTGGCCAACATGGTGAAACCTCATCTCTACTAAAAATACAAAAATTAGCCAGGTGTGGTGGTGGGCACCTGTAATCCCAGCTACTCAGGCGGCTGAGGCAGAAGAATCACTTGAACCTGGGAGGCAGAGGTTGCAGTGAGCCGAGATCACACCACTGCACTCCAGCCTGGGGAATAGAGTGAAACTCTGCCTCCAAAAAGAAAGAAAGAAAAAAAAAAAAAAAAACAGAAATTGGCAGACTGGATAAGAAACAGGATACATCTTACACATTTTGTTAACAAGTGACTCTCTTTAGATACAAGGACACAAATAAGTTAAAAGTAAGAAAAAATATTTTACATGTAAATAGTAACCAAAATAGAACTGAGGTGGGTACATTATTGTCAGACAAAATAGAATTTAAATAAAAACAGGTTACAAAAGACAAAGAATAACATTATATATTTATAAATGATTCAATACAGAAGGAAGATACAACAATTATAAATATTTACACACCTAAAAATAGAACGTGGAAATATATGAAACAAAAATTGGCATAATTGAAGGAGAAATAGATATTTCTACTATAAAATTTGGAGACATAAAATATTCCCCAAGATAGACCACATGTAGGGCACAAAACAATTCTCAATAAATTTTAAAAGATTAAAATAATACATAGTATCTTTTCTAATTACAGTAGAATGAAACTAGAAATCAGTAACAGAAGGAAAAAGAGAAAATTTACAAATATTAAACAACCAATGAGTTAAAGAAGAAATTACAAGGAAAATCAGAAAACACCTAAGACAAAGAGAAATGAAGACACAACATACTAAAACTTGTGAAATTCAATGAAAGCAGTGCTAATAGGAACATTTACAGCTATAAATGCATATATTATAAAAGAAGAAATACCTCAAATAAATAACCTAACTTCACACCTTAAGAAACTATAAAAAGGCAAGCAAACTAAACCTAAAGCTAGTAGAATGAGGGAAATAAGATAGATTAGAAGAGAGATAAATAAGATGAAGAATAGAAAAAATAGAGAAAGTCAATAAAACCAAAAGCTGATTCCTTGAAAGGATCGACGATATTGTCAAAGTTTTATCTAGATTGACTAAGAAAAAGAGATAAAATACAAACGACTAAAATCAAAAACTAAAGTGGAAACATTATTACCAATCTTACAGAAATAAAAAGGATTATAAAAGAAAACTATAAACAATTACATGCCAACAAATTGTGTTAACTAAGTGAAATAAATAAATTTCTAGAAATACACAATCTACCAAAACTGACTCATGAAAAAATAGAATATTTGATTAGATCTGTAACTAGTAAGGACACTGAATCAGTAACCAAAAAATTCCCAACAAAGAAAAGTCTAGGACCACATGGCTTCACTGGTGCATTCTACCAAACATTTAAAGAAAAATTAATACCAACGTTCCAAAAACTGTTTCAAAAAATGAAGAAGAGGGAATACTTCCTAACTCATTCCATGAGGCCAGCATTACCCTGATACTAAGTCAGACAAAGCCACTACAAGAAAAGAAAACTACAGATCAATGTTCCTGATGAAATTGGGATGTAGTCTATACCAACGTTCTTACAGGAAGAAAGGAACGGAAGGAAGCCATTGCCTCCACAAACATGACATCGATGGAAAGACCCCAGGGCTTGGGAAAAAAGATGGCAGATAGCAGCACTCAGGAAACAAAATATAAAATAAAATAAAATAAAAAGTGGCAAAGGATAAAAAAGGTTTTCTGTGAGAAAAAGAAATGTGATGAAAGTTATAAAGGTGCTATTTTTTAAACAAGAATTCCAGGCTGATTTAGCACTTTAAACTGTATGAATGTATAATTTTATTTAAAAGCAAACATTGAACAACTAAGCAGCTCAAAAGAATAATGAATAAGTAAAATACACAGTATGCTTGGTGGTATTAAGTGTTATGGGGAAAAAAATAAAGCAAAAAGGGAGACAGGGAGGATGAGGTTGTCAATTTAGCACTGGGAAGGAGCAATTTTGCAAAACTCAATAAAAGGTGAAGGAGCAAGACCAAGCTCTAATGATCTGTGTGAATAGAATCTCAGACAGAAAGCATACAAAAGTGCAAAAGCCTTTATAATCAATTTATTTTAGAGTCAGGGGAGCACACCTGCAGGTTTGTTACATGGATATCTTGTGTGATGCTGGGATTTGGACTTCAAATGTTCCTGTCACCCAAGCAGTGAGCATAGTACCTGCTCGGTAGTTTTTCAACCCTCGTCCTCATCCCTCACTCCTCCCTTCTGAAAACGCCACTGTTTATTATTCCCTTCTTTGTGTCATATGTACCCAATATTTAGCTGCCACTTACAAGTGAGAACATGTAATATTTGGTTTTCTGTTTCTGTGTGAATTCGATTAGGATAATAACCACCAGGTCCATCCATGTTGCTGCAAGGAACATGATCTCATTGTTTTTATGACTGTGTGGTATTCCACAGTGTTTATGTACCACATTTTCTTTATTCAATCCACCACTGATGGGCATCTAGGTTGATTCCATGTTTTCGCTACTGTGAGTAGCATAGTGATGGACACGCAAGGGCACATGTCTTTTTGGTAGAATGATTCCATCTCCTTTGGGTATACACTCAGCAGTGGGATTGCTAGGTTGAAATCCAAGGAGGCCACTATGGCTGCAGTGAAGTCAGCAGAGAGAAGAGCAGTAAGAAGTAAGCTCAGGGAGGAAGCAGCAGCCAGGCCTAGGAGAGGTGCAAGCCATCGCCAAGACCTTGGGCTATACCAAAGCAGGGAGCCTCTGTGGACCACAGGCTCTCAGGAGCAGGGCAAGAGTGGAAACAAAAGGAAGAATTTGGAATGTATTTGGGAACAATACGTCTGAAGCTCCTTTTCCACTGTGTGACAGCAGGAGGGCATGTGGTCCTTGCTGGGGCCTCAGGGGACAGGAGTATAGATGGCAAGAATGGATCAGATTCAAAACCTTTGAGGGGCAGCTGGCCATGGGGTGTTAGAGAAGGTGAGGTGTTAGCTGGCTCTCAGCCTCAGGGGCTTGAGCAACTGAGAGAACGGAGTCACGATTTATGAGGGCAAGGAAGAGTGGGGAAAGATGGAATCAGGATTTCAGTTCGGGACACGTTAAGTCTGTAACACCTGCAGTGCCCCAGGAGAGAAATGGAGAGGCAGGTGGACAACCGGGGCTAGGCTCTGGGGAGCAGCCCAGGAGAGGTTGCTGTGGATGGCACTTGGAGTAAGTGTTCAGATGAGACCCCTGCAGCCGTGAGTCTAGAGAGTGGAGGTCAGAGCTGATTCCAGGGTTCTGGGCTTGGAAGATGGAGAGGGTCATGGAAGGAGGCGAGGAGAAGGAGCCCCGTGCAGGGAGGAGGAGTACCTGAAGGGCCAGGCGGGGAAAGATTCTGAGGGGTGGCCTCCATGTCATGTTGCTGACTGGCCAGGTTCCAAGGGGGTCTCTCTCGAGGGCGGGCACTAGTCCTTAGTGATCTTGGAGAGAACTATGTCCATGGATTATGGAAGAAAAACTCAATTGCAGTAAAGCCAAGAAAAAGTGAAGAAAGTTTCAGACTCCCTTTCGAAGTGTCTGGCTACAGGAAACTGAGGAAATAGGGGAGTGGCGGGAAGGCCTGGAGACACGGCAGCAAGTCTGGATCCGCCTGCGAATGATCAGCAGAGTGAAGAATAAATGATGCAGGGAGGACAGTGGCATGTGGTCCTGGGTGAAGGCACCGGTCTTCGTTGGGAGCCAGACATCCCCCCACACACCCGGAATGCAGCCAGGATGCACTGGGTGGCCACGGCGTCACGTGGAAAGTGCCCACATGGTTGCTTTTACGTCCTCACAGACAGAAAGCATGGTCATCAGCCTCAAGTCCTCATGGAGAGAAAGCATGGTCGTCAGCCTTGAGTCCTCACAGACAGAAAGCGTGATCGTCAGCCTCAAGTCCTCATGGACAGAAAGCGCGGTCGTCAGCCTCGAGTCCTCATGGACAGAAAGCATGGTCGTCAGCCTCGAGTCCTCACGGACAGAAAGCATGGTCGTCAGCCTCGAGTCCTCACGGACAGAAAGCGTGGTCGTCAGCCTCAAGTCCTCACAGAAAGCGTGGTCATCAGCCTCGAGTCCTCACGGACAGAAAGCATGGTCATCAGCCTCAAAGGAGGGGCAGTGCTGGAGGCCTGATGGGGCACAAGAGGCATGCACAGTGCACAGCACCCATACAAGGGGACATGCTGCCTGCCCAGCGCCAAAGAACTTTGAAAAAAAAGTAGACCTCCTCAGACATTTTTTTTTTTTTTTGAGATGGAGTTTCACTCTTTCGCCCAGACTGGAGTGAAGTGGTGCGATCTCGGCTCACTGCAACCTCCGCCCCCTGGGTTCAAGCCATTCCCCTGCCTCAGTCTCCTGAGTAGCTGGGATTACAGGTGTGTGCCACTATGCCCAGCTAATGTTTGTATTTTTAGTAGAGACAGGCTTTTACCATGTTGGCCAGGCTGGTACCGAACTCTTGATCTCAGGTGATCCACTTGCCTCAGCTTCCCAAAGTGCTAGGATTCCAGGCATGAGCCTCCGTACCCAGCCTCCTCAGACATTTTAAGTTCGTATGTCAAATTTGCCATTCCAATATACAATAGTCCCCAAGGACATAGTCTATATCAACATTCTTAAACAAAGGCATCCCGTCATTCTTTTAAATGTATACTTTCAAATTTAAATACCACAACATCATAATTCATCTAAATATACATCTGAAGCTCCTTTTCCGCTGTGTGACAGCTGGAAGGCACATGGTCCTCACTGCTTGACCTCTGGCCCAGGCAATGGGTCTGACTCAGGGGCCTGGGAAGCTGGCCGAGAAGGCACTAACCATCAGCGGGAGGCTGGCAGGGCTGACCTGACAGGTCAGGAAGGAGAGGCCCCCTGAGGCTGCAACTAACTGGGCAGGGGCAGAGGTGACCTAGGCAGATGGCAGGCACAGAGCAGCGGTGGGAGGAGGGCAGAGCTGCCTGGGGCATGGGTGAGGGATGCTGCAGTCGGCTCCTG
Source organism: Homo sapiens (assembly GCF_000001405.40). Lineage (NCBI taxonomy): Eukaryota > Metazoa > Chordata > Mammalia > Primates > Hominidae > Homo > Homo sapiens. The sequence continues at coordinate 27,863,237 of NC_000015.10, forward strand.
GCTGTGTGGGACACAGCAGCCACCCAGCAGCAGTTCCGGGCGGATCCCCTGGTAAAGGTGTACAAGTGCCTCAGGTAAGCACAGGGAAGGCTGCACCCTCACTGGGATTCTGAGAGCTGAGATATGGATTGCCATGAGGCAGGGGAGAGCTATTTATAGCTGGCAGGGGCACAAGTCCTCCTGATGGGCCGGGCCTAGACCAGCACTTCTCCAATGCCAATGTGTGGAGTGGGTCACCCGGCACCTTGTCCAAATGCAGGCTCTGACTCAAGGGTCTGAGCATCTGAGACCCTGACCTGTTAGAAGTTCCCAGTGCTGTGATGCTGCCGGTGCCCAAGCCCCATCTGAGGGTAAAGGGCTGTGCTTTTTCAATACAATGCATTCCTTCTCCCCATTCTGGAACTGCTGTCATGGCCACGCTGGGTCCCCTGGGTCTCGCCTCCAAATCTCTCACCCTTTTTCACGACTCTGTTTCTCTTTGCTTTTGTTCTGTACCTGCACATATGTCTCTCACTTGGCTGCAAGCACAGCAACTCAGGCCTAACACTTTGCTCTTCTTCAATTCATTATTCAATATTTTTTGTTGAAAACATTATAGGTTTTAGTTCCAGAAACTATTTTTTGTGCTGTGCTTAAATCTCTGAGTGTCCTCATAATTTATCATTTGTTGTATTGTGTCGGTGGGACACAGTGGATAATCTTCTCTCACACTACTGGTCCCCTAAATGTGCCACTTGGATTTCACGGGGTGCCATGGAGCTGGGGTCTGGCGGTGTAGTGGCTGGTCTGTGGACCATGGAAGATGGGAGACCCTCACTTCTGGGCCGGCAGTGCCCCTCTGAGGCTGCTCCCCAACCACCCAGAGGGCATCCATTGTGCACCTGTCCGGGGCAGACTTGTAACCCACACAGCCCATCAGTACCAGGCTCAGCACCAAGCAAATGGGGGAAAATGGCATTTCTGTGCTCCTCCCATTTCTGTTTCTCTAACTCTAGCACCTCCTTAGCTTGCACAATGGCAGAGTTGGGATTCAAGCCCAGATCCACCTCCTGCAGAACCTGAGCTGCTAATAGTGCCAACTGCTCATGTTATTAAACCTAATTGCAATCCGCCAGGCTGGGTTTGATCCTCCACATAATTATGTTCCTGGATGTTTCAGGACAGGAGGAGTTAAAACAAAAATGAGATTAAGTTTTTTAAAAAATTGTAAAGCTAAAGCTCAAATGAAATGTTTTTGACTCTCACATCCTCTGAAAGAGTGCTCTCCTGTGCCAGGTGTGATAGCCCAGGATGTCTGTCCTGATACCTCCCGCAGGGCTATGGGATGGGGCGAGACTGCAAAGAAAGCCGGGGAAAGGAGATGCCTGAGAAACTGCCTTCCACCCAGAGGCTGGGTGACAGCATAGATAATGATGAGTGCCAACAAGTCAGTTGAAGGAAACCCACAGATTTATGTGCATAAATTACCAGCCTTTGAATTCAACATTCAGGACAAGAGTAATAATCTTTTAACTTGAAAGTTGCCTGAGGATTCTTCCTGTTCAAGCACATGAGGTTGAAAAGTTAAGGTTTAAATGGAGAAAGACTGTCAGGGAATTCTCAGTCATTATGCTGTTTCTCAGCGGTTCCAACTCGGTCTTTAGGGCCATGCAATGGAGCCCTAAGAACGCCACCCACAGAGGCCGCCTGCCCACCAAGAGGGCAAGAGGAAGGAAGAAGAGGCGGCGGGTGTGAAAGGGATTTCCCTGTATGGAAATATTGGTTAAACGTCTCCATGCCAAGAAAAGAAATAGGAAGAGAAATATCCTGAACAAATGTGAACAGAGTTCACCTGTTGCTCTCAGGCCATAGCTGACAACGCAAATGTAGCAGAAACAACCCCAAGCTGAAGACACGCTTGGAGAGATGACGCCATCGGAGAAGAGATGGGTTCTGTTTTGTCTCTTGAGACTCAATTCCCTGGAATACCACGCGAAGGCTGCTGAAATGCCCCACACAGCTCAGGCCCCCGCCAGCTCTCCCCACCTACACAGTGGCCTGCATTCATGTCACTGGAGGTGGCAACTGCACCTGCCCGCTCTCTGACCCTTTTTAAGGTTCTATTCATGTTAAAATCCCCAGTGAAGAGTGTCCTGTTGACCTGGCCAATGACGCCAGCCAGAGGTGTGTTTCTGCATCTGACAGAGGCTGGCGAGGAGGCAGGGAAGGCAGGCAGCTCTGCTGACTGGGCGGCGAGAGCCCAGGCACTGCACCCTGTGTTCATGCTGTGTCTGCAGCTGTGGGCAGGCACACCTGTCTCTCCTGATGCATTTTCATGAATGTTCTTTGGTCTTCTTGTCCATTCCCCACCTGAACACTGAGCAGGCCTCCCGAGTGGGTGCAGAGAGGACCAGTTACTCTAAGGGTGTTTGGTTAGCGCCAACCCTGAGGACCAAGAAGCCTGGCCAACTACAGAAGAAGCTCAGATGCCTGAATTCTGTAGATCTACATAAGCCAGGCCAGGGCACAAACGTTACAGAATGGCAAGGAGGCGGCACTGCCTTCTCTCTACATCAGCAGCAGGTGCAGAGGGACGCATGACTGCAAAGATCTCAGGCCTGAACTAGACCCGCGTTGCCACCCACATACTCTCCTCGTCACTCCCTGGGTTCAGAGGGCTCCACAGCTGTGCAGTGTAAAGGTCCTCCCAGTCAAAGGGGCCCCTCTGTAGGCAGGAAACCCAGATCACCTCCCAAAGAGCCATTCCTATCACTGCATCTGTCAGAAGCCAGAACCAGTGGGAGAAAACTGTAGACATGAGGATTTACTATGAATGAGTTGCCTTACATGACTGGGGGCCTGAGCAGGACACCCTACCTCCACCCAGAGGGCAGGCCATCGTACCCAGAGGCTGCCAGAGGGAAGGCAGATCCAGAGAAAGGACCAGCTCCCACCCAGGCAATGTAGAGGGCTATAGGTTGGTGTGGCTGGCTCCCAGTACAGGGAAGGAGGGAGTTGAGAGGGACAGCTGCCACCAGTGGCAAAGAACAGCACTGTCAAAGGCACAAGAGCCCCAGCGTCGTGCTGAAGAGGTGGCACCACATCACTGAAGATGAGGGTGTGTCTCGAGTGGCAGGTGGTCTGGCAGGAGGGAGGTGCACAGCTAGGGTCTGCGACTCTGAGACATGCAGCAAGCATGGGGTGTCCAGCTCCCTCAGTAACAGAGTAGCAGAGGATGGCAGGCCAGGGAGGAGGCAGACACAGAGTTATTCCAGGACAATTAATCTACTGCAGTTAGTTCACTTTCCTATTCATCTGCAAACACTTGCTAAATATCTTTTTGGTGCCAGGTATAACGCTAGTGAATGAGGCTACAAACACAAACGGCTGGAATTCCCAGACAGCTGCAGACACTCTTGACAATCCGCTTGTCCAGTGACTTGGTGGATGTAGGTGCACAGTACTGTGGGACCCAGAGGGCAAGCGAGGCTCTGCACCAGGAAGCACAGAAGCATCGAGGAGAAAGCGCTGAGGTAGGGATGGAGAAAGGCTTTGAAGCCTCCTCGGAGATCTGTTTTGTGAGTTCTGGGCCTCCAAGGCAGAAGCCAGAAACACACTTTTGCCACCTGCATTGCAGCTAGAACAGGCATGGGTTCCTCCAATCAGACACACCTGCTCCAGAGGCCAGTCTGGAGAATTTGGAGGAGAGGTGTGACAAGGCATACTCAAGAGCAGGCTGACAGAAGTCCCTGGACTCAGCAGCCAGCGTCGGGGCAGGGATCCTGAGCACTCAGGGCAAGCTGCAAAAGCTGGGGGCTTGTGGGCAGCCGCCCCCCATTCCCAGTGTGCAGTTGAGAAATTCTCAGAAATTCCAAGAACTATGTACTATCCCTAGATAAACTCCTTCTCATCTTAAACTAACTAAAATAGGTTCTGTTCACTGCAACTGTTGTTTGAAATGTTGATACCACTAGGTGCATTACAAACAGAATGATTTCCACTAAAGGACTAGGAATAAAATCAGTACCTTCAAAACCAGTTGATGGATGCGGAGGTATGATGTATCAATCTAAAGAAGTCAGGAAATGATGGTGAAAAAAAAGAATTAGCAAGGAAAAAGCATTAAAAAGTGAAATGATGGTACTTAGTTCAAGTCGATAAGTCATTACAATAAATGTAAACATGTTAAACTATTCTCTTAAAAGATAATCTGCTTTGAATTTTAAAAATCTACTTGCATGCTGCTTAAAAATGCAATTGGAAAAAGAATTTAAAATAAATAAATAAAGGACTAGAAAAAGATAAACCTGGCAGAGGCTCAGAGCAGAGATGGAGACCTCACACAAGGTAAAAGAAACCAGTCGCTGTGAAGTTACTAGATAATGAACTTTTAACACCTAATATGATCACAAAGTAAATAATGCAAAAACGTGCTGAAGTGCAAGGAGAAACAAACCAATTAACAAAGTTCTCTGCTGTATCAAAACAGATTGATTTAAAAGAGATAAGTGAATCTAGAGGATAACAACACAACGACATGCTTATGTATGTTAATGCTCACATTATATGAGCAATATATATGTATGTTAACTGCTCACAGACACTGAGAAAATTTGAACATTTCATCTCCTTTGCTGCAGGATTTCCTTTTTGCTTATTTTTTAAGGAACAAAATATTATAAATAAATGTGAAGCTCCTTTCCTCCCTCAGGCCCCAGGATTGTTTTCATCCTTCCCTCTCCTCAGGGAGCTGCCTTCATGAATTCAAGTCGTAACCACCTATGCAGCAGCCCACTGTGGGAGGAGCTGGGGCAGGATCCTGGCTCCTGTGTGTCAGCAGGGGCAGAAGCCAAACACGGAGTGACCGAAGCAGCCGCAGTGTGCAGAAGCTGACATGCAGCTTTTTAGGCGTGCAGCTGGAGAAAAACAGTCACATGGTAAGTCAGATGATGTTTTGGGGGTTTCTAAGCATTAAACCCTATAGACCATATCTTCTAACCACCTGCAGCGGAAATCAGGCTCTCGAAGAAGAAATAGCTGTACTCCCATTTTCACTGTAGCATTACTCAGAATAGCCAAGACATGGGAAAAACTTGCGTGTCCACTGATGGACATGTGGATAAAGAAAATGTGGTATATGAATATATATGCAATGAAAGGTGATTCGGACTTAAAAGAGCAGAAAATCCTGCCATTTGTGACAACATGGATGAACGCAGACGGCATTATGCTATGTGAGATAAGCGAGTTACAGAAGGAGCAACACCGCCTGATTCCATCGTGTGTGGAATCTAAAATCGTCACGCTCACGGAAGCAGAGAGTAGAATGGTGGCTGTCGGGGGTGGAGGGAGGGGGATGGGCAGAGGCTGCTCAATGGGTAGAGTTTCAGTTATCCCAGATGGGTACATTCCAGGGGCCGTGGTATGACACAGTGCCTAGCGTTAATATGGTATCATGCACTTCAAAGTGTACTAAGAGGTCAGATGGGTGTTAAGTGTTCTTACCATGAAGCACACATATATACACATAAGCACATGTATGGAGATGATGCATGCGTTCAGTACCTTGATTGTGGTGATATTATCACAGGTATACACATATATGTCCAAATTCATGAAAACTTATACATTCGATAGGTGCAGATTTTTGTCAATGACTTCAATACAGCTTTTTAAAAAATGTGGTGAAAAGACACTCAAAGGAAAAGAGGGGAGAAGGGAGTGAGGGAAAGTGGAGAGACCTCGACGCCCACCCACTTCGCAGATCCCTGCTCCAGGGAAGGGCCACATGTCCCCTTCCCACCCAAGGATTGTGACCATCGCTGCATGCCGCTTCCAGCCTGAGGCAGCAAACCCCAGTGGCTCCCCATGTCCCTCCCGTGATGTGGCCACTGCAGACACCTCATGCTAGCGTGGCACAGTCACTCCGGGGAGATGCATGGGCTTTGAAGAGCTGTGTGTCCACCTCTGCACCCTGTGGCTGCTGTGGTCATGCTGTATGTGGCTTCTGCCCCTGTGGACACACAAGAGCCAGCATCCCACCCTCAGCACCCCCACAGCGGCCACTGCAGAGATGGATGGGACCCACATTCATGAGGGCAGAGATGGTCCTGAGACTCCAGGGGAAGAACAGAGACCTGCCTGTTTATCTGTAATGTTGTATTTCTTGATAAAACACACAACAAATTCTGAGGCAAAGAGGATAAAATGTTGACACTTTCTCACTTTCTGTGGTGAACATATGGATATTTGTTGTACTATTGTCTCTGATTCCATTTTTTAAAGTTAAATTTTAGGTAGTCATAAAAATTTATGGAACAAAACTGTGAAAGTGTCCTATTCTCAGAAAAAGCAGCAACTTAAATCATCAATGCTAGGGCTCTTCTAATTCAGTCCCAGAAAGGATCTGGGTGCAAACCTCAGAGCCCCCCAGAGGTGGGGTTCAGCTGTGAGCGCAGGGTCAGAAGGAAGCACTGATGGAGGCTGTGTCGGGGTCCTGCGCTCGGTCCGCAACTGTGGCCTCATTGGCTGGGACAGCGCGGAGTCTCCTGTGGACTGTGTTTCCCTGGAGAACAGGATGAATGCACAGGATGAAGCTGAGGATTGGGTAAGGGCAGCCCTGCCAGAAGGCATCAGCCTGCCTGGGGCGCAGGGAGAGGTGGAGCCAGCTGGGCCACAGCCGGGACATTTGACAACAGCCGCAAGAGTTCTCCAATTTGGAACTTCACCAAAAAAATAACAGCCACCGAGTTAGTTCAGGATTACCACACCCAGGCCCTGGAAGGAGAGCAACAGCCAAGCAACTAGAGGGCCAACCTAGGCAGAAACTAAATTCCAGGCTGCAAGCGAGGGATGCAGGTTCCCAGATCCGCCTAAGGTCGGCGCTGCATGAGCCTGGCCTGCCCTTCTCCCCACACAGCCAGGCCTGCTGCTCCAGCCCGGGGGTGCCATTGTTCAGAATACTATACAGGGCGGTGGGATGTCTTGGGACCCCCTTGCATGGGATGTTCCCTGCGGGGAAGGGGGAGACCCTCAGAGTCAGAAGAACAGAGGGCTCTCCCCTGTCCTGTGTCCTGCCATGGGGAGTGCTCACCAGGCTTCTGGCCTGTGCCCTGCACACCTGGGACCTCAAGTATTTGTGAGAGGACCCCAGAGACTTGTGTGCAAGCCCCTGGGCCTATCTTTACTTTGCCACACCTGGATTCCCAGTTCCTGCCCTGAGCCAAGCAATCAGTGACGGCAGAAGTCACGCCAGGAACAGGCTCATCTGCCCAACTAAAGGTCTTCGATGTGTACTTCCAATCCTGGCTGGGGCTCAAGACCACACAGAGAATGAAAGATCTTGCCCAGGCCAAGCACTAGGAGACACACAGGCTGGTTAGAATAGCTTTTGCCTCCGCCGCAAATGAAGATGCAAGTCTCTATCTTTTGATGTCTCACAATTTTCGAAAGGAAGGAAGGAAGGAAAGAAGGAAGGAAGGAAAGAAGGAAGGAAGGAAGGAAGGAAAGAAGGAAGGAAGGGAGGGAGGGAGGGAGGGAAGGAAAGACAGAAAGGAAAGAAAGAAAGAAAGAAAAAGAAAGAAAGAAAGAAAGAAAGAGAGAGAGAAAGAAAGAAAGAGAAAGAAAGAGAGAAAGCAAGCAAGCAAGCACAGCCTTTTCTGGGAGGGGTGGCAGCTCTCAGTGGGGCTGACCTCGAGATCACCAGTCACCCCAGGACGTGCTGTCCACGGCAGCTGCAGAGCCTCGGCTCCCAGCCTGCAGTCTGGGCTCTCGGCACTCCCCACCCAGCTGCCCTGGGCTCTGCTCACTTTCGTCCTCTACACCTGTGAGTGCAGCAGAGGGGCAGGCTTCATCCTCTGCTGCCTTAGGAAGGGAGGGTGAGCCCCAGGCTATGTCCAGGCTAAAGTTGAGCCGTCGACATGGACATGTGCAACTCACCATGGTAGCAGTGAACGGGATGTTGTCAATCAGGGACGACGCCAGGGCTGAGACCCACACCACCAGGACAATGGCGGCTATGAGGCGCTGCTCCTCTGGGACCATCTGGAAGGAGGACAATAGCAGCTGCAGTGTTCCATCGCATGCACTTAGGGTCAGACCCACCAGCCGCGAGACTCAGAGGGGCCCGAGGGTGTTAGTCCTTCCTCTTACCCATCACGAGACCAAGGCAGACATAGGTGTGCAAGCCAGGGCCACACCCACACCAGGAGCCTCTGCTGGGTTTCTACCAGCAAAGCCCAGCCATGCCCAGACCTGCCAGCCCCCTGGATGGGGAGGCAGAGTGACCCTGCCCCTCATCCCCATGTGGTGGCTGCGCACACTGGTCACATTGACCTGATGGCCCGGCAGACCCCTGGGGCTGGGGCGCCTGCAGCACTCATTTACTGAGGCTGGTGTCAATCCCACTCCTTCTCAGACAGGCTTTAAATAAAGGCTAAAAGCAAAAGAGCAGGCATCTGTAATTACATATTCTTCGGAAAAAGTCTCCCTTCATCTCTGGGCTGCACAGGATAGAACAGGTTCCCTGCTGTGCCTTTTTACATAATTAATGGGACCTGTTCTTACCAGAGTGCTTTTTTTTTTTAATTTTTTTCACAAAATCAAAGAACAGTGGCTGGAGTGCCTTCTATTATAGCATTTATTTTACCTTTATTAGCAAAGCAGTTTGTTCTCCAACATATTCTATTAAGTGGAGATGTGCCAATGCCTAGAAGAAAGGATGTGTGGTGAGAATCAGTTTAGAACCGAAAATATATGCAAGATTTAAAAAAAAAGTCTTGAAAATGAAAAGACGTGAACATAAGGTAGGCCCAGATTCCTGCTTCTTATAAAAGATCAGACTCAAATACACAGTCTATAAATAATTTACTATCATATATGCACAACGAAGATTCATGGAGAAAAAGTCCAACAGCAGTGGCAGAAATCCCTCATTGATTTGAGTTAAGGTCCATGTTAAATTTAAATCCGAATGGAAGACTCTCTTTAAGACCTGTGTATAAAGATACTGTTCAATCGTACATAATGAAATACCACTCCATATAGATCTTTCAAGAAAGTCGCATTTCCAATTTCTTTTTAAAGTTAAACATCACAGAGTTTTAAAAGACATTTTTAATGCAGTTTTTGTAATCTTCAAAGAAAGAAAGGAAAAGTCTATTTAACTGGCACATGTAACTATTTTCACAGTACTAGGCAGATTCAGAAAACTGTACTCAGGGAAAGGCAGGAAAGAGTAGAAGAGAGAAGATGAGACGCAGGAGCCTTCTGCCCAGGTGGCCAAGGTCCCACACAGGGATGCCCAGAGGCTCACGACCGAGCCACTGTGAGAGGTCACCGGAAAGCAACAGGTGCCGGTGGCTCAGCTGCCCAGCACCTCTGTGGGTGTGGCCTTTTCACTGTGATTCCATCGCGCTGAAAGACTGCAAATATTGGAAACAGCAGCTTGTCTGCGCTTTTTTCTTTTAATTTTTTAATTTTTTTTTTTTTTTTGAGACAGAGTCTTGCTCTATTGCTCAGGCTGGAGTGCAGTGGCACGATCTCGGTTCACTGCAACCTCCACCTCCCGGGTTCAAGTGATTCTCCTGCCTCAGCCTCCCAAGTAGCTGGGATTACAGGTGCCCACAACCATGCCTGGCTAATTTTTGTATTTTTAGTAGAGATGGGGCTTCGCCATGTTGGCCAGGCTGGTCTCGAACTCGTGACCTCAGGTGATCTGCCTGCCTTGGCCTCCCAAAGTGCTGGGATTACAGGCGTGAGCCAACGTGCCGGCCAGCTTGTCCAAGTTTAAATTAAGCTTCAGAATCTCAATCTGCATGTACAGTTGTTAGCCGACTTTCATTTAAAAGCTATGGAGCCCAAATGTTGGGTCTTCAATCACGATTCTCCATCAAGTTTGCTTTTATATCAACTAAGTCATAAGGAGAATCTCTTTAGAGCAGGGTTTCTCACCCTCGCCCTGCTAACTTAGAGCCAGATCGTTCTTGGCTGTGGGGCTGGCCCGTGCATTATAAAATGTTGCGTAGCAGCCCTGGCCTGGTGCCACTAGATGCCAGTGGCACCTCACCAACACCAGTGTGACAGCCAAAGATGTCTCCAGACACAGCCACTGTCCTCTGGGGGAGTAAAATCACCCCCTGTTAAGAACCAATGTTCCCAGGGGGGATAAAATCACCCACTGTTAAAGAACGAATAATTTATCATAATCCAAATTTTATTAAATAACACTTTAAAATTGAAAAAATATTGAATGTAGCTATACCTTTTATTTTGTTTGATATCATCAGTTGAAAGAAAAATCAGAGGCCTAAACCAGATTAAAATGTTCTGCCAAATACCAAATAGAGATGGTTGTGTGTGTATATGCCCCCCACATGCACACAGAGTATGGTGTGCACCTCTTGATGTGTACCTATAGACATTTATATTTACATATTTAGTGTCATATAATTATCCTAAATATCATGCTCTGCGTTATGTAATGTAAGACAAAATAAAGTAAAATCTTCAAAAAACTTGAATATTGCACCTAATAACTCAGCTCAAAATAAATGATCTCTTAATTTAAAAAAAATCAAAATATGAAGAAAATACAAATACACTCTTTTACAAAATAAAGTAATTATCTAGCACATCCCTATCTATCAAGCCTAACACTGTAGGTATATAATGTGTATTTTACAGTATGTGAAGTTTATGTACAGTTGAAGATTATACATATTACTTGTCTCCTTCATCAGCTTATACAGTGAAAAGATGATTGTGTGGTATAAATCAGGATGTGAAACATCATTAGTCTGTCACAGAAATGCTGATTCAGCAATGACCTGACATCCTTGTCCCACTGAAATAAGCCAATACAATAAATCATTGCTACCACTTATTTCAAAATGATAAACTAGGAGGTCTAAGAGTCCCTTCTTCAGCCAAACAAATGGACCCTAGATAAAACATACTTTTTAACACATTCTAGATTAGCAAGACAAGGTATGGTTTTCCAAGGAATCTCTCTCCCCACGAAAACATTTCCTGCAGCTGTCTAGGAGCGGCAAGACTTGAGTGGCACAGGATGGAACTGCCTGGAACCTCGAGGCTGATCAAGCACTGAAGTCAGAGGAGGTGTGAACACCTGTGAGGGTTGTAGGCTCCACTGTTTCTCACATTGAGCCAAGATCCTTGAAATGCACTAAAATTATTCCCTGGCATCCAGAAGAAGCAGACACAGCAGTTTCTGGAGGAAAGCATCCCGCCTGCAGGCCCTCAGGAATCCCACAGAATACGATGAAGTGATGAGATTATAGTCTTGCATCTCCAGGGACACAAGAAGACAAGCAGCATGAATGAGAGCAGAAACAACCAAAACAGATTTAGCCAGACCCCAAAACCGCATGGATGAGAATTCATAGATACTGAATGTAAAAGAGGAATTTTGCTTAAAGAAATTAGGGGTTGAAGAGTTTAAAAGTACCAATTAACATGGGCCCTTAATGAGTTAAGAATGAAGGCTATCATCTCCAGATGACATTAAACCACTAAAAATACTAAAAGAGTGAGTATATAACTGCCAGGAAAGGGGAAATAGAATTTTAAATAATTCTCAATCAAATCAAATAGTCAAAAATTGACTAGTCAAGAAAACTAAGGTAATAAATCATAATAGAAATTTAAAATAATTTTGAATAAATAAAATGTAAATGCAATCAAAATGCACATGAAAACTTGAGGGATGCAGCTACAGGGAAATTTATAGTCTTAAATATACACAATGGGAAATATGAAGCATGAAAATCAAAAGCTAAGTATCCATCTTTGTAAGTTAAGAAAATGACAAATTGAACCCAAAGAAGTGAAGAGAAAATGATAATTTTAAGTAGAAAGTGGGAAAGAGAGTCACCAAAAACAACAACGAAAAAGAGATCATCACTATAAAGATACTACAATAAACAGATAATGGAGTAAAACTACAAATCAACTCTAGCATTCTTTTGGTTTTATACAGATATCCAGTTGATTCACCACCATTTGTTGAAAAAATGTTTTCTTTCCTAAATAAATTGCTTTGCCACTGTGGTTTAAAATCAGTTGTATATTTAAATAACACATAACACATCGACAGAGTCTATTTCTGGACTCTCTCTTCTGTTCCCTTAATCTATATCTATCTTTTGCCAGGACCACAGTCTTGATTACTATAACTTTGTAGTAGGTCAGGAAATCAGGTAAGTGCTCCAAAAGTTGTCCTTTTGGGGAAAAAAATGCTTTAGTTATTTGAATTTAGTCCTTTGAATGTCTACATAAATTGTGTAATTAGCTTGTCATTCTCTGCAGAAAAACCTAGTTCAATTTTTATTACAATTGCACTTAAATCTGTAAGTCAATGTGGGAAGAACTGCACACTAAACAACACTGAGTCTTCTTATCTATGGACAGACTATATCTCTTCATTAGATCTTTAGATCTTTTACAAAAATTTCTTTTCAAAATATCTCGGTAATTTTTGGTATAGGAATCTTGAGCATACTTTTTTTTTAAGGTTTATTCCTAGGTTTCTTAGGGTTTTGGTATCATTATAAATGCAATTGTTCCTTAAATATTTTCCAATTATGCGCTAGAATATGAGAATATATTGATTTTTGGATACTGATCTTGTATCTTCTGACCTTGCTAAATTTATATATTAGTGCTGGTAGTACTGGATTTTTTGTAGACCACTTGAGATTTTCTACATAAACAATCATATAGCCTACAAACAAGAACAGTTTTACTTCTCTCATTTTCATTTTTCTGTGCTTTATTTCTTTATATTGTCATATTACAAGAACTAGGCCCTTCAGTACATTGACTGTTGAACGGAAAAGGTGACTGCCTTGCTGCCAGTCTCATGGAAAAATAATTAAGTTTTTCGCCATGAAGTATAAGGTTGGCTCTAGGTTTTTCAAAAATGCCTTTCATCAGTTTGAGAATTCATGGTTTGCTCTCTAATGCTTTTTCTGCATTTATTGAAATGATCATATGGTTTTTCTCCTGCAATCTGTTAATATGGAAAATTATACTAATTATTGAATGTTAAATCAACCTTGGATTTCTGGAATAAACTTTTTTTGGTTATGCTGTACTATTTTATATACCATAGCATTTGATTTGATATCTTGTTTGGATCTATGTGAGTGGGAGATGGTGATCTGTAATTTTCTTTTCACATAATACGTTTGTCTTAATATCAGGGTAATACTAGACCTACAAAATAAGTGGGGAACTGTCCTCCACCTCCATTATTTTCTGAAAGAGATTTATAGGATTGGTATTATTTCTTACTCAATGTTTGAGAAAATTAAACAGGGAAGCCATTTGTGTTTGGACTTTTCCTTCTGTAAATAATTTTAATTACTAATTCAGCTGCTTTATTGATATAACTCTATTTTGATTTTCTATTAAAACGAGTCTATTTTGGTAAGTTGTATTTTTTAAGGAACTATTCCATTTCATGTAGGTTGTTGACTGTGTTGGTATAAATTTGTTAATAGATTCTCTTATTTTTTTTAATTCCTGTAGGGTTTGTGTTTGGTCACCTCTCTTTTCTTGATGATATTGGTGATGTGTGTTCAATTGTTTCTTTTCAAAGAACCAGCTTTTTGGCTTAGTAGGTTTTTTTCTGCTTTGTCTGTTTCCTACTTTGTTGATTCTGATCTTATGGTTATTAGTTTCTTCTTCCTATGTATTTTAGTTTTACTTTCCATTCCAGCTTCTTAGAGTAGAACATTAGATTAGATAATTTTAGATCTTTCTTATTTTCTGTTGTATTTCATCTACAAGTTTCCCTCTAAGCTAACTTTAGGTGCACTCAAAAATTTTTTATATATTTTCATCAACATTTTGCTTTGTAATATTATCTTATTCCCTTGTGATTTCATTTTTGACTCATGATTTAACTAGAAGTGTATCATTGACTTTCCAGACATTGAGGTTTTCCTAGACTGCTATTGATTTCTAACTTAAATTTGTTGTGGTCAGAGTATATAATCCTTATGATGTAATATTATAATCTTGGTGAATTGACCGTGCACGCATGACAAGATTGAATTCTGTGGTTGTTGGATATAGTGTTCTACAAATGTCAATTGAATCAACGTGGTTGATAATGTTATTCATAGCTTCTATGGCTTTCCTGATTTTTTTTTGTCTAGGTGTTCTATCAATTTCTGAAGAGTGATAAAATCTTCTTCTATGATTGTGGAATTGTCTATTTTGTTTTACTTTAGTGAATCAATTGCATCTTGAGTATTTACCAGGGACATTTATAATTGTTATATCTTCCTTATAATCTGTCCCATTTATTATTATTAAATGTCCCTCATTATTTCCAATTACATTATGTGCACTGAAGTTTATTCTATGCCACTTTGGCCTTTTATGCTTATTACCTGCATGCTATGTATTTTTCCATTCATTTACTTTCAACATATCTCTATGCTTAATTTAAAAGCATGTCCCATATCATTGCTCAGCCTTTCAGCTAAGATCAAGGGTAAAAGTATGTCTCTTAAGAGCAGCATATATTAGAGCCTTACTTCCTTATCTGCTTTCTCAATATTTTCCTGTTAATGGGAATGTTTGCAGTTAACACAATTATTGATATAGCTGCATTCAGGTCAACAAAATTATTTATTTTCTGTTTGTCTCTTTTTTTATTCATTTCTGTGCCCATTTTTTGCTTTCCTTTGGGTTACTTGAATATTGTATTTTCATCAGTTGGCTTTTAATAATATTATTATTAAGTATTAAATATTAATATTTTAATTAATTTTTAATTATATTTTAGTACTTACTCCGTGAATTAAAATATACATACATAACTTCTCTACAAAGTTTTATTGCATCAAGTGAAATATACAAGCCTTGAAATGATATAGGTCACTTTACCTCTCCCCTTTCCTCTTATGGTATAGTTGTCATACATATTACATCTATATACATTAAAACTCCCACCAGACAATATTATAATTTATACTTTCAACCATCAAACCTATTTTGAAGAACGTAAGAGGGAAAAACGTTATCTTTTACACTTACCTACTATTTACCATTTCTGCTGTTCTTCATCCCTAAAGATCTAATTTCTCTGTAGTATCATTTTGCTTCATCCTGCAGAAATTCCATTAACATGTCTTATAGAGCAGGTCTGCTGGAAATGAATTCCAGTCATTTCCTCCATCTGAGAATGTCTCTCTTTTTTGCTTTTATTCCTGAAGGATTATTTTGCTGGATAGAGAATTCTGGCTTAAAAGTTCTTTTCTTTCAGCACTTAAAGAAGGTGCTCCACTATCTACTTGCCTCCAGGATTTCTGATCAGAAATTTGCAGTCATTCAAATCATAGTCCCTTGCATGTAATGTATCACTCTTCTCTCACTGTTTTTGAGACATTTTCCTTATTTTTAGTTTTCAGCACTATGATTATGATGTGTCTAGGCATGTTTTCCTTTATTTCATCCTGTGTTTTCACTGAATTTTGTGAAATTGTAAATGTGTCTTTGCAAAGATTGACAATTCTGTCATTACCTCTTCAAATATCTTTTTCTCTTAATCTCTTGCTCCTCTGAAACTATAATTGTTTTTAATATTTCAAAATATTTATTCTTTTTTAAATTTTATTTTAAGTCCCGGGACACATGTGCAGGAAGTATAGGTTTATTACATAGGTAAATGTGTGCCATGGTAGTTTGCTGCACCTATCAACTCATCACGTAGGTATTAAGCCCCACATGCATTAGCTATTTATCTGATGTTCTCCCTCCCCCTTTTCCCCCTTGACAGGATCCAGTGTGGGTTGTTCCCCTCCCTCTATCCATTGTTCTCTTCGTTCGGCTCCCACTTATAAATGAGAACATGCAGAGCTTGGTTTTCTGTTCCTGTGCTAACTTGCCGAGGATAACAGCTTCCAGCTCCATCATGTCCCTTAAAAGGACATGACCTTGTTCCTTTTTATGGCTGCAGAGTATTGCATGTTGTATATGTACCACATTTTCTTTATCCAGGCTATCATTGTAGGGCATTTGGGATGATTCCATGTCTTTGCTATTGTGAATAGTGCTGCAGTGAACATATAAGTGCATGTATCTTTATAGCAGAATGATTTATATTCCTTTGGGTATATACCCAGCAATGGAATTGCTGGGTCAAATGGTATTTTGGGCCCTAGGTCTCTGAGGAATCACCACACTGTCTTCCACAATCGTTGAACTAATTTAGATTTACACCAACAGTGTAAAAGCATTCCTATTTCTCCATAGCCTCACCAGCATCTGTTGTTTCTTGACTTTTAAATAATTGCCATTCTGACTGATGTGTGATCTCATTGTGGTTTTGCTTTGCATTTCTTTAACGATTAGTGATGTTGAGATTTTTTTCTTAAGTTTGTTGGTTGCATAAATGTCTTCTTTTGAGAAGTGTCTGTTCATGTCCTTTGCCCAATTTTTAATGTGGTTGTTGGTTTTTTTATTGTAAATTTGTTTAAGTTCCTTGTAGATTCTGGATATTAGACCTTTGTCAGATAGATAGAGTGCAAAAATTTTCTCCCATTCTGTAGGTTGTCTGCTCATTCTGATGTTAGTTTCTTTTGCTGTGCAGAAGTTCTTTAGTTTAATTAGATCCCATTCGTCAATTTTTGCTTTTGTTGCAATTGCTTTTTACATTTTTGTCATGAAATCTATGTTTGTGCCTATGTCCTGAATGGTATTGCCTAGATTTTCTTCTAGGATTTGTAAAATTTTGGGTTTTATATTTAAGTCTTTAATCCATCTTGAGTTAATTTTTGTATAAGGTGTAAGGAAAGGGTTCAGTTTCAATTTTCTGCATGTGGCTGGCCAGTTTTCCCAGCACCATTTATTAAATAGGGAATCCTATCCCCATTGCTTGTTTTTGTCAGGTTTGCTGAAGATCAGATGGTTGTAGATGTGCGGTCTTATTTCTGAGATCTCTATTCTGTTCCATTGGTCTATGTGTCTGTTTTTGTGCCAGTACCATGCTGTTTTGGTTACTGTAGCCTGGTGGTATAGTTTGAAATTGGGCGGCATGATGCTGCCAGCTTTGTTCTTTTTGCTTAGGATTATCTTGGCTATATGCACTCGTTTTTGATTCCATTTTAATTTTAAAGTAGTTTTTTTTCCAATTCTGTGAAGAATGTCAATGGTAGTTTAATGGGAATAGCATTGAATCTATAAATTACTTTGGACAGTATGGCCATTTTCACAATATTGATTCTTCTTCCTATCCATGAACATGGTATGTTTTTCCATTTCTTTGTGTCCTCTTTGTTTTCCTTGAGCAGTGAATTTGTAGTTCTCCTTAAAGAAGTCCTTCACTTCCCTTGTTAGCTGTATTCCTAGGTTTTTTATTCTCTTTGTAGCAATTGTGAATGGGAGTTCACTTATGATTTCACTCTCTGCTTGTGTATTGTTGGTGTATAGGAATGCCTGTGATTCTTGCACATTGTTTTTGTATCCTGAGACTTTGCTGAAGTTGTTTATCAGCTAAAGGAGCTTTTGGACTGAGAGGATGGGGTTTTCTAGACATAGGATCATGTCATCTGCAAACAGAGACAGTTTGACTTCCTCTCTTCCTATTTGAATACACCTTTCTTTCTCTTGCCTGATTGCCCTGGCCAGAACTTCCAATACTATGTTGAATAGGAGTGGTGAGAGAGTGCATCCTTGTCTTATGTCAGTTTTCAATGGGAATGCTTCCAGCTTTTGCCCCTTGTCTAGTATGATACTGGCTGTGGGTTTGTCATAAATGATTCTTATTATTTTGAGGTACAGTTCCATCAATACCTAGTTTATTGAGAGTTTTTAACATGAAAGGACGTTGAATTTTATCAAAGGCCTTTTTTGTGTCTATTGAGATAATCATGTGGTTTTTATCTTTAGTTCTATTTATGTGATGGATTACATTTATTGATTTGAGTAGGTTGAACCAGCCTTTCACCTGAAGGACGAAGCCGACTTGATCGTGGTGGATAAGCTTTTTGATGTGCTGCTGGATTCAATTTGCCTGTATTTTATTGAGGATTTTTGCATCAGTTTTCATCAGGGATATTGGCCTGAAGTTTTCTTTTTTTGTTGTTGTAACTCTGCCAGGTTTTGGTATCAGGATGATGCTGGCCTCATAAAATTAGTTAGGGAGAAGTCCCTCCTTTTCAATTGTTTGGAATTGTTTCAGAAGAAATGGTACCAGCTCCTCTTTGTACCTCTGGTAGAATTCAGCTATAAATCCTCTTATCCTGGGCTTTTTATTATGGGTAGGCTGTTAAATATTCATTACTGCCTCAATTTCAGAACTTGCTATTGGTCTATTCAGGGATTCAACTTCTTCCAGGTTCAGTCCTGGGAGGGTGTATGTGTCCAGGAATTTATCCATTTCTTCTAGATTTTCTAGTTTATTTGCATAGAGATGTTTATAGTATTCTCTGATGGTTGTTTGTATTTCTGTGGGGTCAGTGGTGATATCCTCTTTATCATTTTTTTATTGTGTCTATTTGATTCTTCTCTCTTTTCTTCTTTACTAGTCTAGTTAGCAGTCTACCTGTCCTATTGATTCTTTCAAAATACCAACTCCTAGATTCATTGATTATTTGAAGGGCTTTTCATGTCTCTAGCTCCTTCGGCTTCACTCTGATCTTGGTTATTTATTGTCTTCTGCTAGCTTTAGGGTTTGTTTGCTCTTGGTTCTCTAGTTATTTTAGTTGTGATCTTAGGGTGTCGATATGACATCTTTCTAGCTTTCTGATGTGGGCATTTGGTGCTGTAAATTCCCCTCTTACCACTGCTTTAGCTGCATCCCAGAGGTTTTCTTTGTTCTCTTTGGTTTCAAAGAACTTCTTGATTTCTGCCTTGATTTCATTATTTACCCAGGAGTCATTCAGGAGAAGGTTGTTCAATTTCCATGTAGTTGTGTGGTTTTGAGTGAGTTTCTTATTCTTCAGTGAAACTCCAATTTTTGGTCGTGTTCCACAGCTGCATGAGCTCTGGCAATGTAAAAAAATTTTCTCTAAGTTCTTTAGATTGGATAATTTACACTGATCTATTTCAGTTCACTAACTCTTTGCTCTGTCATAGTCACTCCACTACTGAACCCATCAAGCAACTCTTTTTTATTTAAGGTGTTGTAGTTTCATTTCTAACCTTTGTATTAGATTTTCTGGTAAATTCCTATTCTCCCCTGAGAACTCCCAACCTTTCATTCATTTCAAGTGCATTTTCTTTACCTCATTGATCATAGTTATAAAAGCTACTTTAAATTCTTTGGTCATTTCAATATCTGGGTCCTCTTAGGTTTGCTATCTGTTGACTGTCATTTTCCCTTGGAAATTTATTACATTTTTTTCTTATTCTTTGTACATCGAGTCCTTTGGTACTGTCTCCTGGATACTGTCAATGTTAAAATATGTAAACTCTGGATTCTGTTTTAATCTTCTGGAGATTATTATTTTTTTTTACTTATAAACTAATTGGCTTCTGACCACAATTTCTGTCACACTTTCTAAGGGAAGTGGTTCAAATTCAAATTTCCTGTGATCATATTGGCCTGTATCACACGTGTATCATCCAGTAGCCAGCCACATGCTTGTGCAGATGGTTCAAATCTCAGTTCGGTTCTCTAAGCCTTGCCATCTTGCTTCATGCCTGTCTAGCACATACACCATTCAAGAGTTAGTCAGATACCTGTATGGATGGTTCTAACCTCAGCCAGTCATCAGTCAGTCCTCTGGGCCTTTGCTGGGCTGGTTTGAGTCTGTCCCCAGATGGTGTTGTTCTGAAATTAGGCTGAGGCTAGTGCAAGTTCATGAACAGAACTGGGGGGCTTCTTTGGCTCTCTCTTCTGGTTTTCCCCCACACTCCCTGGCCTGCAGGTGCTGCTCTCTCTGACTCCTCTGGGCCAAAAGATGGGGTTGCTACAGGATTACTAGCTACCTATGCCACCATGCCACTACATGATGAAGACTGGCTCTAGGGAGAAATCCAGGAGAGAAGAAAACAGGAAAACCACCCCGAGAGGGTCCCTTCTCCAGGTTTTAACATTCTCCACAATCTACCTGTTTATATTTTTCAGAGTCCATATGTAGTTGATTTTTGTCCAGTTTTCATTGTAATCAGAGGGAGGCGTGAGCTTTAGTAGGTTTACACGCCCTTAGCAGATTGGAATTCAACATTCTCTCTCATTATGACACCCGGTTAAAACACTCTTTTCTTGCCAATATCTAAAATTTTAAAATAAATTAAGTCGGCTACTGTTCCTGTGTCCAATCCTCCCCAACTGACCACCTAGAGTCCTGGGACCTCACGCCCCCTGCGGATCCCTCATCAGGGCGAGGGAGATCAACGAGCATCACACAACTCTGGATAAGGAGGAAAGGGCGCAGGGCTGCCTGCCTTCAGCCGGCATTTGAGAACCTGAACAGTCTCCATGACCATCAGGTGTACCATGGCAGAGGTACAAGCAGGCTGATATATCTCAGAAGTCAGGTAGACAGTCCCTGGGATCTCTGGGCTTCCTTTTATTGGATGCCCTGCAGCCTGCGTTTCTGTGCTGATGCTTCTGCTCATGATGTCCTGTCTCATTTTAAAATCATCTTCATCAAAATCTGACCTGAGCAAAAAGAAAAATCTGATTTTTTTGAACCTCTAAAATATATTGAAAGTTCTTACATGTTTAACAGCTGACATATTTAGCAATTTTCACAAGCATTTCAAATATATTATAATTGAATTATTTTAAATGAACTTGACTTATTATCTTTGGAGAATGTCAGAGCAAGGTTAGAAAGACTATCAAAATTAGTAAAAACTCATTATAAATCATCGTTACTGCAAACATTTAAAAATAAAAATGTGCCAGGCGTGGTGACTCACACTTGTAATCCCAGCACTTTGGGAAGCCAAGGTGGGCAGATCACTTGAGCTCAGGAGTTCAAGACCAGCCTGGTCAATGTGGCGAAACCTGTCTCTACAAAAAATAAAATTAACCAGACATGGTGGCGCAAGCCTGTAGTCCCAGCTCCAGAGGCTGAGGTGGGATGACTACTTGGGCCCGGGGAGTAGAGGTTGCAGTGAACCGAAATCGCACCACTGCACTCCAGCCTCAGTGACAGGGTGAGACCCTGTTTCAAAATAAATAAATAAGTAAAAATAAAAATGAAAATGCCTGTATGTCAATTTTCCTCCAAAATTATGCATGCATCTTCCCAGTAAACTTACTAATGATTCTGTTTGCAAGGCAGCACTTCCTTAAAGACTCAGATACAAGATAAAGTAAGTTAAATGACCCTCATGTTTATATGCCTGGCAGAAAAGCTAGGTGACCACTCTCGTTCTAAAAATAAACTTCTTGTTATGTTGTTCATTCACATTGGAATCAGAGATCCATTTAAAATCATCTGTAATTTAAAAACTAATCCTATTTTTGTATTCCATGAAAAAGAGATATTAGAAGTGACTTGAATCATTATTGAAAAGCACTAAATAAAGGGAAGAAAATAAAATTTATTTTGGGGGGATTTTGATAGTGATACGTATTTTTTTGTTTAGTTTCATTTCTGTGTTCTCATTTGTTTAGTTTTACTGCTAAGGGAGTATTTTCTCTTTCTGCTGTTTATTTCCCCAAAGGCAAGAAGAATGAGTTATTGTGTCGGTGAACTTAGAGACTGCACAGATCGGTGGCCACTCTGCCTCTGTGGGGTAGAGCACATGAGGACAACCGTGCCCTTCACCAGCATTCCTATGATGAAGCTTTACAGTGAATGAACTTTCTTTCACTCTTTTACATTATGTCATTTCTCAGATCTTAACATTTCTCAAGACAGTTAAGAATATAAAAGCTACATGACTTATGTTATAAGCCCTATAGTTTATGAGGAAAGGTAACTAATATTGAAAAATAACATACACCAGAAATGACAGTTAGCCAGGAAGAACTTGGAAGGCAGCAGGGAAGCCTGATTTAGGATTTGGCAAGAGTTATCAACTATTAACATGAAATTATTATATGCAACCTATAAATTAGAGCCTTTATCCTGCCTATTATCAGCACTATTCTTACTTTCAATGACAGAGTCTTGGCATGGCTAAAGATGTCCCACTGGCAGAGACACAAATAAATCCAGACCCATGGGAAGGCTTTCCAAACCCCCTTCACACCCAAAGGAGGAAATGAACACACAGGCATGAACAGGCCTGCATGGAGAATTCATCACTTAGGAACCAAGAAATCCCCAAAGCTTCCTAACACTGCTGAGAAATAACAAAGTTATCTTTTTCTCTTTCTTCTCAGCTTAAGAAATCTGATTAAATATCCTCACAAGAAGCCTTCTTAGGTGAATCCATGTGAGAACCACTCTCCTCACAGAACCTGTGAAAATTATGATGAATGACTATTACACCACTTGATATATGGTTTGATTTCTAAATATAAGTACACGTATTTCAAAAACGTGCAGTCCTCATGAGCCAGCATCCCATATTGCTTAGTCTCCATTCACTCCTTTATTTGTTTGATGTGCTTACTATGTGGCAGCACTGTCAGGACCACCCAGGATGCCACAGTGACCAAGATAGACACACATTTGCTGATCTCCTGGAGCTTATATTCTGGTGAAGGGAGACAGAGAAAAAGTTTATATATTCATATATTTGCCACAGATATATATTAGAGCATTATTACAATGTGTCATAGGTAATAATCTGTTGGAAGAAAAGGAACACAGGAAAGTAGTCAGCAATGATGGAAGAACTCCTTCCGCAGGGCCAGGGAAGGCTGCCCTGAGGATGGATATTTGAGGAGACTCTAGAGAGGTGAACCACCACCAGCATGCTTGGGAAGAGCATCCCACGTAGAGGTGACAAGTACAAATGCACATTCACCTAGCAAGAAGGCCACCGTGTCTGGGGTCCAGCCCCCTGAGGCAGGAAATTATATGTAAATGGCAGCTGCAGCCAGGTCATTTGTGGCTTTGTAAGTCATGGTTGAGGCTCTGGATTTTATTCCAAGTGAAAGAAGGACAACATGCTGCTATCAAAAGCACCAAAAGATCCAAGCAGCCCTTCAGGTCTAACTTTTCAACATCACAAGGAAAAAGAGGAAGCAGTGTCTCATTCAAGGTTCTCAAACCAAACGGCCGCTGAGAAGCCAATAAAGTTCCTTAATCTCTAGCAGAACCCTAAAATGCATGGCAACTCTTGTTTTATTCCTACTATTTATAATGGCAGGTTTAAATATGATTTAGTATATTTTTAAGCCAAAAATTAAGAGAATGCAACTATTATTTATAACTTCAAAACACTGAAAAACAAGATGCAAAGAAACTTTAACAATATACAACATCAGCACATGGGAAGAGGAAGTATCAAGGAAATACAATATAGCGAATATAAGGCATAACAGCAAATATTTTAAAGTTAGGTCCAATTATATGTTCTCTACTAGAAACAAATTAAAAACAAAATGACAGAGATTAAAAATAAACAAATGGGCAATTCCAAGGAACTTCCAGTCCAGACAAAATGATATAGACCCCAAACTCCCTGCTTACTCCTGCCAAGCACACCTATAAACCCTGGGAATAAAGCAAGAGGCAACTAAAGGAGAATTCGGAAAGGTGGTAAGAGGAGAGGAAACTGTTTGGGATCTGATATGGTTTGCCTCTGTGTCCCCACCCAAATCTCATCTGGTAGCTCCCATAATTCTCATGTGTTGTGGGAGGGACCTGGTGGGAGATAATTGAATCATGGGGGGCTGCTCTTTCCCAGCTGTTCTCATGACAGTGAATAAGTCTCACGAGACCTGATGGTTTTAAAACGGGAGTTTCCCTGCACAAGATCTCTCTCTCTGCCTGCCGCCATCCATGTAAGATGTGACTTGCTCTTCCTTGCCTTCTGCCATGATCGTGAGGCCTCCCCAGCCATGTTGACCTGTAAGTCCATTAAACCTCTTTCCTTTGTAAATTGCCCAGTCTGGGGTATGTCTTTATTAGCAGCATGAAAATGGACTAATACAGGAGCCCAGGAAAATGGGAACAGCACAGCTGCAGGGAGTATTTCATCCCTCAAAATCAGCATTTCCAGACCAACTCCCAATATAGCAAGAGAAGACAGCTAGGTGGGCTTGTTCCTCCCTTGGATGAAAATATATCAGGGGAACATGCCCCCCTGGCAAGTAAGATTAATAAAAGCCCTGCCAGCAAAGGTAACCATGGGGGGCACCCCATCCCCTACAAAGAGATACCAGTGACTGGACAGAACCTGAGGAGGGACCCCACTACACCTCACACCTGGGATCTCAGGCCAAGAGACACCCAGGTCAAGAGCCATGTGCTATGGTATTCTACTGGGAGACCTGTAAGTCCACTAAACCTCTTTTTTTTTTTTTTTTTGTAAATTGCCCAGTCTAGGGTATGTCTTTATCAGCAGCATGAAAATGGACTAATACAGGAGCCCGGGAAAATGGGAACAGCACAGCTGCAGGGTGCATTTTGTCCCTCAAAATCAGCATTTCCAGACCAACTCCCAACATAGCAAGAGAAGACAGCTAGGTGGGCTTGTTCCTCCCTTGGATGAAACAATACCAGGGGAACATGTCCCCCTGTCAAGTAAGATTAATAAAAGCTCTGCCAGCAAAGGTAACCATGGGGGGCACCCCATCCCCTACAAAGAGATATGTGGTGAGTGGACAGAACCTGAGGAGGGACCCCACTACACCTCACACCTGGGATCTCAGGCCAAGAGACACCCAGGTCAAGAGCCATGTGCTCATCAATAGCACATGGCTCATGAAATGTTCTGAGGCCCCCACAGGAAGGGGGATGCCATCTTAACAAACACTTAGCCATGGAAGCCTCTTCACTTCTGCAGACCTGAAACTCCTCTCCACAGGAAGAGACATCTGGGCAGCCCAGCCTGGGGATATCCCTTCCAGCCCCCAAGGCAGCACCCAGCAGCACTGGAGAAACCAAACAGATCAAAGTAGCACTGCAAGATCTCTGAAAATTAAATCTTCATTTGAACAACAGGCTATGTAAATAGTCTATAACCTGTGTGCTAAACTTAAACAGGTTGACTGCCTGCTGAAATAAAACAGTTATTTATGACTCAGAGTCTCCTAAAATAATAGACAAAATATCCAGGATACAATCAAAAGTCACCTGTCATATCAGAAACTGAGAAAATCACAACTTGAATGGGAAAGGACAAACACCTGATGCCAACACTGAGATATATCGGATGCTGGATTATCTTAAAAGGATTTTAAAGCAGCCTTCCTAAAAATGTCTCAACAATCAGTTAACAACTTCTCTTGGAACAAGTGAAAAATGAAAAACTATGGGAAGAAACAAAAGATATAGAAAAAAGAACCAAATGGAAATGATAGATCTAAAATATACAATAACAGAATTTCTTTTTTTTAATTTTATATCATCAATACAAATTTTACAGCATCTTCAATCTGAAAACATCCTAAGAGCAATCTCTTCCTTGAAGAAGGCCGTGTGTGTGTGTATACATATATATATTTACATGAACTATATGTATATGTGTGTGTATTTACATGAACTACCCTTCTTAGAGCTCCCAGAGTGGTTTTTCCGGGTCTGTTACAACCTTTATCACATTCTCTCTTGTATTGTAGTGATACAGAGCAAAAATGTAAACGAGACCTGGTGCCTTCCCTCATGTGAGGAAGCAGTTTGATATAGACATCTCAGGGTAAGATTAGGTTACTGTGGAAGCTCATAGTGGAGGAATTAATGTAGAATTGGAGACATCAAGGAAGGCTTCCTAGAAGGCGTCATGTCTGAGTATTAAACTACAGGTTAGACTGAGCCACACATGAAGAGAAGTTAGAGGACCCAGAATTCAGGTATTTTACTATTCAAATTGAGGCTTTCTAGTAACCAAAAGGTTGGGATACATTCTCAAAGCAGGAAACAGCATAAATTACAGCCTGCAAGACTTAGCTACCCTTGAGCGCTATATTTCATGGGCTTTTCACTACAACTGCTTTCATTTCAGATCCCTCAACTCATGCTCTCTCTCACCTTTGAGGTCTAGCACATGTAGTAGGATAATGTGGGAGCATTTTCTCTTACAGAAACAAGAACTGCAGCTCAGGTGGTGGTACACATGCTCAGTTCCTGCCACACCCCTTAAGATGAGTCATCCTGTCTGGACATGAAGAAAGGCCCCTGGGGCTCCACATGCCAAAAGGTATGTCTAAGGGTATGTCAGAGGCAGCCGGGCAGGTGCTGACATCTGGGGTACCTGGCCTGCCTGGAGCTGGCACCTCAGCCCTCCTTTCTCCTTCACACTTCTGAGTCACCGTGGGAAAGTGTATCAGCCAGTGCCCATCCGTCATGGGGCATTTGTTCAACATCAAAGCCTCACTGCCCTTCATTGACATAATTTGAGGCATTCCGAGGTTATCAGGGATTTGCTAGCCTGTCAGAGCCAGGGAATGGGCAGGCTGTCTGGGGAGGATGTGCCATCCAGGAGGGATGCCATTTTGATGTACCTGTTTGGTCACTGGCTCTAACTGGTCCATGGACAGGCTGGACAGCATCAAGGTGTGAAGAAAAGAGCTTGGGCTTTAGAGCCAACCCTGACTCATCACCTCCCAGAGTCAAAGCCTTGGAAAGATACCCAGATCTCTGGAGCTTCAGTTTCCTCCAAGGTAGAAGAGAGAAGATAGCACAGTTCTGAAGGCTGGAAGTCCAAGATCCAGGTACCAGCATTTGGGGTCTGATGAGTGCTACATCCTCACGCAGTGGAAGAGCAAGCCCAATAACAGAATTTCTTAAAGCTTCTTGATATGCACTCAATAGTAGAGATAATAAAGAAAAGAATCAGTGAATTTGAGGGCAAATCAATAGAATTCACCCAATCTAAACAGCAAGGAGAAAATATATTTTTTTAAAAGGGCAGAGGTGGAATGGAGCCTCAGGGAACTGTAGAACTATTTTTAAAATCTAATATTCATGTCACTGGAGTACTAGAAGGATAAAAGAATTAGAGCAAGGTTAGAAAAGTACAGTAAGGAATAAAGGCTGAAATTTTCCCAATTTGGCAAAAGACACAAACCTACAAATTCAAGAAGATGAACAAACCCTAGGAACAGGATAACACGATGAACCCAAAGAAATCCATATCAAAATAAATCATCAACTTTCAAAGACTAAAGACAAAGAAAAACCTTGAATGCAGCCAGAAAGTACTATGCGTTACCTACAGGAAAACACAAATTCAAATGGCAGCAAATTTCTTCTCTGACACCAGGAGAGAGGGAAGGAAATGGTACAACATTTTTCAAGTACTGAAGAAAAGCACTGTCAACCATACATTCTATATCCAGTGAAACTATCCTTGAGGAATAAAGAGGAAATAAATACACTCTCAGATAAAGAAAAAGAATTTTTTACTAGCAGACCTACCCTTAAAGATTGGCTAAAAGAAGTTCTTCAAAGATAAAGAAAATTACAAAAAATAAGACAGGCTGGGTGTGGTGGCCCACACCTGTAATCCCAGCACTTTGGGAGGCCGAGGCAGGTGGATCACGAGGTCAAGAGATCAAGACCATCCTGGCCAACATGGTGAAACCCTGTCTCTACTAAAAATACAAAAATTAGCTGAGCATGGTGGTGTGCACCTGTAGTCCCAGCTATTTGGAAGCTGAGGCAGGAAAATCACTTGAACCTGGGAGGCAGAGGTGGCAGTGAGCCAAGATTGCACCACTGCACTCCAGCCTGGAGACAGAGTGAGACTCCATCTCAAAAAAAAAAAAAGACAAATTTTGGAGCATCAGGAAGCAAAAGGAACTGAAAAAGCAGAAATGTGTACACACAATAGATTATTCCTTTCCCTATGAGTTGTATAGATCGATTTGATGATTTAAACAAAAGTTATGTTGCCATCTGATACTCAAGAAAAGATAAAGGAATCTTAATGGAAGTGGTATTGTCACACTTCACTCAAAGTGGTAATTCTAATAAGTCATGTATGTATACTGTAGTCCTCTGAGCAACCACTCCAAAACTATACAAAGAGAAACACTAAAAAATACTATAAATGAATCAAAATAGAACTGTAAAAAATGTTCAAGTAACACACAGAAAATCAAGACAAAAGAAACATGGGTATGTACTGGAAACAGAGGAAATAAAGAGAAAATAAATACAGTAATCCTTCAGTATCCATGGGGAATTGGTTCCAGGACCTCTGTGGATACCAAACTCCATAGATGTTCAGGTCCCTTATTTAAAGGGGCATAGTATTTGCATATAAACTAAGCACATTCTTCTGTATACTTTAAATGATCCCTAGATTACTTATAGTACCTAATACAATGCCTATGCATCTCATCACTTGCATGGATTCAACATAGTAGTCAGTGCACAGAAAATTCAAGTTTTGCTTTTTGGAAGTTTATGGGAATTTTTTTTACCTGTAGTTGGTTGAACCCATGGATGCAAAAGCTATGGATATGAAAGAGCAACTTTAATTGAAATGGCATATTTAAGCATTAACATATCAATAATTACCTTAAATGTAAATTTTCTAAACATATCAACCAAAACACAGAGACCGGAAGAAAGGATTGAAAAAATAACCCAACTATATGCTGGAAAAAGATATGTTACACACAAAAAAAATCTAAGCAAGAGACTATATTAATACCAGCTAAGTAGACTTCAAAATAAAGAAAATTACTAGAGGGACAGAAAATTATTAAATAATGATAAATAGGTCAATCCACCAGGAAGATACAACAATCCTAAATATGTATGCACCAAACAACAGAGCAGCAAAATACATGAAGTGAAAAACTGCTAGAGCTGAAAGAAAAAACAAATTCATGTTTATAATTGGGAACATAAATAACTCACCCTCAGAAACTAATAGAAATGCTACACAGAAAATAATTCAAAATATGGAAGAACTGAACAACACTGAACCAAAGGGATTTAATACACATATATAAAACACTTCACTCCAAAACAGGAGAATACAGTTTTTTTCAAGTTCCCATGAAAGATTTACCAAGATGTATCATATTCTGGGTCACAAAAAAAATTCCGCAAATGTAAAAAAATAAACTCATACAGAGTATGTTCTTCAACTATAATGGAATAAAGTTAGAAACTAACAGAAAGACAATAGAAAAATCTCTAAATGCATGGAAATTAACCAACATACTTCTAAATAGTCTATGGGTCAATGAAGAGGTCTCAAAGTAAATTTTAAAATATATAGAACTGAATTTTAATGAAAATGCAACACATAGAAACATATAGGGTGCAACCGAAATATAACTGTGACAAAACTTTATAACACTAAATGTTAACATTGGAAAAGAAAGGAAATCTCATATCAACAATCTAAGTTCCTACCTCAAAAACACTTGCCAAAAAAGAGTAAAATGCATCAAAAGAAAGCTTAAGGAAAGAAACAATAAAGATCACAGAAGAAATCTATTGAGTTAATATAGGACAATACTAATGAAAATCAAAGGAGAAAAGGCTGTTTCTTTGGGTAAAATCAGTTAAATTGACAAACTTCTAAAAAGACTGACCAAAAATTAAAGGAGAGAGACACAAATCACCAATATCAGGAATGAAATAGGAAATTTTACTACATATATTTCAGACATTAAAATGATAATAAAGGAATATTATCAACAACTTTACGCTCACAAATTTGGCAACTAAAAAGAAACAAACCAATTCCTCAAAAAACACAAAGTATGAAAACACAGATAAAATCTATAATCTGAATAGCCCTTTAGCCATGAAAGACGTTGAATTATTAATTTGAAAGTTTCCTTTTAAAAAAAGATTCCAGACTCCTGGTTTTATTGCAGGAAGTCAGGGACCCCAAATGGAGGGACCGGCTGGAGCCGTGGCAGAGGAACATAAATTGTGAAGATTTCATATTAATATGGACATTTATCAGTTCCTGAATAATACTTTTATAATTTCTTATGCCTGTCTTTACTTTAATCTCTTAATCCTGTTATCTTCATAAGCTGAGGATGTACGTCACCTCAGGACCACTGTGATAATTGTGTTAACTGTACAAATTGATTGTAAAACACGTGTGTTTGAACAATATGAAATCAGGGCACCCTGAAAAAGTACAGAATAACAGCGATTTTTATGGAACAAGGGAAGACAACCTTAAGGTCTGACTGCCTGTGGGGTCAGGCAAAAAGAGCCATATTTTTCTTCTTGCAGAGAGCCAATAAATGGACGTGCAAGTAGGAAATATATCACTAAATTCTTTTCCTAGCAAGGAATATTAATATTAATACCCTGGGAAAGGAATGCATTCCTGGGGGGAGGTCTATAAACGGCCACTCTGGGAATGTCTGTATTATGCAGTTGAGATAAGGACTGAGATATGCCCTGGTCTCTTGCAGAACCCTCGGACTTACTAGGGTGGGGAAAAACTCCACCCTGGTAAATTTGTAGTCAGACCAGTTCTCTGCTCTCGAACCCTGTTTTCTGTTGTTTAAGATGTTTATCAAGACAATACGTGCACCGCTGAACATAGACCCTTATCAGTGGTTCTGCTTTTGCCCTTTGCTTTATGATCTTTGTTGGACCCTTATCAGTGGTTCTGCTTTTGCCCTTTGTTCTGTTCCCTCAGAAGCATGTGATCTTTGTTAGACCCTTATTAGTGGTTCTGCTTTTTGCTCTTTGATGCATGTGATCTTTGTACTTACTCTCTGTTCTTACACCCCCTCCCCTTTTGAAACCCTTAATAAAAGCTTGCTGGTCTGAGACTCAGGCAGGCATCACAGTCCTACCAATATGTGATGTCACCCCCAGCAGCCCACCTGTAAAATTCCTCTCTTTGTACTGTCTCTATTTCTCAGCTGGCTGACACTTATGGATAATAGAAAGAACCTACGTTGAAATATTGGGGGCAGGTTCCCCAATACTGTTTCACTAGAAAATTCTACCAGGCCTTTGTCTCCCACTCCCACCAGAGCTTGGGATTTATCTCTACTGTTCCATGTCCACCACCTCTGGAGCCCCCAGTGACTTTGTCACAGCCTCTGTTGCCCTGTGATCTGCAGGTACTGGGAGACGCATAGCTAAGATGCCAGGACATCCTGAAAGCTGGGAAATGAAACTGTTTACATTCAGGAATGTGGCCATAGAATTCTCTCTGGACGAGTGGAAATACTGGAACCTGCTTAGCAGAATTCGTATAGAGATGTGCTTTAAAAGAAGGACAGAAACCTGATCTCTGGGTCTTGATGTCTCTAAGCTAAACCTGGTGACCTTTTCGAAGGAAAGAAAAGAGTGAGGAGACAGTAGCCATACAGCCAGGTGTGATTGTATATATCTGCTAAGCATCTTAGTGATTTGACTCTCCTGCTTCAGCCCAGCCCACAGATGAGATTGTGACATATTGACTCTGCACCTTGAAGATGTGACTCTCTTTTCCAGCCTTGGTGCTGCCCACAGGTGGCATTGTGACATATGGCTGGGCCTTTCATCCAAATGATGTGTGATTGTGACGTACACCTCTGTCTGGAACCTGAATGACTTGACTTTTCTGCCTGGTCCCAACCCAAAAGTCATGTGACTCTTCTTCAGCCTGCACCCTACCACAAAAGGATTGTGATGCATCACTGCACTCAGCACCTAGATGATGTAACTCTCACCTTTTGCCTGGACCTTGCATATTTAAGGTTGGATTGTGACATATACTTTAGCCCAGCTCAGAGTTGTGATGATGACACTCATACCACAAACCAGCCAACAGAAGAGATGCTGGCATTTGTAGCTAGACTTAGAGAAAGGAATAAATTCCTGGGTCTTCTGTAGGCAATGTAACTCTCCTTCCTGGGTCCTGCCTATAGGAAGCATAAGGACCTGTCTGTGTATCCATCACCCAGCTGTTGTGACTCTCCTTTTTTGACTGAAACCTGCCACAAAGGGTGATTGTGACATATCACTGGGCCCAGAACCTAGTCTCTGGTGTGTCTTTATTAGCAGTGTGAGAACAGACTAATACAGTAAATTGGTACCAGCAGAATGGGGCATTGCTGAAAAGATAGCCGAAAATGTGGAAGCAACTTTGGAACCGGGTGACAGGCAGAGGTTGGAACAGTTTGGAGGGCTCAGAATACAGAAGAATGTGGGGAAGTGTGGGACTTCCTACAGACTTGTTGAATGGCTTTGACCAAAATGCTGATAGCGATATGGACAATAAAGTCCAGGCTGAGGTGGTCCCAGACGGACCTGAGGAACTTGCTGGGAACTGGAGCAAAGGTGACTCTTCTTATGTTTTAGCAAAGAGACTGGTGGCATTTTGCCCCTTCCCTAGAGATTTGTGGAACTTTGAACTTGAGAGAGATGACTTAGGGTATCTGGAGGAAGAAATTTCTAAGCAGGGCAGGTCTCTGTTGATCCATGGATGGGGATCTCTGTTCCGCAGGATGGGGTTTGTAAAGTTGTTAAGAATAAAGCCTACTTTAAGAGATATCAAGCGAAATTTAGAAGACGGCAAGAGGGTGAAACTGAGTATTATGCTTGGAAATGCTTGGTGATACAGGACAAAAATAAATACAACACACCCAAATACAGGATGATAGTTTGTGTAACACACAGAGATATTATTTATCAGGTTGCTTATGCCCGTACAGAAGGGGATATGATAGTACGCACAGCATATGCATGTGAACTACGAAAATATGGTTTGAAGGTTGGCCTGACCAATTACGCTGCGGTGTATTGTACTGGCCTGCAGGCTTCTCAATAGGTTTGGCATGGAAAAGATCTATGAAGGCCAAGTGGAGGTGACTGGCAAGGAATACAATGTGGAAAGCATTGATGGTCAGCCAAGTGCCTTTACCTGCTATATGGATGCAGGCCTTGCCAGAACTACCAGTGGCAATGAAGTTTTTGGTGCCCTGAAGAGAGCTGTAGATAGAGGCTTGTCTATCCCTCACAGTACCAAATGATTCCCTGGTTATGGTTCTGAAAGCAAGGAATTTAATGCAGAAGTACACCGGAAGCACATCATGGGCCAGAATGTTGCAGATTACATGTGCTACTTAATGGAGGAAGATGAAGATGCTTACCAGAAACAGTTCGTTCAATACAGGAAGAACAGTGTAACTCCAGACATGATGGAGGAGATGTAAAAGAAAGCTCATGCTGCTATATGAGAGAATCCCATCTAGGAGAAGAAGCCCAAGAAAAAAGTTAAAAAGAAGTGGAACTGTCCCAAAATGTCCCTTGCTCAAAAGAAAGATTGAGTAGCTCAAAAGAATGCAAGCTTCCTCAGAGCTCAGAAGTGGGCTTCTGAGAGCTAAACCAAACAATTTTCCATGAGGATTTTTCAGATGAAGATCATAAACTTATTGACAGCAAAAAAAAAAAAAAAAAATGAACTTTATAAGCAGCAAAGCATTCAAGAGGTGACTTGGGTTCTGTTAAAGGTATTCAGCTTTAAAAAGAAAACAGAGCATAAAAGTTTGGAAAATTTGCAGCCTGACAATGCAATAGAATAGAAAATCTCATTTTTTGAGGAGAAATTTAAGCCAGCTGCAGAAATTTGCATAAGTAATGAGAAGCCGAATGTTAATTCCCAAGACAATGGGGAAAATGTCTCCAGGGCATGTCAGAAATCTTCTTGGCAGGCCAGGCGCAGTGGCTCACGCCTATAATCCCAGCACTCTGGGGGGCCGAGGTGGGCGGATTACGAGGTCAGGAGATCCAGATCATCCTGGCTAACACAGTGAAACCCTGTCTCTACTAAAAATACAAAAAATTAGCCGGGTGTGGTGGTGGGTGCCTGTAGTCCTAGCTACTCGGGAGGCTGAGACAGGAGAATGCAGTGAACCTGGGAGGGGGAGCTTGCAGTGAGACGAGACGGTGCCACTACACCCTAGCCTGGGCGACAGAGCAAGACTCCGTCTCAAAAAAAAAAAAAAAGAAATCTTCTTGGCAGCCCATCCCATCACAGGCCCAGAGGCCTAAAAGAAAAATATAGTTTCCTGGGTCGGGCCCAGTGCCTCCCTGCCCTGTGTAGCCCAGGGACTTGGTGCCCTGCATTCCAGCCAGTCCAGTCATGGTTATATAGTTTCCTGGGTCGGGCCCAGCACCTCCCTGCTCTGTGCAGCCCAGGGACTTGGTGCCCTGCATTCCAACCAGTCCAGCCATGGCTAAAAGGAGCCAAGGCAGAGCTCGGGCTGTTGCTTCAGACAGTGGAAGCCCCAAGCCTTGGCAGCTTTCACGTGCTGTTGAGCCTGCAGGTGCATGGAAGTCAAGAATTGAGGTTTGGAACCCTCCACCTAGATTTCAAAGAATGTATGGGAACACCTGGATGTCCAGGAGAAGTTTGCTGCAGGGGCGGGGCCTTCATGAAGAACCTCTGCTAGGACAGTGCAGCAGAAAAATGTGGGGTCAGAGGTGCCACACTGAGGAGTCCCTACTGGGGCACCACCTAGTGGAGCTGTGAGAAGCTCCCAGATCCCAGAATGGTAGATCCACTGACAGCTTGCACCGTGCGCCTGGAAAATCCGCAGACACTCAACACTCAACCAGCCCGTGAAGGCAGCGGGGACGGAGGCTGTACCCTGCAGAGCCACAGGGACCGAGCTGCCCAAGACCATGGGAACCCACCTCTTGCATCAGCATGACCCGGATGTGGGACATGGTGTCAAAGGAGGTCATTTTGGAGCTTTAAGAAATCCTGCTGGATTTTGGACTTGCATGGGGCCTGTAGCCCCTTGGTTTTGGCCCATTTCTCCCATTTGGAATGGCTGTATTTACCAAATGCTTGTACCCCCATTATATCTAGGAAGTAACTAACTTGCTTTTGATTTTGCAGGCTCATAGGCGGAAGGGACTTGCCTTGTCTCAGATGAGACATTGGACTGTGTACTTTCGAGTTAATGCTGAAATTAGTTAAGACTTTGGGGAACTGTTGAAGGCATGATTGGTTTTGCAATGTAAAGACATTAGATTTGGGAGGGGCCAGGGTGAAATGATATGGTTTGGCTGTGTCCCCACCCAAATCTCATCTTGAATTGTAACTCCCACAATTCCCACAAGTCATGGGAGGAACACAGTGGGAGGTGATTAAATTATGGGGATGGGACTCTCCTGCACTGTTCTCGTGATAGTGAATGAATTTCAGAATATCTGATGGTTGTAAAAACAGGAGTTTTCCTGCACAAGCTCTCTCTTTGCCTGCTGCTATCCATGTAAAATGTGACTTGCTTCTCCTCGTCTTTTGCCATGATTGTGAGGCCTCCCCAGACACAAAGAACTGTAAGTCCATTAAATCTCTTTCTTCCCTGTCTCAGGTATGTCTTTATCAGCAGCGTGAGAACAGACTAATAAAGCCAGTAACTGAATAAAAGGTTGAATTATGGATCATATGGTAGGTAAAATAAATAAAAGTGTGCAAAAAATACTTGGGCTTTATTTGGGCCCCATTCTTTACATTGTTGTGACTTCCAGTGTTTTCACCTGAAGGGATATTTATGAACAGAAGGGTTGTTATTATTATTTGTATTTTTTACCTTGCTAAAAATACATATTAATCTCTTAATAAAATTATCCTAGCAAATCTTAAACAACAAAATAAAAATTCTACTGAACATGTAAAGAACTAGCATCAATTCTATATAATCTTTTCCAGAAGATAAAACAGGAAGGAACACTTTCCAACTCATTTTGTGAAGCCAAAATCAGACAAAGCTAGCATAAAGGAAACTATAGATCAATATATCTCATAAAGTTAAAAATCCCCAACAAAATGTTAGCAAACTGAATCCATGAATACGTGAAAATAATTATACACCATGACCACAGGGGATTTATTTCAGGTATGCATGGTTGGCTCAATATTTGAAAATTAATCAATGTAATCTAACCATATCAAAAGGCTAAAGAAGAAAAACCATATTATTTTCTTCTGAAGCTTCCAGAAGTAGCACAGCCCTCTCTAATAGACTGAGTTTAGATTTCTGACCTCCAAAAATGTAAAAGAATAAATTCGGGTTAAGCCACTCAATTTCTGTTAATTTGTGCAGCAATAGGAGATGAACACACATGATAATAGGGACTTTGCTGATGTGATTAAGTTGAGGACCCGGAGAAGGGGAAATTATTCTAACCAATAGAGGTGGGCGCAATCCAATCACAAGGGCTCTTATGATTATTTTAGAAATTTATGATTAGGTTAGAAATCCTATGATTAGGTTAGAAATGTTAGAAACATTTTACAAATAAGGATTTCCTTTTCTTTCTTGTAAAGCTTCAACCAGCCCCATCATTCACTGATGTACAGAATTCCTTTTCCAGTCCTTGGTTTCTCACTCAGTTCCTTTGACAAGGAGGTTATTCTACAGCGAAGGCAGTGCATCACACCAGAACTCACTGGTCGTACCATGTGCTCCATTACCCAGAAGCAGCTGACTTGATAGAACAGTGGCCTGCTAAAGCTTCAGAGGTACTATTTGCTGCAATCCAAAAGTCAGCAAAGTTGGGGTGCCACCCTACAGCATGCAGTATGTGCTTAAACAAATTACCAATGAATGTCACTATCTCTGTCACAGCCCACTGGGAAGCACTGGTGTGGGAAACAAAGGAGTGAGATAGGAGCACTCCCTCCCTTATTACTATACCCAGTGACCCACTTCAGCAATTTTTGCCCCCTGTCTTAATTATCTTGAGCTCAGTGGATTTGCGGGTCCTAATATCCAAGGAAACACAACTAATAAAGGTACCATTACCTTTATTACCTGAGGTGGGATAGGCAGTCAAGGCAGTGACTATGTTCTCAGGATGCGGCAACCATGGTGACCGTGCAGTCAACAAAATAAGCCTCAGCATTTGCATTGTAATTGAGCTATTCAAGCAAAGCTATCTTCAGTAGGGACTTTCCCCTCTAGAGAGCATGTGCAATTTGACTTTACCTGCCCTCATTATAATAGCAAAAAACATACCCCTGGGTGGAGATTTAAGATGCTAATGAGACATATGATATATGAACAAGCATGTACAGCTACTGCGCACATGCACCCAGAGGAACACCCAGAACATTCTTACTAGCAACACCTCTCCCACCTCCTTATAAATAATCATGTAAGACTCCCATACTGGGAGCCTCCCTAGTGCTGGTCTTTGTTGTCTCATCCTTATGAGCGGCCCGTCCTGAATTTCTCTCTCTCTCAGGGTGTACTGCCTATTCTGCACCTAACTTTCAAAGTATTCTTTTTCTTTTGCAATACTCTATGCTGCACTTCTTTTGCTATGTGTCTCTTGTTTAAATTCTCTTAAACCAAGAAGACAAGAACCAAGGTATCACAACAGGTGTCAGCATTTCATTGGAAGCTGAGAATCCTCCCTGGCCATGTGAAGCTCCACATGTCTTGTGACCATCAAGCAGACAAGGAGAGTCCCTCTACTGTCCAAGATAACTGCTTTCAATTCTCAGAGGGAACTAGGTTGCTGCTTCCTCATGCTGGCAAGAACTGGCCGGGAGCTGGGCATTCACAGGTGTGCCTCCTTACATTCCAGTAGTCCCAGTTCATGCACACCTTGGCACTCGAGTACAGACACAACACCAAGGTCTCAGGTCCTATGAGAATGATGGTTTGGGTCACCTCAACAGTGGATAAAAACCACGTATCTGAAGTGGTGGCAGAGGTCAGGGGAACGTGGCATTAAAGAAGTGAGTTAACTAACAATTCAGACTTCAGAATCAGCTCTGGAAGCCGGGGCTATAGCAGCTCTGTTTTATGGTATTTTGTTGCTTCTCTTCCCCCACTTATTCTCCATTGTCATAATAGGAAGAGCATTGGGATAGCTAACATTTTAAGTTTCAGGTGTTACTGAACCAACATCACCCCATATCACACAGTAGCTGATGGGATATTGTACAGCTCTTGTTTTGAGGACAAGTGATTTTCTCTTGGACTGGACAAACGATGTTTTTAAAATCCTAACAGGCACAAGTGGAGGACTGTCTGGGGCTATCCCTCATTGCCCTTTAGTCCTGCCCCTGGTCTTCTCCCCAGCCTTCTCCCCAGCCCTGCTGCTGGCAGCTCTCCCATCTTCTGGAATCCAGGTAAGTCTGGCCAATGGGAGACACTGGCAGGACTTGATGGGTGGGAGGAACAAGGTCACTGAATCTCCTGGCTCCTCTGGCCAGGCCACAGGTGATCACAGGCCACTAGAGCTCCCATCTCCCCTTTGCCCCTCAGGCCCATGAGGTCGTGGCCTCTTTTCTTCAGGAGTTCAGCACACCCATTCTTTCCCCAAACCTGACCTTTGAGCACATAATCTCTTTCTTTCCTGAGAAAGACCCTACCTCGCAAGGAGGGTGGAAAATAGTCACCACCCAATGCTCAAAGATGTTCCTTACATGACTGTTTCAAGAGGAAAAAGATAGACAATAACCTAAATGTCAACAAAAGGGGAAAAGCTGATGATAGCCTATCCACTTACAATGTAACATTGCACAGATTTTTAAATGATGATACAGAAATACATGCACATGTAAGTCCCCAGACCTAAGTCCCCAGACGTAGCAGGTCACAACTGTTCAACCCAATAGGGCCCTGCTCACCTGGAGTATCCAGGGCAGCCATGTGAGGCTGGGGACACAAGACTTCAGCGAGTTGTGCCCAAGGAGCCAGGGGTTTCTGAGAGAACAGGGTTGCCCACCCAGAGCCACTGTGACCAGAAGGGTCCTGGCAGGGGGCGGAGGGGGAGAGCACTCAACTCATCTGACCTCTGAAATGTATTCATAAAATGAAAGGATTTGATTAAATAATGTCTAATATTCCCTCTGATGGAAATTCCATCATCATGCAGTTTCCAGGCTGCAGTCCTGAACTACGGTGTGGAAAGCATGAGAAACCCCACTGATTCCTTCCAGGCACAGAATATCTGCAAATTTTGAAGTCATGAAAAAAAAGTTGTTGTTGTTGTTGTTTTTTTCTATTTTTAGCAAAGAAGGACTTCTGGGGAAAATTTAAATACGTGAAATGCTTTCTTTTTATGAAGCTTAGATGATTTCCTAACTTTGGGAACACTAAGATGTATCAACGATTTGATTTACTCAACAAATTATTATGCTTGGAATATTATATTTAAGTGGAACTTATTCGTATCATAATTATAGATTGACTAATTAAATTTATTTTTGAGTGCTTTTCCTTTTCCCAAATTAAAGTATAAATTGGTAAATTTGAAGAAATCCAGTTCCTGGGTTGTTTCAGTTAACTTAAAAATAAACAAAAGACATCGCCAAGCCTATGGTAAATCTTGCACTCCTAAAACGTCTCTGAGCACGCACTGAATCCCAGGTTCCCAGGACACGCAGGGGCCTCTCCTGGCAGTGACTGTCCATCTCTGGCGAGTCCCACCTCACACAAAGAGCTAGTGTGAAGTGCCACCAGGGAAACAGAGGGACTTTGGAGATTTAGGAAAGGCTTTGGGAACTCTTCCTCTGCAGGCTGGGGGCGGGATGGCCACAGGGAGATGCACCATACGCGGAAACACTACGTGCAGCCGACCTGGCCTTTGGGGAGGCGGGCAGGCGCAGAGGGACAGAGTCAGAGTGTTCCAGGCACAGTGCG
Organism: Homo sapiens; assembly: GCF_000001405.40. Lineage (NCBI taxonomy): Eukaryota > Metazoa > Chordata > Mammalia > Primates > Hominidae > Homo > Homo sapiens. The sequence continues at coordinate 27,902,868 of NC_000015.10, forward strand.
TTCCTCCAAATCACGCTGACGCACACGCGCGTCCCTAGCTGACACCTGAGCACGTGGGCGCTGGCTGGGCGGCCTGCAGAGCTCACATCCTCCACCCCGACCTCGATCCCCTCGGGAGCACCCACAGGGCACCCGGGTCAGGGAGGCCACGAGGGGCAGTCACCCCGCAAGGAAGGAGGCCAAGGGGAAGGAGAGGAGCCCTCTGTGACCCTGAGAGAAGCCCCGAGATCTGCGGGGGTCCCAGCGCTCCTGCGCCCCCTCTCCCCTGGGCTGCTGTGAGGCTGGAGACAGGCTGCAGTAAACTCCACCTTTGTGTCGCCGGCGCCGTGAACCCTCAAAGCAGGCTTTCGCGTAAGTCCCGACGGTCTGTCCTCACCCAGCTGTGTGTGTTTCTCACACAGCTGTTATCTTGTGCTCCGAAACCCCAAGCCCGCCACGGCGGTGCTTCCGCGGGCCCACAGCTGCCCTCCTCTCCTGGCACCGCCAGCCACCCCTCCCGCTCCAGGACGCCTGTGCAGGGGACCCTGCCTCAGAAAGTGTCGCTTGGGAGATGGAAATGAAGACTGAAGGAACTTCCAACTCCCACCTACTCTCTAGGAGGCACTTTCTTTTTGTTTTGTTTTTGTTGTTGTTTTGTTGAGATGGAGTCTTGCTCTGTTGCCCCGGAGGCACTTTCTATTACTGAGAAGAAAACCCTGGAAAGTCCCGGGCTTCCCCCAGGAGCTTGGAACTCCCCTCGCCCCCTGCTTCCTGCCCTCCATCCCCCAGGAGCGGGTCCCTGCGGCCTAGCGGGAGTGGAGAGCGAGGCTTAGGTCCTTAGTGATGGCTTCAAGGCCTGGGAACCCCAGGTCCTGGTTTTTAAACTCTGGACAAACTGCACTCGCATTACCCTGGCTCACTCTTGTGCTCAGGAATTAATTTTTAATATCTGCATAGCATTTCTTACCTATAAGAATGTGTCTTCTTGTTCTAAAAGAATTTTTACATGAATATTTCATGTGATGGTATTGTATAGTATTGTAAGTCACTTTTCTTCTTTTCTCATTAGAATAACCTGTAGCATAGAAACTCTTCCATATGTAAGAAATTGGTCTTAGCTTTTAATGAGGGGATTTTTAAAAATAGTGCAGTGTGCTGGCTATTTGTCAAGAAAACATTACATTTAACATGATGCCTGCAGATAAGTTTAAACTCTCTCCTTTCCCTTTATTCAGCTTCCCTGTGAATCCAAGTCATAGCTCCCGTTCTCATTTCCTTTCGCCTCTGAACCTTTGTGGAGATACCGTCCTGCCGGAGCAGCAACAAGGGAAGCCAGCCCACAGTGCATTGTTCAGCTCCCTCGCTCGCTCCAAAATCCACCCGACCCAGCCCCAGGAGGACCAGAGCAGGGCCCACTGCAGCAGATTCAGGTGGACGGGGCAGAAGTGAGCAGTGCTGTTGGCTGGGAGCGCTGGGGGACAGAGAAAGACTCCCGACCATGCTGGGGCCTAAGAGAACCAGAAGAGATGCGCAGATGAGCTTTGGAGGACGGAAGAACTGCACACTACAGTGCGGGGTGTATCCTTGGCCCAGACACAGGGCAATTTCAGGGAACTCTACTAGGGAGGTGCGGGGGTGGCTGAGAATGGCAGCCCCAGAGAAGAAGAGGGAGCTCAGTCCTACCTGGGCCAGCTCAGTGGCTGGGCTGGAGACACGAGCTGACACATGGAGCAGCAGCTCAGCCCCTCACTGATCATGGGGCTTGGTTAAGTGTATAAAGTTCCTTCTACTGCCAACAGTCTATCCTCCCCAACTCCTGGGGATACTCCAGCACAAACTGGGGAACACCAAGTTGCAAAGTACAAGGACAAGGCCAGGAACCCTAGGCAACAACTCCTCATATTCCCAGCACCCCCCACCTCCTCAAGCTTGCCTGGGTAGGCCTCTGAAATCTCCATGGACCTGGCCTGTGGCCACCACAGCACAGTTTGTTGATTAACATACAGTGGTTCCCTTTTAGAAATCGGCAACACGGGGCTGGGCATGGTGGTTCATGCCTGTAATCCCAGCACTTTGGGAGGCCAAGGCAGGCGGATCACCTGAGGTCAGGAGTTCGAGACCAGACTGGCCAACATGGCAAAACCTCGTCTCTACTAAAAATACAAAAATTAGCCGGGCGTGGTGGTGGGTGCCTGTAATCCCAACTACTCGGGAGGCTGAGGCAGGAGAATTGCTTGAACCCAGGAGGCAGAGGTTGCAATGAGCCAAGATCGCGCCACTGCACTCCAGCCTGGGCAACAGAATGAGACTCCACCTCAAAAAAAAAAAAAAAAAATTGGCAATGTGGACAGCTGAGGACAATGGCAGTGGTATAACTGCTTCTATCCCAAAATTTCCTCCCAAAAGACAGAAAAAGAAAGAAAAGAAAGTAAAATCTACACAAAGCCATGCCTTCCACATAATGTGAAGGTAGAGAACCCCAAAAGTGTAAAATATCTGAACTGAAAAGAGAAAAGTGAAAATACCACCAAACCCCCAGCCTGCTCTCTCTCTCACTGCTGTCCCAGCAACAAAGCTTTACAGCAAATGGACAGAAAGCCCTGAGGGAAGACAGAGGGGGTGCTGAGGTGATCAGAAGGTCCACCAGAACGGGCCAGGGGGAACTGGGCCCTGGGAGGTGCTGTGAGAGGAGCAGGAGCACAGAAAGGGCCCATCTGGGGGCATGCAGCCTTGGGGAGGAAAGAGCAAAGAGGAAGGGAAAGCTCCTTTGGGCAACCAAGTGGTCAAGTGGAAAAGAAAAGGAGGTAAAAGCGGGGTTCCGCAAGGCAGGAGTCGGAGGACTGTGCTCTGCCCGCAGAAGAGCGCCAGGAATCCTACAAAACACAAACAAGCCCAACGGCATTAAATGAACAAGAGAAAAATGAAGTCACACCTACAGAGCTAGTGCAAACGCTATCAGGAGCGGAAATGTCACATGTATCAGCTGAGGAAAATCCCCTCTGAAAATAACCATGAAGCATGTAGAAGAAAACTACAAGCCCACACTTCAAAATGAATTCGCCATGCCCACGCCTCAAGCAAGCATCAAAAATACAAACCCACCTTAAATCAGAGATTTGAAAACAGAAATGGGCAAATAACAGGGAGAAATAAAAAGTTGATTGAACTCAAGGATGAGGTAACCAAGTTTTCTCAGAAATAAGGGGTTGTTTAATGGGTACAAAAAATAGGGTTAGTTAGAAGTAATAAGTTCTAGTGTTTGATAGCATGATAGGGCCACTATAATTAACAATAACTTATTGTATATTTTAAAATAACTGGAAGAAAGGACTTGGAATGTTCCCAAAACAAGTAACAATAAATGTTTGAGGTTATGGATATCCTAATTACCCTGATTTCATCATTACATATTGTATTATTGTATCAAAATATCACATGTCCCCCATAAATATGCAACAACTATTATGTACTCAGAGAAATCACTTTACAAAAGAAATGAGAAATAAATTAAAAGATGCCCAAAAGACAATAGACAAAAATGAAAATATAACAAGGGTCACTAAATAAAGATATCAAAGCAAGTAAGAGAATAAAAATGAATAAGTAAATAGATAAATTAAAAGGGCAGAGATAGTAGTGGAAATGGAACCCGGGCAATGAAGGAATAATATTTGTTTATTGGAGTCCTTAAGGGAAAAAAACAAATAGTAGAATGAAGCTAATATTTAAAACTAAAATCTCTGTTACATGTTCTAGTAAAACTATAAGATTTCAAGGAAGAAGATAAAAATCATCAAGGCCGCACGCAAAACAATCAGACTGACATCAGGTCTTCCAAAATCAAGATATAAACAAAACGACAATGGAGCAATATTTTTAAAAATAAGTCAATGAAAAAAAAAAGTGTAACAAAGGATTCCAATCCAGCCAACTTACAAAGAACAGTTTATTTGGCTCATGGTTCTGTAGCCTCTGAAAGTAGAGGCAGACACCAACATCCACTCAGCTTCTGGTGAGGGCCTCAGGCTGCTCCCACTTGTTGGGGAAGGTAAAGGGGACCCAGGGCATGCTGAGATCACATGGCAAAAGAGGAAGCAAGAGAGTGGGAGGCGCCAGGCTCTTTTAACAACCAGCTCTCACAAGGACTAATAGAGTGAGAACTCATTACCACAAAGATGGCACCATGCCATTCAGAAGGGATCCGCCACCATGACCCAAACACCTCCCATCAGGCCCCACCTCCAACACTGCGATCAAATTTCAACATAAGGTTTGAAGGGGACAAATATCCAAAACATAGCAATTAATAACTTCCGTAAAGTAGAAATATTTTGAAATACAAAAACCTCTTTGCTGCCAGTGCAACCAAGCTAGAAAATTACTAAGAAAAACAAAAAACAGAAAGGTCCTTCTGCCAGGAAAGTTAAAAATGTTCTATTGAAACAATTCTTGTGGGAAATAGAAACAGAAATTACAATTTTTAAAAAATGATGAAAACACTACATATCAAAATTTAAGGGATGCATTTAAAGCAGTAATCAGAGGAAAATCATTGCACAAAACACATTTAATAACAACACTGAAAAAAAGATTAAATATCCAATTCTAAAAACTAGAAAAAAACAAAGTCCACCAAATAAAGGAGGGAGATAATGAAGTTAAAGCAGAAATTAATGACATGGAGAATATAAAAACAGTATATTAATTAACCAACTCCCAGTTGTTGTTTTGAAAAAAATTAACAAGATGGACAAACCACAATCTAACTTGATTAAGGGGAAAAGGGGGAAAAAGCACAAATATTCAAAATAAGAAAGAACAACAAGGAAATAATCATTGAAACAGAAGTAAAATTTAAATCATAAATGACTAATTTGGAAACTTCTGTGAAAATAAATTTTAAACCCTAGGTGAAATGGATAGTTCCCTAGAGAAATACAGATTGCCAATATTGACCCCATCTGATTTAGAAAGCTTAAACAGACCTATTTCCAAAGAAATAAAAAGTTATTGAAGAAATAACTAGCCCACTCCCAAAAAAGAGCCAGGCCAAGATGGTCTCACAGGGGAATTGTATCAAGCCCTCAAAAACCAGATAGTCACAATTATCTATAAATTATTTCAGATTATTGAAAAGAAGGTAAATTTTCCTAACTCCCTTTATGAAGCAAGTGTGACAATGATACCTAAACCACGTAAAGACTCATTAAGAAAAAAAAAGAGTACTACAGAAAAGTATTACTTATGAATATCATGAATTACTAATAAATATCAATGCCAAATAGAAAATGAAATATTAGCAAAAAGACCACCACATTAAGAAAATAATAAATCATAAAAAAGATAATTCATTCCAGAATTCAAGGTTGGTTCAATATTAGGAAATTCATTAGTACCATACACTCTATTAATAGATCTAAGTGAAAAATAATATGATGATCTCCATAAATACTAGGGGGAAAAAATCTTTGTCAAATTTCAACACCCATTCTTGCTTAAAACACTCAAGAAAGTAGGAATTGGTGGATACTTTGTTAATGTGATAAAAAATTACATTAGGTATATATATCTAATCCTAAAGCCAGTATCATATTTAATAGAGAAATACTAAAGGCATTTCCACTATGTCAGTGTGTCAGAATCTCCAAGACCATCCTGACACTTGGAGATTTTCTAGAGGAATTCTGCGAGTCAGCATGCAGTTGCACACCTGACTACCATTCATTACAGCCATGAAGTAAGGACACACAGCCAGATCATAAGGGGAAAAGACGAATGTGGAGTCCACGTGAGTACAGATCCATGTGAGGCTTCCTTCTCGCTCTTCCTCCCATGGTGGGGGCTCACAGAGTGCCCCAGCAATGAAAATGTAGCAACATGTGTGTGATGTTCCTGCCCAGAGAAGCCCATTAGAGACTCAGGTTTTTATTGGGGTCTGACACATAAACATCCTCTGCCTAACATATACCAAAATTCCAGACTCCCAGAAAGAAAACAGGTGTTTAGCATAAATCAAATTGTTTGCATAAACAGTCTAGGCACAGTAAACTGTCCTTATTAGTTAGATAATGGTGGGAATACTTCTGAAATTTGAGTTCCCAGATGCCAGCCAAGGACTAACCTGGCAAGTAGACCTTTCTAAGCATGGCATTCATAGGCCTGCTGTGTTTACCCTTTATTTCTGCTACTATTTAACATTAGACAGGGATATCAACTAAGGATAAATTAACTTATAAAAACCAATGGCCTCTATATACACAAAAAAATAAACAGTAGAGAACTTACTGTCAAAGAAAACCACATGCATAATATCAACAAAGATTAAATATTTTATAATACCTTTAACAAAAAATGTGCAAAAATTATACAACACAATTTTAAAACATTCCTGAAAGACACAGAAGTAGACTTGATCAAATACAAAGACACATCCTGTTCTCAGATTAAATTAATTAACAATATATAGATGACAGCTATTGCCACATTAATGTATGAATTCAATGCAATCTTGATCAAAAATGTCAGCAAGCTATTTCATAATTGAGTTAGACAAGTTGATACTAATGTTCATAAGAAAAAAGAAATATTAAGAATATCCCAAAAAGCACTGAAAAAGAAAAACTAAAAAGGGGACATAACTAGCCCTACCAGACATTAAAACATATTATAAAGCCTCAAACAATTTGATGCTGGTCCATTAACAGACAAATAGACATGTAATATAATAGGAAGTTCAGAAATAGGACCAAGGACATATGAAAAGCTAATGTAGGATAAAATTGACATCTCAAATCACTGGAGTACAAGTGTCCAGTTTAATAAATGGTACTGGGACAACCAGGTAGTCACTTGGAAAAATAAAATAAAATTAGATTCCATATTTCACACTATATGCAAGAAAAAAACCCAAATGTATTAGAGATTTAAATGTAAAATAAGATAGCATAGAAGTAATGGGTGATTTTCTATTTAGCCTTTCTATATAAAACTGAAAATCCAGAGACATAACTAGTAAATCTGTCTACATAAAGTGTCTTAAAATTACATGACCAAAATAAACAAAGACACACTATAAAAAGTCACAAAACAACTAACTAGGAGTAAATAATTGCAGTCTATACCACAAAGAGCTAATATCCCTAATAAATAAAGAACCCTTGAACAGTGTGAAACAAAGACGCAATCGAAAAACAGGACACTGACATGAATGCACAATTAACCAAAAAGGATTCAAAAATGGCCTTCAAACATGAAAAAAAAAAGTTCAAATTCACTTATCATTAAAGAAATGCAAATGAAAACAGCACTGAGATACTATTTTCATAAAACTGACAAAATGAAAAATTATGACATTCTGTCAGGCAGACTAGGAAAATGGCCACACTCACATAATGCCAGTGGGAGTATAACCCAGCACAACTCTTGCAGAGGGAAATCTGGCAATGAAGAATAAAACATGCACTTACCTTTGACTCTGTGATCTGACTTCTAGAAATATACCCTGAAGGTACACCTCTAACAATACAAAAATATTCACCGTAGTGTTGTTTGTAATCACAAAAGACTGGAGACAACCTAAATGCCTCTATGTAGAAGGAAGGTTGAATAAACGATGGCACATTCACAAAATGGGGTACTATATAGTTATAAAAAAGAATTGGGAAGATTTCTGTGAACTGATTAGGAGTGATTTCCAAGACATAACATTAAGCTTATAAAAAGCAAAATGTGAAAGATTATCTACACTATGTTATTCTTCAAGTAATAAAGAAGGGGATACAAAATAAACAGTTGTATGTGCTTATTTATGTTAAAAAAAAAAAACATACGGCTGGGTGTGGTGGCTCACACCTGTAATCCCAGCACTTTGGGAGGCCGAGGCAGGTGGATCACAAAGTCAGGAGTTCGAGACCAGCCTAACCAATGCAGTGAAACCCCGCATCTACTAAAAATACAAAAATTAGCTGGGCATGGTGGAGGGCATCTGTAGTCCCAGCTACTCAGGAGGCTGAGGCAGGAGAATCGCTTGAACCCAGGAGGCAGAGGTTGCAGTGAGCCGAGATCATGCCACTGCACTCCAGCCTGGGCAACAGAGTGAGACTCCATCTAAAAAAAAAGAAAGAAAGAAAAAAAAGAAAAGAAAAGAAATACAAGACAGGTACATCAGCTACTTACAGGAAAGATCTAGGTAAGGTAGAAAGATGAGCAAAGGAGAACAGGATAGTAAGCATGAGGAGAGAGTGATACTTCCTTTCATATACATTTCTGTATGGCTTTGATTCTTAGAACCATGGTAATGGTTCAAATATCCCATCTTAGTCCATTTATGATGCAATAAAGAAATACTTGAGGCTGGGTAATTTAAAGAAAAGAACAGCCTGCGGGCAACATGGCAAAATCCTGTCTCTACAAAAAATACAAAAATTAGCCAGGTGTGGTGGTATAAGCCTGTAGTCCCAGCTACTTGGGAGGCTGTAGTTAGGAGGATTCCTTGAGCCTGGAAAGGTTGAGGCTGCAGTGATTGTGCCACTGCACTTCAAGCACAATAGAATGAGACCCTGTCTCAAGAAGAAAAGAAAAAAGAAAAGAGAAAATAAAAGAGGTTTATTTGGCTCACAGTTCTGCAGGCTGTAGAACAAGCATGGCACCAGCATCTGCATCTGACGAGGACCTCCGGCTGCTTCCCCTCATAGTGGAAAGCTGGTGTGCAGAGATCACATGGCAGGAGCAGAAGTGAGGGAGAAAACAAGAGAGAAGGGGGAGGTGCCAGGCTCTTTTAACAACCAGGTCTCTCACGAAGTAATAGAGTGAGAACTCATTCATTACCATGAGGATGGCACCAAGCCATTCTTAGAGGATCCACCCCCCATGACCCAAACACCTTCCATGAGGCCCCACCTTCAACACTAGAGATCAGATTTCAACATGAGATTTGGAGGGACAAGTATCCAAATCACAGCAATCCCAGCCCCAATAAGTGCATTACAAATAAATAACATAAACATACTGAAGGCTATGGAGAAGAAAAGAATTAATTTAAGAAATTTCAGAAAACCATATTTTGACAGGCTACTGTAAGACTAAAGACAAAAAGAAGTCTACACAAATACTGTAGTTGAGTTAGTAAATCTATTTCTCACAAATATATGAGTTAGCAATTCTGTAACTACTTTAGGTGTATGCTAGGAATTGAACAAATAAGTGAGTATATATTGTAGACAGTGAGAGCAAGAGGCAAATCTTATGGTGCTGGATTGGAATTCAGGGAATCAATATGATCTGAAGGTTTTAAACACATAGACGAGTAAATTAATATATAGATACAGATATGGATGTGTGGATATGGGTGTTGGTATACAAACACATATGCCCAACTATGCTGATTGCGGAGGCCTAGATTCAGCGACATCTAAATTGCTACACACACACCAAGCATCCAGATTTTGATTTCTAAACACCATTCCCCAATACAAGGAATGAGAAATCTTTTGAGAGGCAGTTGATTCCAGGGCAAGAGCAGGCAAAATGCAAAATGATTCAGGAACATTTTATGATGTGAGAAAATGAAAAACTGATTGAAAATTGATGAGGATGTGTCTAAAGACGACAGGAGCCAAATGGACACCGAAGCTGCTCCCAGTGGTCAAAACTGGAATAATCTGAGCAACAAAATAAATAACAATAGTACCGACTTACAACACATAGAATAAAATAAACATCCATGAACTTTTACAAATGTAAATAAATAAAGGAGAAGGATAGCTCTTCCTTATAGATAAGCTCCAGTTAATAAATGTATTAATAGAAGCAATAAGGATAATACAAAATCATCATTAGGCAAACTCTACAGTCATAATGATTAGAGGCAAAGAGCTACTGACAAATGCTAAAATCAGTAAGAAAATGTTTGAGGAAAAACACAATGTTAGTATAATCTCAAAGTATTTCCCCACAAGATAATTTGCCAGGGCTCCACTTCACAATACAGAAACCTGGCAGACACCACATGAGCCAAGTGATCGATGTTAACACTTTCAGTAATAGGACATGCCAATGTTTGTACCCCAATATGATGCACTAGACAAGGCACATCACCTCTGTGATCTCGCCAAAACTTCATAGCCTCAAAACTGTCATGAGAAAACATGAGACAAACCCAAACTGAGAAATCTCTACAAGGTAACTAACTAATACTTTTCAAAAGGGTCCAGATAGACTAAAGAATTTAGACGAAATTCAAGACATATGATAACTAAATGAAATGTGGGATTCTGGATAGAATATTGGACAGAAAAAAAGTCATTAGGAAAAAACTGAAGAAACTGAATAGTATTTGTAGTTTTAGTAATATTCTACTAATGTTAATTTTCTGGTTTCGATAGTTTTATCACGGTTGTATAATTTTTAACTTAGGGGAAGTTGGGTGATGGGTAAATGTGGACTCTCTATACTTTTTTACGATATTTATGTAAGCCCAAAATTCTTTCAAAAGAAAATTTCCTTGTTTCCTTGTTTTTGAAAAAAAAAAGCATTTCAAAAGAAAGAAGGGAAAGATTAGATATATCAAATACATCATCTTAAAAGTGTTATCCATCATTCTCAAATTATTATAATCCAAAAATGTCTTGCTTGCTCTCATTCATGATAAACTATTTCTCCACGTGTTTTGCAATTTTAGATTGTGAGCTCATATATGTTGGTTCTGTCTATAGGAATACTGAAGAGAGGTTCCCCTTATGCTGCTAAATCCTTGTTATAAGAAGAGACTGCTACAACCTGAAAGAAAGTGGGGCCAAAACTGCCATGAAAATCTTCACATACTGTATTTAATGTGCCCATCAGGTCAGATGAAGACATTTTCTAAAGATGAGCTGGTACCATTCTATGAGATGGCCTCAAAGAGTGAATTAGAGAAGAGTCCCTCCTCTTCTGATACCAAACCTAGCAGAGACACAACAAAAAAAAAAAAGAGAAAGAAAGAAAGAAAGAAAGGAAAGAAAGAAAGAAAGAAAGAAAGAAAGAAAGAAAGAAAGAAAGAAAGAAAGAAAGCAAGCAAGCAAGCAAGCAAGCAAGCAAGCAAGCAAGAAAGAAAGAAAAAAATTTCAGGCCAATATCCCTGATGAACATAGATGCAAAAATCCTCAATAAAATACTAGCAAATTGAATCCAGCAGCTCATCAAAAAGCTAATCCACTATGATTAGGCTCTATCTCTTAGATGCAAGTTTGGTGCAACATATGCAAATCAATAAATGTGATTCACCACATAAACATAATTAAAAACAAAAACCACATGATCATCGCCATAGATGCAGAACAGGCTTTTGATAAAATTCAACATCCCTAGGTATCAAAGGAGCATACCTTAAAATAATAAGAGCTATCTATGACAAACCCACAGCCAACATCATACTGAATGGGCAAAAGCTGGAACCATTCCCTTTGAGAACTGGAACAAGATAAGGATGCCCTCTCTCACCACTCCTATTCAACATAGTACTGGAAGTCCTAGCCAGAGCAATCAGGCAACAGTAAGAAATAAAAGACATCCAAATAGGAAGAGAGGAAGTCAAACTATCTCTTTTCACAGACAATATGGTTTTATACCTAGAAAACCCCATAGTCTTGGCCCAAAAGCTACTTCAGCAGATAAACAACTCCAGCAAAATTTCAGGATACAAAATCAATGGCTGAAAATCAGGAGCATTTTCAAACACCAACAACATTCAAGCTGAGAGCCAAATCAAGAATGCAATCCCATTTACATCAGCTATACAAAAAATACAATACCTAGAAATGTAGCTAACCAGGGAGGTGAAAGAGCTCTACACCAAGAATTATAAACCACTGCTGAAATAAATCAGTGATGACACAAACAAATGGAAAAACTTTCCATGCTCATGGATAAGAAGAATCAATATTATTAAAATGGCCATAATGCCCAAAGCAATCTACAGATTCAATGCTATTCATATCAAACACCAATGATATTCTTCAGAGAATTAGAAAAAAACTATTGCAAAATATATATGGAACCAAAAAAAGAGCCCAAATAGCCAAGGAAGTTTAAAGCAAAAAGAACAAAGCTGGAGGCATCACATTACCCAGCTTCAAACTATACTACATGACTACAGTTAACCAAAACATCATGGTAGTGGTACAAAAACAGACACATGGACCAATGGAACAGAATAGAGGACCCAGAAATAACACACCTACAACTATCAGATCTTTGACAAAATCAACAAAAACAAGCAATGGGGAAAGGACTCCCCGTTCAATAAATGGTGCTGAGATAACTGGCTAGTCATATGCAGAAGATTGAAACCAGACCCCTTCCTTCCATCACATACAAAAATCAACTCAAGATGGATCAAAGATTTTAATTTAAAACCTAAAACCATAAAAACCCTAGACAAAAACCTAGGACGTACCATTTTGGACACAGAGCCTGGCAAAGATTTCACGACAAAGACCCCAAAAGCAATTACAACTAAAACAAAAGTTGACAAATGGGGCCTCATTAAACTAAGGAGCTTCTACATAACAAAAGAAACTATCACCTCAGTAAACGGACAACCAATGGAATGGGAGAAAATTTTTGCACACTATGTATCTGACAAAGGTCTAATATTCAGAATCTATAAGAGACTTAAACAAATTTACAAGCAAAAAACAACCCTGTTAAAATATGGGCAAAGGACATGAATAGCTATTTCTCAAAAGAAGACATACACATGGCCAACAAGCATATGAACAAATGCTCAACATGGCTAATCATGTTGCAAATCAAAACCGAAATGAGATGGCATCTCATGCCAGTCAGAATGGTTAGTATTAAAAAGTGAAAAATAACAGATGTTGGTGAGGTTGCAGAGAAAAGAGAATGCTTATACACTGCTGATTCTGCTGATTAGAGTATAAGTCAGTTCAGCCAATGTGGAGAGCAGTTTGGAGATCCTCAAAGAATACCATTCAGCCCACCAATCTCATTACTGTATATGTACCCAAAGGAATATAAATCATTCTACCACAAAGACACATGCATGCATATGTTCATCACAGCACTATTCACAATAGCAAAGACATGGAATCAATCTAAATGCCCATCAACAGTGGACTGAATAAAGAAAATGTGACACATATCATGGAATACTATGCAGCCATAAAAAAGAATGAAATCATGTCCTTTGCAGCAACATGGATGCAGCTGGAAACCATTGTCCTTAGCAAACTAATGCAGGAACAGAAAACCAAATACTGCATGTTTTCATTATTATAAGTAGGAGCTAAACATTGAGTACACATGGACACAAAGAAGGGAACCATAGACACTGGAGTCTACTTGAGGGTGGAAGGTGGGAGGAGGGTAAAGATCAAAAAACTATGTATCAGGTCCTACGCTTATTACCTGAGTGATGAAATAATCTGTAAGCCAAGCCCCCATGACATGCAGTTTACCCCTGTAACAAACCTGCACATGTACCCCCGAACCCAAAATGCAAATTGGAAAGAAAAAAAAGACATTTCCTGCCTAACAGTTTCATTCTAAAATTTCTTCTTCTAAGGGTAAACATGTTTATATTGATGTTATGTACTCCCTATATCCAAGAATCATCCAGAAATTTTTAAACATGAATTTAAAGGACACTTAGCATTTCAAATCCCTATAAAACAAAAGGACAAGTAAAATAACACTCCTTAACACAGGTTATTCATTAACTAACTTTGAAGCCCTTCTAAATCTGCAGAAACATGCTCCATTATCCAAATTTAGAAATACTCAAAATTGATCTTGAATTTCAGGGGACAAGATGCCTACAGTTTTCATTGTACCAACTACTCTATGGTTTGACCAAATTTTCTAGAAGACAATCTGACCTCAGTAACAAAAGTCAGTGCAACATAAATCAATAGACCCAAATGTCTCCAACTGTTTTCCAAAAAATAGAACACACCTGACCTACTGTATGTGCTTCAGAGTGGGGCCTGTTTCAGAGCCACTGCAACATGACAGAAGAAGGATTTGACCCAAAACGTACGCTGGAGAACTCAGGTCCAAAATGGCAGGAAAAGGGCCAGGAAGCCCTCAAAATGTGGAAGAGGTCTTAGGTAGGTGTAAGATAGCAGATGCAAAACGAGAGATGAAAGCCCAGGGCGTGAAGATGAAGGCAGGCCACTCTGAAGGGAATGGCTGCTTGGGGTAGGGGAGCTGGGTGTGTGAGATCTGTGGGGCCCAGAGAGTTTGCCTAGGACCTCTGTATACAAACCTTACTCTCTTCTGGGCTAACAGTGAATAGTTTGAACATGAATAGGTTGAATTAAGCTTTTGAATCAAATTATTACTAAAAATGATAATAATAATAATAGGCTATAGCACTTTTTGAATGCCAACTAGGAGCTCAACATGGAGCTCAGTACTTCTATATGATCTTCTTGGTTCTCACAAGCAGCGTGATTAATATTAATAGACTATTCTAAAGATAAGAAAATTGAGGCTCAGAGGTATTAAGTAATTTGTCTAAAATTTTAGAACTAGGAAGTAGCAAAGCTGAGCTTTGAACATGGATCCATCTGATGTGAAAGCCTGTGCTCATAAACATCATGTGAACTATAACCTGTTCGCCTGAATTGGAAGAGTCCTTCCTGGACTGGTGCGCAGATCTCTGAGCATCCCCACTGGAGTGCTCTCATGGTCCTGTGATATTCATGGCACATGAGAAAGCTTCCAACCCATCCATCTCCCCATTATGCCAGAGGCTGCATCCAGCTGCAATGAGGTCTGTAAGCTTGATGATGATGGTCAGACTGCTCATAGAGGGGGGAAGCAAGGTGAGGACCTGTTACATAAGGATGAGTGGGAGCAAAATGAACAGGAACATCTGAGGATAAAATAACAGAGTTGAAAGCATCCAGGCCTTAAAATGGCTCCTAATAGGGCTTTTCCTACTTCAAAAAGGACGGTCAGAGTATCTTGCCCAGTTGATTGTCCCTTTTGGGCCGAAAAGTCTAACACTTTTCAGAAAGAGTGTTAGGCTGCCCCTCAGGGAAGCCTGGGGAAGGCAAGCATCTGAACTGGCTTCCTTAAGGTTACACCTCATGAAGATTCCATTGTTCCTCAACTCCCCATATTTTAGACTACTTAAGTTGGAGAATTATTGAACATCTTGCAAAACCACAATTCATACAATGTTACAGGACAAGCAAAGTTAATGCAATAATAATAAGCTCAGCTCCCTCTTGATTTTTTTTTTTTTTTTTTTTTTGAGACAGAGTCTCACTCTGTCACCTAGGCTGGAATGCAGTGGCATGATCTCGACTCACTGAAACCTCCACCTCCTGGATTCAAGTGATTCTCCTGTCTCAGCCTCCCGAGTATCTGGGATTGGCTAATTATTGTATTTTTAGTAGAGACAGGGTTTCACCATGTTGGCCAGGCTGGTCTCTAAGTCCTGGCCTCATGATCCACCTGCCTCGGCCTCCCAAAGTGCTGGGATTACAGGCGAGAGCCACTGTGTCCAGCACCTCTTGAGTTTCAAGAAGATATAAGTAATTATGATAGATTAATATATTCTGCTGAGGACCCAAATAAAAACATGAAGGTTGGAAACTGAGGCAAGAATGCATCCCGTAGTTGTAGTCAGAAATCCTTCCTGTTGGTTTCTGCACAAAAAGTGCCTCTTTCAATTAACGTCCACATCAACAAAGCAGCAACTTTGTTGGGTTGGTTTTGTTGACATTAGTTTCAGTCACAAATGAAAATTCTTTGTTTTGTTCTAGTTGAAAACATATTATATCCCTATAGTTTCCAGAACTTTTTTTAATCAACAGAATGAAATTTTACAAAATTGTATTCTGACTTATCAATATGAATAAAACCAATGCTACATGTACCTGCACTATTGGATACAGGTCCTAAAGGAAGCAGCTGGATAAATTGTCCCATTTTAGTGCTCACATGATGAAACTGCCTGATACTTATCATTGGGATACTGCAGCATAACAACGAATAGAATGAGAAGACAGACAAAAGAGACTTTCCCAGTGTCAAGGTAACTGAATCAATATTTTCAGTTTGGTTCCCCTAATTGCCTAGGTTAGTACAGATAAAAGAGAAAAATATTAAGAAGCAATTAGGGAGAGTGAAATAAGCTATAAAGAAGATATACAGAAAAAATTTAAAGAAATCCAACATGATGTATAAATAAAATAGCCAAGACAATAAACATCATATAGTTCTCCTCAAAGAATCATGATTACTCTCATACCCACAATTATATGAGGAGGTGCTAGGTATTGGGTAGTAAAGACACACAAGAATAGTCCTGATCGATCCCATAAGCTCCTGGAATATATGCTGAGGACTTCAGCAACTTGGGAGTGCTCTAGGTGGTGCAATTATCCTCTGGCCATAATCCTTCATATTTACCCAAACGATTTGAAGACTTAGGTCCACACAAAAAGTTGCACATAGACGTTCGTAGCAGCTTTATTTAAAATTGCCAAAACTTGGAAGCAGGCAAGATGTCCTTAAGTCATGGTGGGTGGACAAATAAAGTGTGGTACATCCAGACAATGGAATGGTATTCAGAGCTAAAAAGAAATGAGCTGTTAAGCCATGAAAAGACAAGAAGGAAAGTTAAATGCATATTACTAAATGAAAGAGGCCAATGTGAAAAGACCACATACTGTGCTCTTCCAATTATAAGACATTCTGGAAAATTCAAAACTATGGAGACAGGAATAAGATCAGTGATTTCCAGGGGCTGGGGGAGAAGAAGGGATGAACAAGTGGAGCACAGAGGAATTTTAGGGCAGTGGAACTACTCTGTATGATACCATAATGATGGATACATGTCATTATACCTTGTCCAAACCCACAGAATGTACAACACCAAGAACCAAGAATGAGCACTAATATAAACTATGGACTCTGGATGACTATAATGCATCAATTTAGGTTCATAAATCATAACAACTGTACCACTGTGATGGAGGAAGTTGATAATGGGGGAAGCTATGCATGTGTGGGGGTTGGAGTATATGGAAAATCTCTTTACTTTCCCCTCAATTTTGCTGTGAACCTAAAACTATTCTTAAAAACTTAAGACTTAAATAGAGCAATCAACTGGGAATTAGTGAAGCCTGAAGGTTGTATGTGATATCAGCAAAGACAGATGCCTTAACAGAGAGGCCAGGGAAAGAGACAAAGATAAGGAAAAAAACAAATAGAAAAATGTCAGATATAAATACTACCTTCTTAGCATTTACATAAACTGTAAATGGAATAGACATACCAATTAAAGGGCAGATATGGGCTAAATAGATTTTTTAAATGTGATTCAACTGTATGCTGTCTACAAGAGCTTACTGCTGTCACATTAGATTAAAAGACCCAAATAGATTGAAAGGAAAAAGATGGAAAAAGGTAGACCACACAAATAGTAACAACAACAACAAAAAAAGAGCTGGAGTAACTATGCTAACATCAGACAAAACTGACCTTAAGACAAAAATTGTTTTTAGGGTCAAAGAAGGACATTTTATTATGATTTCATATAAATGAAATCAATAACAAATTCAGGGAGATAAATCAGCATCTACAGTTGCTAAAATACATTATCTAAAATTTCTAATTTTTTACAAAAATTATAAGATATGCAAAAAATAAAGGAAAGTGTGACCCCTGCTCTGGGGTAAAAACTGCCAATAGAAACTATCTGTGAGGGGAGCCTGGATGCTGAAGTTAGGAAAGACTTCAAAGCAGAATTTTAAATATGTTTAGAGAATTAAAGAATCATGCTTTAAAAATTGAAAAATGATAACAATGATGCATTAAGTAGAGAATATCACAAGGAAATAAAAATTATTTTTAAGACAACAGAATAGAAATTCTGGAATTGAACAATACAAGTGAAATAAAAAATTCACTTACATGAGGGACTCAATATAATATTTGAGATGACATAAAATTGAGATGACATAAAAATTACTCATCAAAAATTAAAATAGATCAATAGAAATTACTCAATCTGAAGAACATAGAAGAAAAAAGAATGAAGAAAAATGAATAAAGTGTCAAAACCTATGGGACGCAATCAAGCAAACCAACATGTCTGTAATAGGAATCCCAGAAAAGGAAGAGAATAATTTTTTTTAAAAAAAGAGAGAATAATATATGTGAAAAATAGTAACCAAAAACTATCCAAATACCCAAAATTAATTTCAAAATTAATCTAAAGATCTTAAAAGTTAAAACTTTCAAAAAACATACACGTAAGTAGGAGAAACACAAAAAGATCCACACCTAGATGCATAATAGTCACACTATTGAAAGACAAAGTAAAGCCTCAAAAGCAGTAACAGAAAAATGACTCAATGCGCATATAGGGGAAACAATGATTAACAGCTAATTTCTCATAAGAAGCAATGGAGACCCGAAGTCAGAATGACAGATTTGGACTGGTGAAAGAAAAAAAAACTATCAGGGATTCTATATAAGTGAAACAAAACTGTATTTTAAAAAGACAAAATAAAGGCATTCACACATAAACAAAGAGAGAATTTGTTTCCAAAAGATTTGCTTTACAAGATCTACTAAAGGAAATTCTTCAGGCTGACATCATGTGGCAACTTAAATCCATACAAAGAAGTAAAGAATTGTAGGAAAGATACACACAAACACACACACACACACACAAACTGACCCTCAAACATTGTGGGTTTTAGGGGCACCAGCCCCCTACAAAGTCGAAAATCCGTGTATAAATTTTGACTCCCCCAGATCTTAACTACTAACAGCCTACTATTGACTGGGAGCCTTACCAATAACATAAACAGTCAATTAACACATATTTCATTTTCTTTTGTTTTGATACATGGTCTTGCTCTGTCATCCAGGCTGGTGTGCAGTGGCACAATCGTGGCTCACTGCAGTCTCAACCTCCCAGGAGCATAGTGCTCCTCCCACATCAGCCTCCTGAGTAGCTGGGACTACAGGCATGCACCACCATGCCAGCTAATTTTTTAATATTTTTATAGAGATGAAGTCTCACTATGTTACCCAGGCTGGTCTCAAACTCCTGAAACATGTATTTTGTATGTTATATGTCTTATACACTGTATTCTTACAATAAAGTAAGCTACAGAAAAGAAAATGTTATTAAGACAATCATAAGAAACAAAAACTACATTTACAGTACTGTACTGTGTTTATCGATACCATAAGTTTACATCGTCTGTTTACAAGGTGAATCATCTGTCAGAAATAGTAGGCAACTGCAGCTGCAGACCGCAATCTATGGTACATATCAAGCAATCCAACTTTCTCCTGTAATGTTACGACCTTTCTCTGCTTCTTTAGAGCACTTCCAGCATCACTAATGGCACTTGCTATGGGTCCCATGTGTCATCCACGGTTTAAGCATTGCAGTAAACCAAGAAATACATGGGAATTGAGAGATCACTTTTTACTGCAATAGGCAATTTACTGAAGGGATTAACCACTCATGGAGATGATCAGCACCATATAGCATCTTAAGTAGATCCTCACTCACTGCAATGGCAACAGGAGGTGGCTGTGAAATTATTACAGTAGCACAGTATGTACCACAGTTAACTTTACACAGTTATGATTGAATCCTGCATCTTTACATTTGTTTACATTTCCCTTGGCTGTGAATGGTACCATGTACTGTCTGTGTTTGTGTAAGCTTTGATACATTTTAACTTTTTATAATAGATTTGTGTATATTTTATAGGAGTAAATAAGATAGACTAGTATCTACAAAAATTTTATGCATTCATGACATAGCTTTTGTGGTTTTTTGTTTGGGGTGTGTGTGTGTGTGTGTGTGTGTGTGTGTGTGTGTGTGTGTTTCTGTGTTTGTTTCTCCCATGTGCTTATTTTGGCCCCTGGCCACTCACAACCCACCATCATTTTTTTTTTAATAACTGGTTCAAAGGACAATTTTTTTAACTTTTAAGTCCAGGGGTACATGTGCAGGTTTATTATATAGGTAGACTCATGTCACAGGAGTTTGTTGTACAGATTATTTTGTCACCCAGGTATTAAGCCTAGCACCCATTACTTATTTTTCCTGATCCTCTCCCTCCTCCCACCTTTCATCCTCCAGTAGGCCCCAGTGTGTGTTGTTCCCCTCTTTGTGTCCATGTGTTCTCATCATTCAGCTCCCACTTATAAGTGAAAACATGTGGTATTTGGTTTTCTGTTCCTGTGTTAGTTTGCTAAAGGTAATGGCCTCTGGCTCCATCCATGTTTCTGCAAAAGATATTACCTCATTCTTTTTAATGGCTGCATAGTGTTCCATGGTGTATATGTTTATACATATACTTTACTTTATCCAGTCTACCACTTTATCCACTTTTCTTTATCCAGTCTACCACTGAAGGACATTTAGATCAATTCCATATCTTTGCTATGGTGAATAATGCTGCAATGAACACACATGTGCATATGTCTTTACAGTACAAGAATTTATATTCTTTTTTTATATATACCCAGTAATGGGATTTCCTGAGTCAAATGGCAATTCAGTTTTTTAGCTCTTTAGCTCTTTAAGGAATCACCACACTGCTTTCTACAATGGTTGAACTAATTTACACTCCTGCCAGCAGTGTATAAGTGATCTCTTTTCTCTGCAACTTCATTAGCATGTGTTATTTGTTGACTCTTTAATAATAGCTATATGACTGGTGTGAGATGGCATTGCATTGTAGTTTTGATATACATTTTTCTAATGATAGGTGATATTGAGCTTTTATCATACACTTATTGGCTGCGTGTATGTCTTCTTTTGAAAGCATTCATGTCCTTTGCTCACTTTTTAGTGCAGCTGTTTGGTTTCTTTTTCTTGTAAATTTGTTTAAGTTCCTTATAGACTTTGGTTCCTATTAGACCTTTGTCAGAGATGCATAATTTGCTAAATTTTTTTCCCATTCTGTAGATTGTTTACTCTGTTGATAGTTCCTTTTGCTGTGCAGAAGCTCTTTAGTTTAATAGATCCCATTTGTCAATTTTTGTTTTTGTTGCAATTGCTTTTGGCACCTTTGTCATAAAATCTTTTCCCGTGCCTATGTGCAGAATGGTATTGCCTAGATTGTCTTCCAGGGTTTTATAGTTTGGGGTTTACGTTTAAGTCTTTAATCCAACTTGAGTTGATTTTTGTATATGGTATAAGGAAGGGGTCCGATTTCAATCTTCTGCATGTGGGTAGCCAGTTCTCCCAGCACCATTTATTGAGTAGAGACTGCCTGCCCCACTGCTTGTTTTGGTCAGCTTTGTCGAAGATCAGATGGTCATAGGTGTACAGCCTTATTTCTGGGCTCTCTGTTCTGTTCCATTGGTCTATGTGACATACCTAACTTTGACTTAATTTTTTTCAATATTTCTAAGCTATGCAGTTCATCTGTGTTTTTTCAAATTATCACAAATCTCCAAAAAAAATTCCCATACATTTATTGAAAAAGATCTCCATATAAGTAGACCCATGCAGTTCAAATCCATGTTGTTCAAGGGTCAATTGTATGTCTTTTTTTTATCATTTTTCTTTTTTCTCTTAATATAAAATACATTGCACAAAATAATTGAAATGATAAAACTATTATATATGTTAGGCATATAACGTAGAAGTACAACATACGTGACCATCAAAGCACAAACAAGGGAGGACAAATGGAGCTCTACTGGAACACAATGTCTGTATTTTCCACGAGATAAGTTAGTA
The DNA here is from genome assembly GCF_000001405.40 of Homo sapiens. NCBI lineage: Eukaryota > Metazoa > Chordata > Mammalia > Primates > Hominidae > Homo > Homo sapiens. The sequence continues at coordinate 27,924,592 of NC_000015.10, forward strand.
TTAATCCAGCACAGATCATATTAAACTAAGATGTACAGTTTAACCCTTAGAGCAATCAATAATAAAATAACTCAAAAACACAGTTTTAAAAATAGAAACAAAGAAGAGAATTAGTATACAATAAAATGTAATTTAACACAGTAAGAAAGCAGTAAAAGATAAAGAGAGGAAAAAAGATATGAGATATAGTGAAAATAGCAAAGTAGCAGACGTGAAGCCAAGCGTATGAATAAGTATTAAATGGGGGTGGATTGAATATTTCAATTAAAATGTAGAAATTGTCAGGCTAGATTTTATCATTTTTAAAATGATAAGTCATGCAAACAGTAAACAAAAGTGGGCTGAAGTGGCTATACCAGTATCAGGCAAATAGACCCTAAGACAAAAACATTACCAGAGAAAAAGAGACATTTAGTAATGATAAAGTTCAATTCATTTGGATGATGTAATAATTATAAAAGTATATACACTTAACAACCGATCCTCAAGATACATGAAGCAAAAGCTGACATACTTGAAAGGAAAAATACCCAATCCAACAAAATAGTTGAAGACTGCAATACCCCACTCTCAATAACTGATAGAACAGTTTCACAGAATATCACTAATAATGTGCAAGAGACAAACAGAACTGTTAACAAGCAAGACAAATCTAACACTGATAGAATGCTCCACAAAACAGCAGCAGAATACACATCACAAGTAGAATATTCTCCAAGACAGATCAAATGCTAGACCGTAAAACAAGTCTTAATAAAATTAAAAGGACTGCAATTGTGCAATGTATGTCCTGTGACCACAACTGAATTAAATTAAAAGTCAAAAACATAAAGAAACATGGGCAATCCACAAATATTTGGAGCCTTCAAAACATACTTTGAAATAACCCATAAGTCAAAAAAAGAAATTATATGGAAAATTAGAAAATATTTCTAGCTTAATGAAAATGAAAGCACGTTACATGTTAAATTGAAGAAATGCAAAGAAGTGGTGCTGGGGGCATGGTTTGAGGAGTAGTATCTTTCTGTGTTAGTAAACCTTTCTGTTTGAGGAGGACACAAATTTATAAATGAAGTCTCAAGATTTTGTGAGTAATTTTGTAACAACAATTGTAATGGAAACAATACATATTACTGATGTAGTCTTTTCCGTGATAACGGAAATGTTACTCAAATATCACACAAAATGAAACAGATCATCAAGGTCACACTACCTCCTAAACTTGCTGTTATAAGTAATTTAGCTCCAAACTCAACTTATAGTAAATTATATTTTATAGAAAATGAAATTAGAATGAGTTTACAAACCACAAAGATAATTCAAGAAAAAAAACAAATACGCAGTGCTGTCAGAAATCTCTCAGTGGCTAAGGTAAAGCTGGTTAACTTAAAATAGTCCAATTACAACCTTCATTGTTTTCCACTTAGAGAATATAAGGAAAGATTAATAGATGTAGGCTTTCTTCATTCACCAAATAAAACATGAAATACAAAAATCAGGTAAAATGCCATATGGCAAAAGTTCTAAAATCTTACCTCCATCAGAACAAAGAGCGCTGCAAAAAACAGAAGGGTTGCCCATTCCACTCTGTGTAGAATTATCTCAAAATCATGAATATCAGCTAAAATTAGCAACCAGATGGCACCCAGAATAGCAATCCATCCTGAAAATAAGTAAATAGACATAGAGATATAGTTCCACTGTTAACACACCGATTCATTTCTTTAACCTCTGGTTGCCTTTTTCTTTATCAAGAATAATTGTCATACTACAAACCGCATATATGTAAAATGCATATAATTTCTATTTGGTTATGTGTATACTCATGAAACCAACACTGTAATCAAGATAATGAACATGCCCATTGACCCACAAGTTTATTCATGCCTATGTTCTTGTACCTCCTCTAGCTCCTCTTGTCAACCCCCACACTCCCAGTAAACCATTCATCTCTTTTCTTTCACTATAGATTGGCTTAAATTTTCTATAAATGCAGGTTTTCTGTAAATTGCACCATAGTTTTTTGTTGTTGTTGTTTTGGGGGCCTTTTTGAGACACAGTTTTGCTCTGTCACCCAGGCTGGGCTGCAGTTCAGCTCACTGCAACCTCCACCTCCCAGGCTCAAGCTGGGGAGCCTCAGCTTCCCAAGTAGCTGGGATTACAGTCATGCACCACCACACCCAGTTAACTTTTTCTATTTTTAGTAGAGATGAGGTTTCACTATGTTGACCAGGCTGGTCTCACACTCTTGCCCTCAAGTGATCCGCCCACCTCAGACTCCCAAACTGCTGGGATTACAGGCATAAGCCACCATGCCCCACCTGTTGTATTTTTTGTCTGACTGTTTCTCAATAGACAGATCATCCAGACAAAAAAATTAATATTCAGCATAATCATGTTAAGATCCTTCACTGTTGGCCGGGCCCGATGGCTCACGCCTGTAATCCCAGCACTTTGGCAGGCCCAGGCAGGCAGATCACCTGAGGTCAGGAGTTCGAGACCATCCTGACCAACATGGAGAAACCCCGTCTCTACTAAAAATACAAAATTAGCTGGATGTGGTAGCACATGCCTGTAATCCCAGCTACTTGGGAGGCTGAGGCAGGAGAATTGCTTGAACCTGGGAGGCAGAGGTTGTGGTGAGCCGAGATCACGCCATTGCACTCCAGCCTGGGCAATGAGAGCCAAACTCCATCTCAAAAACAAAAAAAAGATCCTTCGCTGTTGGTGTGTGAGTCAGTAGTTCATCTTTTTTAATGTGTAGTAGTATGCTAGTGTGTGGCTATATTACAATGTACATACCATTCACCTATTGATGGACACATGGATTGTTTCCAGTGTCTGGCTATTTCAAATAAACATGCTATGAACATTCATATACAAGTTTTTGTATGTACACATGCTTTCAGTTCTCTTGGCTAAATACCTAGGAATGAGATGGTTGGATATATGATAGCTTAATACTATGCAATGTTATATGCAACATTTATGCTTTAGGAAACTGCAAAACTATTTTCCAAAATAATTTTATCATTTTACAATCCCACCAGCAGTGGATGAGAATTCCAGTTCTTCCACATCTTCACCAACATTTGATCAGCCTTTCTGATTTTAGACATTCCAATGGTTGTGTAGTGGGATCTTACTGTGGTTTCCAATTGCATTTTTCTCATGACTAATGACTTTGAGCATCTTTTTTTTTTTTTTTTTTTTTTTTTGAGATGGAGTCTTACTCTGTGGCCCAGGCTGGAGTGCAGTGGTGCAATCTCAGCTCACTGCAACCTCCATCTCTCAGATTCAAGTGATGTTCCTGCCTCAGCCTCCCGAGTAGCTGGGATTACAAGTGTGCACCACCATGCCCAGCTAATTTTTGTATTTTCAGTAGAGATGGGGTTTCACCATGTTGGCCAGGCTGGTCACGAACTCCTGACCTCAAGTGATCCACCCACCTTGACTTCCCAAAGCGCTGGAATTACAGGCATGAGCCACCATGCCCAGCCAACACTGAGCATCTTTTACTTACTTGACATCCATATATCTTCTTTCATAAAGTTTTTGTTTAATTGTTCTGGTTATATTTTTCCTTACTGGTTAGAGCAAATGAAACCCAAAATAAGTAGAAGAAAAGAAATAATAAAGACTGGAGTAGAAATCAATGAAATAGAAAATGGAAAAAATGTTAGAGAAAAGCAATGATACCAAAACTGGCTTCTTTCAAAAGCTCAGTAAGATCAGTCAACTTTTAGCCAATCTGAATAGAGCAAGTGAGAAAACAAAATTTCCAGTATCAAGAAGAAGATCAGTGGCATGACTATAGATGCTATAGATATAAAAAGGTGTACTAGTTTTCAATTATATCATGATTTTCATAGGTCAGAGGATGCTGGTTCACAGCAGGATGTCTGCTTAGAGTCTCATGAAGTCACAGCCACAGTGTTGGCAGGGCTGCGTTCCTGTCTGGAGGCTCTAGGGGAGGATTTGTTTCTCTGCTCATTCAGGTGTTGACATAATCCAGTTCCCTGCAGCTGTAAGACTGAGGCCCCTGTTTCCTTACTGGCTGTCACCCAAAAGCTGTGCTGAGCTTCCAGAGGCACCCACATTCCCAGCCTCATGCCTCCATTCCTCCATCTTCAAAGTCAGCAATGTCCCTCTCACACTTCAAATCTCTCCTGCCTCTTCTTCTGTCACAGCTCTCTAACTGGCTCTTCTATCTTTCACTTTATTTTTAAGGGCCCTTATGATTACATTGGATCTACCTGGATAATCCAGAAAAATCTCCCTTTATGGAGGTTTATAACCTAAATCCACCTGCAAAGTTCCTTGGCTATGTAATATAACATATATGGCCATTAATATCAGGGACTACAGGGTGGACTCCTTTGAAGCAGAGAGGTATGTACGAATTAATTTGGGGAAAATTAACATTTTAACAATATAGGGGCTTCTGATCTATAAACACAATATATAGCTCCAATTATTTATGTCTTCTTTCATTTTTCCTAAGAATGTTTTGTATAAATCCCAGCACTCTTTTGTGTAGAAATTAACAAACTGATTCTAAAATTCACATAAGAATGCAAAGGACTAGAATAACCAATGCAACTTTTATAAAAAAATAAAAAAGAACAAGGTTTGAGAATATACTTTATCTCACCTCAAGATTTATTATAAAGCAACAACAATAAAAACAATGTGATATTGCATCAAAATAAATTGATCAATGGAGAATCCAAAAATATACCCATATATTTATGGTCAATTGATTTTTTTGCAAAGATTCAATGGTGGTTTAATACAGAAGGAGAAGTCTTTTCCACATATGGTGCTGGAACAGTTGGATATCCACATGCAAAAGAACTTTTACTTTGATCTGCTCACTAATCATATACGAAATTTAATACAAATGGATTATAGGTCTGAATGTAAAACACAACTATAAAACTTCTGGAAGAAAATATAGGAAAAAATCTCTGACCCTGAGTTAAAGGTTTTCTTAGACATAACAGTAAAAACATAATATATGAAAAGAAAAAAATCATATTAATTGGACTTTATCAAAATTATGAATTCCTGTTTTTCAAAGGGCACTGTTAAGTTAAAGTAGAGAAATGCCACAAACTGGGAGAAAATATTTCCAAATCATCTATCTGATAAAAGACTAATATCTAGAATATATATATATAAATTTTTAATTCTCAAATTCAACAAGTAAACAACACAATTCAAATGGGAAATATTTTAAACAGACACTTCAACAAAGAAGACATAAGATTGACAAATGATTACATGAAAAGATGGTCAAATATCACTAGCCATTAGGGAAACGTGGAGTAAAACCACAATGACATTTCACTATCTACCTTAGAATGTGTAAAATCAAAAACACTGACTAAAGTAAATGTTGACAAGGAGATGAAGGAACAGGAACTTTCAAGCACTGCTGGTGGGAGTGTAAAATGGTTCAACCATTCCGGAAAACAGCGTGGCAGTTTTTAAAAACATGATCCATACACCTACCAATATGAACCCACCATTCCACTTTCAAGTATTTACCCAAGAGAAATTAAAGCATAAGGTAACACAAAGAATTGAACACGATGTTTGCTGTAGTCTTAGTTTTGATGGTCAAGAACTGGAAACAATTCAAATATCCATCAACAGGTGAATGTGTGTACAAAAAGATGGTGTAATACTCAAACCATGGAATACTACTCAGTAATAACAGGAATGAATTATTGATGTATGCTACCACATGGATGAATCTCATAATAATTATGCTGAATGAAAGAAGCCAGACCAAATATACATATATACCATTTTTAATATAAAGTTCTAGAAAATTTAAATAGCAGGGTTTGACAAGCTATAGTCCATGGGTCAAATCTGACCCCCTGCTTGTTTCTATAAATATAATCTTATTGAAATACATCCACAGCCACCCATTTACATACTTTCTATGACTGCTTTACCACAACCCAGTCATTTAGTATTTGTGAGAGAGAGTGTCTGGCTAAAAAGCCTCAAGTATTTTCTATCTACTCTTTTATGGAAAAGCTTGCCAACTCTTAATCTACAGTGACAGAAAACAGGTCAGAGACTGCCTGAGGATGGAGGTGCTGGGAGGTCAGGAGTAAGCGAGTATCAAGAGGCTCAAGGAGCTCCTCAGTGTGGTGACTGAGCCAGGCTCTTCATCAGGGCAGGGGTCTGACACTTCATCTCTAAACACTCTGATTCCAACTCTAAGGTTCACTGAATTTTCTTAGAATATTTTTTGCTGTCTCCAGTAAACACTGTAGACAAGATGTGCTTAGAACACTAAAAGTTCAAAGAACTGGGGCATCATCAAATTAGCCAAACACGTTGCACAAACTGACATATGCCTGCTCACAACTAAATATGGATCTGATTGATAGTTATGTGTGTGACTTTCATTATAAGCACTACAGAGCTAGCCATCTCCCACTTTCAAGAGTTAGAGACTACAGTTAGGGTCCACCAAAAGATAAAGGAGTTCTCCAAGACCAGAGTGGATCAGGCCGGCTTGCAACTAGGAGAAACAGAATACTATTCAGTTTAAAAACAAAACAAAACAAAAAAAGTACTAAGATCTCAATTGTTTACGTATTTGAGGGGAAAAAAAAATCTCTTAAATAAGAATTACCTGGATGGATAACGTATCCTTTTAAACAGTTCTTGACAATTCTATACCTTGCATTTTATTTTATCTATTTATTTATTTATTTTTCTTTTTAATTTTTTTGAGATGGAGTTTTGCTCTTGTCGCCCAGGCTGGAGTGCAGTGGCACAATCTTGGCTCACTGCAACCTTTGCCTCCCAGGTTCAAGTGATTCTCCTGCCTCAGCCTCCTGAGTAGCTGGGATTACAGGTGCCTGCCACCACACCTGGCTAATTTTTTGTATTTTTAGCAGAGACGGGGTTTCACCATGTTGGCCAGGCTGGTCTCAAACTCCTGACCTCAGGTGATCCACCAGCCTCAGCCTCCCAAAGTGCTAGGATTACAGGCGTGAGCCACCACGCCCAGCCTGTACCTTGCATTTAAAAAAAAAAACAAAAATGATCTGTTCTTATTTTCTCAAATTATTTCTATTACTCTTACTCTACCTTCAAGGGCTTAAATATAGATTATTTTCTGGAAAACAATGACAGTTATTGAATACGATGTATAGAATTTGAAGAGGTATCCAAACTACCCTTTTGTCTCCTACGGTTCCTCCTGCTTTCCAAAGTATACCCACTTGTCTACTTTTGCAAGACCACTGTCTCACAATATCAGGAAACACTCCTGTTCATCTGGTCCTCACTGAATGTCCCCTAAATCCAAATTGTTCTGTATGCCACTTTTGGAAACCTGCTCTGTACCTGCCTCTGAGCTTAAGGGATACAGATGGGAATGTAAGCAAGGCACCACTTTGAATTCCAAGGGCCTCGCCGTCCAGTGGAGAACACATGTATGTAAATAACGTTATACTTAATGCAATACTATAGGTAGATGTGAACCACTGGAGAGCACCCAGAAAAAAATAACAATATATGGGGACTGAGAGAAGGTTCCACAAAGGAGGTGAACCCTGCTCCCTGGTTCAGGTAGAGAAGAGCAGCATTATTCACAAACTATTGTGAATGTCTGTTCTAACCTGGCTGGAGGGTAGCTGAGGCACTGAAGCAAGGCATTCATCTGTTTCACCTAAGGCAGAACTTAGGCCAGGAAAATGGCAGGCATTGTTCAAAATCACTGCAAGCCAAACCACAGATGCCTGGGGAAAAGACAAGCATGTAATGCGCCACCTGAGGAATAGGAGCAAAATCTGGGGAGAGTTTCTTTGTGAAACTGAGATATTCAAAAACAAACATGGGGCGGGGCAGGGCAGAGCTAGGGGGCGGTGGGGGCAGGCAGAGATAAGGAAAGCCACCTGCATGCCTAGGGAAAGGCCCATGCTCAGAAAAGACTGGAGAATTCCCAAAACTTTCAGCTTGTGCTGATGCCTAGTCTCAGTGCAAGCCTGGCTAAGTTTTGAAGGAGGGTTCTAGCACAGAGCCAATCTATAAAACAGGAAGAGGTATTTTTGTTGTGGTGGTTTGTTTGCTTTTAGCTCCTGGAATTCAAATCAATCTGTGTCAAAACACTAGCCGAACACAGTAAGCAATCACTAAGGAACAGAGATTCCAGTGACCATACATGACAAGGAATACAGTCTTTTCAAAAATAGTTTGGAAATGTCACAAAACAAACAAGACTACTACAGCCTTCGATTATAAAAAATAATAATAATAACCCCGGGGAAGGGAGTGAAACTGATTTCCAGATTTACCACAATATAATATTCAAATGTTCAGTGTTCAACCAAAAATAAATCACAAGGCATAGAAAAAAAAAACAGGCTAATGGAATAGAATATAGAGCCCCGAAATAAACACGTATGCTTATGGTCAAATGATCTTTGATGAGAATGCCAAGACTACTCAATCGCAGTCTGTTTAACAAATGGTGTTGAGGAAACTGGATATCTGCATGCAAAAGAATAAAGTTGGACCCTTATCTTACACCATATACAGAAACTAATTCAAAATCGATTAGAGACCTAAACATAAAGTCTAAAACTATAAAACTCCTAAAAGAAAACATGGAGGAAAATATTCAGTATATTGGACTTGGCAGTGATTTCTAGGCTATGACAGCAAAAGTGAAAAAAAGCAGAAATAAACAAATGTGATTACATTAAACAGACAGAAGGTAGATTAAGAGATTACCAGGGGTGGGCAGGGTGGGAGGTGAAATGGAGTCATTGCTTAATGATTATAGGGTTTCTTCTTGGGGTTAATGAAATGTTTTGGAGATAACGGTAATGGTGATTGTCACGCGTGTCCGTATGAAGAGACCACCAAACAGGCTTTGTGTGAGCAATAAAGCTTTTTAATCACCTGGGTGCAGGCGAGCTGAGTTCGAAAAGAGAGTCAGCGAAGGGAGTTAGGGATGGGGCAGTTTTATAGGACTGGGGTAAGCAGTGGAAAGTTACAGTTAAAGGGGGTTTTTCTCTTGCAGGCCAGGGCGGGAGTCACAACGTGCATGCTGGAGAGAACATAAGACTCATTGTCCAGAAGAAGAATGTCATGAGGTCGATGGATCCATCAGTTGGGACAGCGCAGGAACAAGTCATAGCGGAATGTTGTAAGGTTGGTCAATCAATTAAGACAAGAGCTGGCTGTTTCACTTCTTTTGTACTTTTCAGTTGCCTCAGGCTATCTGGTGCAGCCTTGTGCTCAGAGGCCTGACAGTGATGTAATTAATGCCACTGAGTTGTACAATTAAAAATAGTTAAAATGACAAGTTGTATGTGTTATATACATATCACATATGTATTTGATATATACATAACACATATATGTATATATCACATATGGATATATACATATCTATATACATATACATATCACATACTTTATATGCATACACAATTTTATGTGATATACATATATATCACACAAGCCTTGCCATTTTAACCATATATTTTTTTAAGCATATGATATATTATTTTTCTTACTACAACAGCAACATTTTAAAAAGGAAGATGGGGTTGGGAAGGACATTGTCATTTAGCATGTGAAGGGCAGACCATGTTTTATATCATGCAAAAATGTTGGGACCCCAGTCTTAGACAGGGAGAAGTCAATGAGATTTCTCAGCAAAGAGGCTGCAGTGGCCTAATTTCTACTTATGTTAGCTTTGTCTCCTAACCAGAATGTTACTTTTCTTTGAATTCTCCAGGGCACGTACCACACAGTTCAGAAGACAAACAGACACTTGCTTATCTGATCATCACATCTGATGGTGATTCCTTCACCGCTCCTCTAACACAGATCACCACATCTTTTCTTTAAATTCTCAGTAAGAAATAATTGCTCCAATTTCACTTCTCCTGGGTAAAGCTTTTTGACCCCAGAAATGGCATCCCTTGTTTTCTCTGCTATATAGCAATAAGAAGCTCTCTCTAAAAGTCAGTAAGAACACAAGTTCTTTTCCATGATTCTGAGAGAAATTTCAGTCATGACAAAAAGCTGGAAGGTCCTTTAGGGCTCTTTTTATAGTTCTGCTTTCTCTTATCAATTGTGGAGGCCTGAGCTTTCCTCCAGCCAAAACTCCTGCTATAGCACTCATCCATCCAACTTCAGAAAGTTTCCATAGTCACGGAGATTTGTCTTGTTAGAAAAATTCCCTGCAATAGCCTACAATCGAATGAAGACCTTGTCCCTGCAAAACCTCAATTCCCTCTTACTTTTAATCGCACTGCCTGCAGAGCCAGCGGCACTAATCAGGCTGCCGGTGCATAAGCTCGTCTGCTTGGTATTGCCTGGTCCTGCTCTGAGTCCAGACCACACTTTCCACTGCAGCCCCGGTCCCTGTGAGCAATGCTCCAGGCTGCTCTGCTCAGCACCGGCTCCTCAGGGACACTGACAAAGGGTGAGGCAGTGGTTCTTCCACAGTGTACTGGAAGCAAAAGCCACTGACGGAAACATCCCAGTTTCCAGCTTCACATTCTATTACAAATTCTAACAATGTGTCATTGAGACTCTTTTCCTAAAAATTAAAAATGCAGTTGAGTGGAGATGAATACAGATAAAAAGTACCATTTACGTGACCTGTCTTTATCCTGTGGAGCTTCTATCAAACGCTTTCCTCGAGTGGGCATTAATCTCTCACCAAGAGCTTTGCCATTTCTCAACTCAAAAAATCTGAGATAAGTGGCTCTGTACTTTCATTTGTGTCTCCAACAGAGTCAAGTTTCTATGCCGAACAAATAGCTAAAGGAGCCTCTTTTCCCTCATTCCTAAAGCCCTGGGCAACATGATTCAAAGGAAAGTAGGAAAGGGCTTTCACCAGTCCCCCAGCAGCCTCCTCCGCACAGGCATTTGCTGGGCATCTCTCAGCACCCCAGCCCAGGGGGAAACTGAGGCTCCCGAAGATGGACTGGTTTTCTCCAGGCTGCACAGCTTGCTGGGGTGAAGCCAGGATTCAATCCCCAGTCTGCAAGAATTTCCTTCCATGCTGCCACGTTATATTCCTCTGATATGCTCAGGCTTCTGATGGAATGATTTTGCTAATTATGAACAGATCTGGTTTATTTATTTCAAATCTCTTGTCACAGTGTGATTGGATGAATATACTGAGAAATGTAACTTAATTTTGTTCTATTTGAAACCTTGTCATCTTTTATAAAAGATATACTGTACAGTTCCTTGCCCTGGACATTGTGTAACTGACTTTGACCAAAGGCAGTACTGTCCTGATCAATTAAGATGAACTAACCTATGTACCTTGAGGCACACAGGATGCATCTCCAGAGAGTATCTCAACAGTTACTCATCTCATATTCATCCTTCCAAACAGGAAAACCCACAGATGGACTGTGCATACCATATACAGTACAAACCACCCTGCCTGCCACCCTTTCATGAAGTACTACATGAGTACTGGCCATCAACTGCCTGAAATAGACCAAGTAAGATCACAAATAATCAAGGACTTTCTGTTGCACAGCTACACTGTGGTTGTTCCTTGGGTAATTCTAGCTCTCTCACTTACCCAAGCACTCAACCTCCAGGGTGCAAACCCAGTGCTTCCTTGTGGGGAGCACCCACTCCACAGTTGGGTGGGTGAGTAGGACAGGGCACATGGGATGAGCTGGCTTAGAAAGTCAGAAGGAGCCGAGTGACCAGGGGGTTAAGGTCTATTATAGCACCATGCATCAGGCAGTTGCTATGGCAGCAGAAGGAGGGAGCACCTAACTACTTACTCAATTATCATGTAGACTGCACAGGCTTTCTCTCAAGAGAAAACTCCCATTCTTTCTAGTTTCCCTTTAAAATCCAGCAAAAGAAAGACCATTTTTTATAATCTTCGTGTCTTCCTGCACTGCTTGGCCATCAGCCTGAACTGTTTGTTCATATCTCATGCAATCGTGCACCAGGCACTGCTCTTCAGGCCTGTGTGTATTACCTGATTCAATCCTCACAGCAATTTTAAAGCCTAGCTCCAACACTCAGTGGCTCTTATGGGCACCTGCTGTGTGCTGCAGGACACAGGCTTAGAACCAGGAAGATTGAGCTCCAGATCTGCCCTCTCCCTCCTAGACCCAGAAAGTGGCTGTGACTGCCCAAGATACCCGCTGTAGCTGCAACACCAAAGCTCGGAGTGAAGCTAATGGCTTCCATTCAACACCTGGAAGCTTCTGCGTGGTTTCCAATCTGGCTTAGGAAATGCCTCAATTACATCAAGTGAGTCATTTAAAAGAGTTGAGGTTGGAAAGAATAAAGATTATTCTATTTCTGAGCATTTTGCCTCAAATAAAGATTTCCACCAATACAGACAGGCCAGTGGCGGGGGAGGGGACGCTGCTGACTTTCCCCTCCCTCTCTCTTCACCGTCCCCCCACATTCTCTGCCCCAGAGGCTGAATTGTGCAGACCACATCAAAAGGTTTCATGACCGAGGATGCCAGTCAGGCTCTGCCCTTCACAACCAGAGAGTAAATGTGCCTGTTTCTGAGTTCTTCATAAATGGAATCATATAGCATATACTCTTTTCTGTCAGATTTTTCTTTTGGCCAACACATTTGTGAGATCCAGTCATGTAATACGTTCATTTTTTATTTCTGTATAGTATTCCACTATATGACTCTCCCACCATTTGTCCGTTCTAGGGGTTGATATTTGAGTTGTTTCCAGTTTGGGGCTATTATAAATAGGCTGCTATGAGCATTTTCAGAGAGTCTTTTGGTGTGCAAATGTACATATTTTTGTTGGGCATACCACTGTGAACAAAATTACTAAGCAGAAGATATACATTGTTCTAAACTTTAGTAGATGCTGTCAAATCATTTTCAAAAGTCATTGTACAAATTTACAATCTTATCAGCAATGCATGACACTTCCTACTGCTCCACAATCTTTCAGCACTCAGTACTGTCAGTCTTTTTTTCTAACCATTTAGGTGTGCATATAATGGCATCTCGTTGTGGTTAAATTTTGCATTTTACTCATGACTTACAAGGTTGAACACCTTCTCATATGCTTACTAATACTTTCAGTAATTTCAATATCTTCTTCTGTGAAGTGTCTACTTAAGATTCCGTCCATTTTTCTATTGGGGGGTTCTGTCTTTTCTTATTGCTCTATAGATGTTCTTTTTATATTTTAGATATAATTTCCAAATGTGACAATGGATGCTTTTGCACACACTTTTTTCACTCTGTGGCTTCTTGTTCACTCATTTAGTAGTACACTTTGAGACATAAGTTCCTAATTTTAAGATAGTCAAAGTTATCAACCTAATCTTTTACCATTAGCACTTTTCATATCCAATTTAAAAAGCTGAGTCACAAATATAAATAAGAAAATGATGGGCCAGCTTACCCTAGTGATTGCATGTTATGCATGAATAGACTGTAAGGTATGTTGGTAAGTTATTGCTGCAATAAAGCTACATAACAAAAAAAGGAGTTGAGTCACATGGAGATGTTTGATGACATAATATGATGTGATGAAGACACTCAGCAGGATCCCTATTTTACAGAGGCCACTGAACCTTACATAGATTAGGTCCTCTTAAACCAAATGGGCACGTTGGGGAGGGAAGTGCATGTAGCTGTGCAGGAGGGGAAGAAGATACACACCTGCCTCAGCTTACGTGCCACCTAAGATCTGATGAGGGTCAGGAGGTAGCTAAGCATCCACCCTGTCTCACCAGGCGGCATTCTAGCCCTTCTGCCCACAACTTGCAGAGGCAAGACTCCAGGCTCATTGCTCACTAGACCAAGTGGGCTGATTCCAGCTTTTCATCAGCAAAAGTGTTTCAATGTATGCATTCCACCCCACTTCCAAAAATGGAAGGGAGAAAATTGTGATGGCAGGGTCAGGGAATGGTACAGCCCTACAAATATGCCATTAGAAGGCAGTAACTAAAACTTTCAGGACACTCAAGGGTTACTGTGCTTAGAGGCTGGTAAGTTTCACCAAATATGAAGACCTCTAATGAGAACACACAGACACAGACACAGAGGCAGGATTTTTGTCCTTGATAAACACAAGTACCAGTTACCCAGGCTGTCCCCTGAATGCCAGCTCATTCACATTCTAAAGCACTCACATTGTCAGAGAAAGACAGTGGCAGGCTGAGCTCCCGGGATGGACTGAGAGACAGCTGCATCGATGCACATGCCCTGAGCACACTCAAGTATGGTCTCTGTGGCCTTGGGAGTGGCGGACTGGACTGAGCTCTGCCCCGAGGACTGCACAGGCTCATGGAGAAGACAGCTCACATACAACTGCCGTGATGGACCTGTGACGGCTATGCTAGCCTCACACACCAAGGTACCATAGGGGTCTCTCAGCTAAATCCATACGCTTGCTGAGGCCATGGGGGAACCAACCAGAGCTTAACTGAACATTGGAGCTCTTCTGTGGTCTCAAGCATCTTTGAAACATGTTGAAAATCAAACAGGCTCTGAGGAGCTTCATATTCTTGACTGTTAAAACTCATGTGAACTAGAACATCTATGACAAACTCATAAAAATGTCAGCAAGAAAGGAAGGCATCATAGCTGTTTTCTTAACTTACTTTTATTTTCACTATTTTAGGTCTCAATATCAAATGATTTTCTAACCTCTACTTTTAAAAAATTAATTGAAATGTTGGCCATGTTTATGATGAGTATTATTCACCACTCCAAACAAGACTCTGCTAACATTTGTACTCAATTTCTGGTACCCTCGGGGCCTATTAAATGCAGTGATATGTAAAATATGAATATTATGCTCCCTAGATATCATGAAGGAGTAGAATTAAAATTGTGAGTGCTTAAAATGATGTCATCTCATTGTGGTTAAATTCTGCATTTTACTGATGACTTACGAGGTTGAGCACCTTTTCATATGCTCATTTATTCATTAAAATGAGTAATCCTTACACAAGAATAACTAAGCATAAAGAAATAATGCTAAATGCAGTTAAGAATTCTCATTTTGCACTTGTGCATTTGGGCTTTGTTAAAGAATCAGGTTCGTTATCACAGAGGCAGGTCAGTGCTGCAGGTGCATTAGACACGGTCAGGAATCGTGCCTCATTCACAGGTATCCCTGGTGCCTCTCACAGTGAGGAGTGGGTAAAAACACACTCAAAAATAACGAATCAACAAGTGAATGAACAAGCAGCTAAAGTATCTGCATTAAACACGGAATGCAAATTCTCAGAATGCCACACAACTTGGATCTTCTTGTAGCAAGTAACGTTTACTCCTCATTGCAGGTTTTCCTGTGGTCCTCGGGAACCACCCAGGTCACTGACTGCACAACTGCAGTGAGCTGCATTCCATGTGGATGGAGCCTGGAGAGGCGGGCCACAGAGCAGCCTGACCCTGAGAAACACACCCAGCTCTTCTTGGACATCACACAGCTTTGCCGTTGGGACTGAACCCCCTTTCTTCTCAGGCTCCTCAAAATCCAAATAGAATGCATTTCTGATTGATACATTCCATGCTCACCAGCATCCAAGCAGATTTTAGTCACCCCCACTGGTGGGCCACTATGTAATATTCTAAAGTACCAGATAAAACATCATATCATGTAAAACCCTTAACAAATCGTGTAGGAGGTGTTTTGTGTATCGGTTCACTAGTAGCTTGTCAGAGCTCCCCACACCTGTCACTCTTCTCCCTACTGGACCCCCAGAAAGGTTTCCAGCCCTGTAGTTAGGTGAAGCCACAAGACCAACCCGGCCATTGGGCCATGAGCAAATGAGACACACATTCCTAGCCTGGCATTTACAGGCAGCTGTCAGTTCTATCCCCTGTCTCTTCCTTGCCAAGATGATCCTGAAAGCTGCTGTTTCTATGGTGGCATCACAAAACGCCAGTGTCTCTGTCCAGCAGGGACCCTACTGACCAGCACTAAAGATGTCACCAAGAAAAAGTGTGGTTGTGTCAAGCTTCCAAGACAGCAGGGCCAGTGTTTCACTCAGCAAAGCCTATCCTATCCTGATACATCCGGCACAAGAAAATATCAAATGGATAGGCTATATGTCATCTGGTCTGTTTGCAAACGTTGAAAGAAAAATTAGGTCAGTCATGTTTGCAGTTGTTCAGTTTTGTTCCAATTAACTGTGTCATTCACTAGCAATGGAATACCTAATTTCCACAAATGCACATCATAAACATCACCGAAAAACTGCTTTTTATTATTAAAAGTTTGAGAAGTGAATGGCCACAGCACTATTCTCTCATAATTTATTTAAATTCTTCTTCAGATTATTAATGTTGAGGAATTTAAATGTGACCACAGTGTAGCTTCAGACAAGCAAGTGAAAATGTTGACACAACCTAACTCTTCTTAGCATTGTGACTGCAAAGTTAGGGATATCCTGAGCCCTGAAAGGAAGAATCTCTTGGTCCCAATATTTCTAATAATTCTGTAGCTGTGATTTCTCCAGACTTGGTTTTCTATAGTGAATATAAAGACTGTCTTTCTTATTAATGCTAAGGGGAAAATATAATTTACATAGAAAAATGTTAATATATATTGAGACAATGTAGAATCTTAAGGGTAATGACCAATGAAAAAATTGTAAGTAGTAATCATTCGATGTGAGAATGTTAACAATCTCTTGATGAATGCATATCTAACACCTTACTCTCCCACCCATAACTCACAGATACTTTTATTCAAATAGAGACCACTAACATTTCTGAAAATCCACAGTTTAAAAGCTAATGTGGTACTCCGTCAAAATTATCCAACCTTTTAAAAATCTCGCAGTCTTACTGTTATATGCAGACCTATGTGATCCAAGCCATTTGGAATGAAAAATGAAGTGAGAAACAGTCATTAAATGGATTTGCTCTACCCCCAAATTCATTAACCTGTGGGTACTCAATGGAGGATATTGGCTGCATTATTGAAAACATTTTGGAGCTAATAAAAGGAGACCGCAACCAACGATGAATCCCCGCATGTGGAGAATCATGACCAACCCTATGAAATGCTTCACTAGGCTCCTGGCAAGGCTGCGGTTTTAAGCAACTAGAGGAGAGACACTGGCCTTCCTCATCCTCATATGTGTGCATGATGCTCAGGAAGGGAGATTCAAATGGGCAAAAATGCTCCAGAGTTAGGAACAAATCTTCATAGCAAAAGAAGGCTGTTGTTAATGTAAATCACAGCTGAAATTTCCAAACAGATGGAAAAAACAAGTTCACATGTTATTTAGTAAAAGAGCATTTCATAAATGGCCAATAAGCACATGAAAAGATGCTCAATGTCATTCATCACTAGGAAATGCAAATCAAAGCTGTAATGAAGTACCACTTCACGCCTGGTATGATGAGCATAATCAAGGACACACACAATAACAAGTGCTGGTGAAAGTGTGGAGAAATCAGAACGCTCATGCATTACCACCAGGAATGTAAAGGTGCATCTGCTCTGGAAAAGCAGTTAGGCAGGGTTTCTAAAAGTTCAACAGAGAGTTGCATATGACCTTGCAATTCCACTCCTAGGTCAAACAGCTAATAAATGGATAAATAAATTGTGATACATATTATATATTACTATATATAATATATGATATTATATATGATATACATACGATATACATAATATATATGATATACATATATAATATACATAGTTTAATAGAAAACATATATATGAATATCATACAGCCAAATGAAATGAAGCACTAATCCATGATGCAACACGGATGCACCTTGAAAATGTTATGCTAAGTGAAAGAAGCTGGACACAAAAGACCACATGTTAAATGATTCCATTAAATGAGATGTCCAGAATAGGCAAATCCAGGAACAGAAAGTAGGATTAGTGGTTTCCAGGGTCTGGGGGTTGGGGAAAGGGGGGAAGCAGTGTGTGAGTGACTACTAATGGGTATAGGATTATTTGGGGAATGAGGAAAGTGTTCTGGAATTGGATACTGACAATGGTTGTACAACTTTGTGAATATACTAAAATACACTGAATGATATAATTTTGCAAGATAAATTTTATGTTGTGTGAATTCTATATCTCCATTTTTAAAAAACTGAGTCATTCTCTCTCCCCCATGATTTCATTTCTTCAGTGTTATGATGAAATTTGGTAATTCTACCCACGGTGAGGATAGTAAGGAAAGCAGCTAATTATTCTAATTGACTTATAAATCCAAGATCCATATTATATTACTTTACATTATGTTATATTATATTGCATTATATTATATTTATCATCATTCTGAAATAATCTCTTGGATATTTACATTCATCTAAGATGAATATTTGATGAAAATTAGAATAGAGCCATCCAGGGATGTAAATATTTTTATTATCAGGTTAACACAAACTGTATGTAATAACTGCCTTAAATAGTTTACATATATCAGGGCTATTTTCTAATATGCCAAAGCCTTTCCAGTAAGAGCTCCTCATTTCTTTTGGGGATTTCATTAGGCCTTTCATCTGTAACTTTGTAAACCAAAAACAAATCTCTAAGCCCCTCAACCAACTGACGGACCCCCTCTCAGCCAAGGACATTTCAAAGAAATCTGAAAAACTAGTTCAGGGCATGAAGGGGGTCAGCCGTGCCTCACTGTACCCCACTCCCTTTGGAATTCAGACACAACTCACCAGCATTCACATTAAAACAGGGATCTTCAGACCGATAGAATAGATGTAGCAATAAGATACCAAATTCCATCCTGACTCTAGTATAACATCACATGACAGACAGCAGGCCCTGAAAGAAATCAAAGTATTTTACCCCAAAATACGCTTCTTTGACACATTTGGAGATGGCCTTGCAAAGTTGTCTTTTGTGGGGAAAATCTATATTCTGTAGAGAATCCCCTTCCCTTTCCAAAACCTTTCCCTAAGACTCTGGTAATTTTTTAGGTCTGATAAGAGCTCTGAAACCTGCTACCTGGAGGCTTCATCTGCATGATAAAAACCTTGGTCTCGGCACACGTATACATATGTAACTAACCTGCACAATGTGCACATGTGCCCTAAAACTTAAAGTATAATTTAAAAAAAAAAAAAAAAAAAACCTTGGTCTCTGCAACCCCATATCTTAACCCAGGCTCTTCTTTCTATTGATTCTGGGACTTTAGATAATAACTCTTTCAACCAATTGCCAATCAGAAAGTCTTTGAATCCACCTATGACCTGGAAGCCCTTATCCTGCCCCCTGCTTCGAGTTGTCGCACCTTGCCGGACTGAACCAATACACAACTTACATGTATTGGTGAATATCTTCCTGTAACTTCTGTCCTCCTAACATGTATAAAATCAAGCTGTAACTCAACCACCTTGGGTACATGTTCTCAGGATCTCCTGGAGTGGTGTCATGGGCCGTGTTCACTCATTTTTGCCTCAGAATAGATCTCTTCAAATAATTTACAGAGTTTCACTCTTTTCATCGACACCTTGACTATGGAAATTATCGTTTTTGGCTTTACCATTTGGTACCCTTGGCTTGTCTCCACATCAGAGCTCTGAAGGTCTTGGTGTCTAAATTAGCTGTGTAGTCCTTGCTGGCCCTAATGTGACTGAAACCACCTTTGCAAAAATTGCATCAGTGAGAAAATTATGACAGTGAGGGAGATCTGATCTATCCAATCCCCTTCTTGCCTCTAGCCTTCAAGCTGCCCTCAATTATTCTTGGGCTTAAGGCAAGCTAACTTTGGCAGACGTTTAGTTTATAGCTTAAATGATAACAGCCCTTCCCCAAAACTCAATTGCATTTGTAAAGCTAATCAAAGAACACCAGGCTAGGAGGATAGGAGAGACTGAATTCTGCTAAAGTGTAGACATAGAAGATTGCCAGCCATTATTCTGGAGGTCACAAGATATGCAACTTCCCCAGTTACTCCTGCAGATAACATCGCTATTGGAGAGCCTAAGACTGGCCTTTTGAGATACGTTTTCAGGGTTTTTGCATGTTTGAGACTGATGGCTCCACCTGGACTGGCCAGCTGCTCCTGTGGCTTACTCAGAAATGACTCTGCATGCAGGAGAACCATTTCCCACACCCCTATGATTTACACCCTCAACCAATTGGCAGCAAGCACCCATTGCCTAACCACCCTCCCCGCCATTCTTCCCCAAAATTGTCCTTGAAAAGCCCTAGCCTCCAAATCAGAGAGGCAGATTTCAGTAATAATACAACTCCCGTCTTCCATTTAGCCAGGTCCTACATGGGTAAAACTCCTTCCCTACTGCAACAACTCTGCCTCCATAAATCTGGTCTACCTCAGCAGTGGGCAAGAGGAACCCGCTGGACAGTTACATGAGTCCCTGGTAGAGTAAATATAGATCCATCTCCCCTCTAGAGAAGACGACCTAGGAGAGCAGCGATATGGTTTTTATGTTCACCACACTAGCCCCAATCAACCCCTAGGCCACTGCCTGCATGTGTTGTACAAATGCATGAATAAGTGAGAGGATGGATATGTGAATGGCTTAGCTGAAATGAATCTTACTAGAAACTAGAGTGCATAGAACATATATTAGGAAGCCTTGGGAATGTCTGTCCAGCTCATAGTGACCTCCTCTAAGAAGTATGCCTCAGCCACTCCAGGCCACATCTCACCACTTGTTCCCGTCCACCTGCTCAGAATTTCCTGTGCTAGGAGATGAAAGAAACCAACAAGGCCAAGCAGACTCCTCTTCGCCTGGAAATTGGGGGTTCAAAATAGCCATTTCTCTGTGTGTGGCTGAAATCGAGGTCCTATAAACTGGGAAACTGATCAGGCAAGCACTATTCTGCCATGAGCAGAAAAAAGATGCACTAACTGGTCACGGAGAAGCAAGGAGCTGAGGGCAGAGCACTGCAGATGCCGGGGTGGGTGGGCGCCCTCCATCCGGACCCTTCCTCCTTCCTGAGCCTGCCCCCAAGAGGCCCCAGTGTCCTTGGAGCCTGTCAGCCTGTTATTATTCTAATAATCCTCCATTTTGCTTAAGACAGATCCAATAGATTGCTTTATTTGTAGCTAAAAATACTTTCACAAAGACAACAATAAAATTGCTCAACCAGAGGGACACCAAGGGACAGGGAGAAGACCAGCAATTTCAAAACCATAATCAGGGAAATAATGACGGAAAATTTTCCAGAACTGAAATCTAATCAAACACATCATGAGAGAATCTGGGGTACATTCTGAACTAATTATCAAAGGAGGAGGCCTAGGAAACAGCTCATCAAGGCTCTGAATTTTAAGGCCAAAGATAACATTTTCAAGCCTGCCTCGCTGATTCTTTTCACAGGTTCATAATCAGTTATCCACAATCTTGAAACCCTAATTTCAGAAAAGCAAACTTTTTCTATATATTTTGATGTAAAAAAATTCAAAAAACCCTGACTTGAATAGGAATGAGGTTGTTTGCAGTCTTTATTTGTCCCACTTTGTGTAAATATTCATGTTTCACTGCAGAAATCATGCTCGGATGACAGGGTGCTGGCCCTGAACCTCTCAGGGTGTGTTACATTATATCCAAAATTCAGTATGCTCACTGAATTATCTTTCTAAAACACATAAAAAAATCTGAATTTTGAAACTTCTGGGGCTCAGAAAGCAATACCCCAAAATGAAGGCCTCAGAAGTGTTAAAGCAAGCTAACGATGGCCTGAGAAGGACTCTGTACTTCTCTATTTGAGTCCTTGTGGATGAACTGTAACCTAGCTTAATAGTCAGACAAAGCGAAAACCTAACTTAATAGTATGCACCTCTAACAATGGCTGAGTGTCAGCCAATCCCCGCAGCCATACTTCAACCACTCATAGGCTGCTGTATGTTCAAACTGTGTTCAAATAAGGCAAACGCCGAGCTGTAACCAATGTCACTGTTTCTGTACCTCACTTCCGATTCCCGTACGTCACTTTACCTTTTTTGTCTATAAGTTTGTTCTGACCATGAGGCACCCCTGGAGTCTCTGTGAATCTGCTGTGATTCTGGGGGCTGCCCAATTTGCGAATCGTTCATCATTCAATCAAACTCCTTTACATTTAATTCGGCTGAAGTTTTTGTTTTATCAGAAGGAAAAGTTTTCTCTGCCGTCCTCCTGCCTGCCCATCTCTCAGTCCCATTCTCCCCTGAGACTGCCAAAGACACTAGAATCTTTCCCAAGGCAGGTCATTGAAACCAGAATCCTTTTCTGCAAAGCCAGCCATAAAATCTAAAGTGTTATTCTCATTTTCCCTCTGCCTTTCTGTGTGAAAACTGGCCATGAAGAAACTGTCTGGCCTGCCTTGTTTGACTGTGGGTCCTACAACTCCCATTCCAGAAAGGGGCCTGCCCCACACTCAGAAGGAAGGAGTGCCGCTCAGAGAGGCCAGGAGGACCCTGGACAGACAGGCCCTGCTGGGTTTCCCACTCAGTCTATCAGTACCCAATCATACACTTTTTCTCCAATCCCATTTCTACATGGCTGTCCACACTTGGCTGAACCTAAGCTTTAACATGAACAATTTCTCCTGTATCTTTGGGTCTTCATTCTGAAGGCTCCTGTGTACACATGTTAAATGAATGTGTTTGCCTTTTCTCCTATTACTCTGCCTTCTGTGAGTTGGTTTTTCAGCAAAACTCAAGAGGCCCAAGGGGAAAGCTCTCCCTTGGCCCCTGTGAAACCCATCTGGCACTAAGGGTCTCATGCAGGCACTGCAGACCTCTGCAGAGCCAGCGCCCAGGCTGGGCTTGGTCTTGCTGTGCTGTGAGGTGATGGTCCCTGCACATTGGGAGCCACCTCTTTACCGGATGGGTGTGAACTGTGACCCTGGCCCTTGCTCACCCTTCTTTGCCATTGTGCCACCTCTTGCACACCCCTGGGTCCCTCAGGGCTCTCCTCTCTGTCACCACAGCCAGCTCCGTGTGGCCCGACAACCCTCACACAGATGCACCTGGAAGGTCTGCCCTGGAGCCCATGCCCCTGATGCCTTCTCTGCCTGGGCCGCCCTGCGGGTGCGGTCGCATGGCCTCGGCACATGCAGCTGGACACATGCACTCTGGCATCCCACGGGAAGGAGCTATGACCAATGGGCCATGCGCACCAGCCAGTAAACATTCCTTCTTGCTCTACTCAACCCCACAGACAGCCCTGAGGTGCATTTGGTACCTCCACTCAGGCAGCCTTGCAGGATGGAGCCCCAGTGGCCCGTCACGAAGGCCAGCACGCTGGGGCAGTGGTGCCTGCGCTCACTCTCCTCACTGCCCGGCCCCCATCCCTCACTCCTCTTCTCTGGGTTGAAGCTCCCGGATGAAGAACACACATGTGAGCCTTTGCCTCAGGCTGTGCCCCAGGCTGGGTCAGCCACATAGGAAATTCCCCACAATAGTTAAGTTGGAATCTGTGAGCAGCAATGAGAACTTTGTTCGTGCATCCTGAGAACCTACACCTTGCTTCTACTAATGAACCAGGCATTAGCAGCAGGCACCAGGGAGGGGAAATGCAGACACACAGACCATGTCCTTGAGTCTAGCTGGGAAGGGGGAGGACAGAGGACAGACGAGGAAAGAAATCATAAGAATATATTTAAGGTTTGCATAAGGTGCTGCGGAACTCCAGGGGGATTCTCATTGTGCCACGTGCCAGCAAGGGTGTGAAACAGCTGGAACTCCCATACATGCTGTGGGAACGCAACGGGGTTGGCCTTGCTAGAAAACAGGGCAGCAGCTGCTTTTAAAATAAAATCTACACCCACCATATGACACAGCAGTGCCACTCAAGAGAAGGAAATCAACCCAGAGAATAAAACCCTAAGTTCACAGAAAACCATGTGCTCAGAAGTGTCTGGAGTAGTTTTTTTGTTTTTTGGGGTTTTTTTGTTTTCTGTTTTTTGTTTTTCTGAAATAGTCTGGCTCTGTCATCGAGGCTGAGCCCAGTGGTGCAATCTCAGCTCACTACAACCTCCACCTCCCAGGCTCAAGCAATCCTCCTGCCTCAGCCTCCCAAGTAGCTGAGACTACAGGCGTGCACCACCACACCCAGCTAATTTTTGTATTTTTTGTAGAGACGGGATTTTGCCATGTTGCCCAGGCCGGTCTCGAACTCCTGGGCTCAAGCAATCCACCCTCCTCGGCCTTCCAAAGTGCTAGGATTACGGGCATGAGCCACTGTGCCCGGCCAAACATGAACCATTGATGCACACAGCAACTTGGGTGAACCATAAAGGCATTACACTGTGTGAGACAAGCCAGTCTCGAAAGGTGGCATACGATCTGATTCCATGTATATGACAGCCCCAAAAACACAAAACCATAGTGATGGAGACAAGATCAGTCCTTGCCAGGACCGGGGGAGGGTGGCTACAAAAGGACAGCTGAGAAAGTTCTGTAACGGAGCTGGCCTGTGCTCTGACTGCAGTGGCAGTTACACAAACCTACCTATGTGTTAAAATCCAAAGAACGCTACATTCAAAGGAAAAGTCAGTTTTGCTCTATGATAATAAAAAAAAAATAAAGAGAAAGAGTCAATGCTATGTCTAGGTTAGGATTCCTAAATGAAGGAATGTTATCTGATGTCACATTTTGTTTCACAATGCACATTTTTATATGACAGCACCCTATGTTATATGAAATTACATTGTTATAATGTCACGTAGTGTACAGTGTGTGCGCTGTATTAGATGATGTCACGTTACATGATGTACATCGTGTGATACGACATCATTTCATATCATATGACATCACATTGAACGAGGCTCAACTTACACAGCAGGACACATTGAAAACAGAACTTCTGGCCGGGCATAGTAGCTCGTGCCTGTAATCCCCGCACTTTGGGAGGCTGAGGCGGGAGGATCACCTGAGGTCAGCAGTTTGAGACCAGCCTGGCCAACATAGTGAAACTCCAGCTCTACTAAAAATACAAAAATTAGCCGGGTGTGGTGGCGCATTCCTGTAATGCCAACTACTTAGGAGGCTGAGGCAGGAGAATTGCTTGAGCCCAGGAGGCAGAGGCTGCACTGAGTTGAGATTGTGCCACTGCACTCCAGCCTGAGCAACAGAGTGAGACTCTGTCTCAAAAAAATTTAAAAAAACACTGTTACATTTAAAAAAATTAAAAAGAAAACAGAACTTCACCAAAGATAAATGATCACATTGCTACTGGCTGAAGACCCGGGAAGATCTTGTATCCATTTTGCCCTTGTTCTATCAGAAAAGTTCTTATAACTCTAAGGAAACTGTATTCCATTAAAATATATGCCAATCAAACTTTTCTCCTAGTCAACCTAACCTATCTTGATAAATATGCAGTATCTGGATCCCCAGATAAAATCACCTGAACACAAGCCCTAACTAAAAACAAAACAGGATTTAAAAGCAGAAAATAAACATGTCCATCATTCACAGATGTAACAACCACACAAAAGGAGATGAGACATTTTGTAAAAAAAACGTAGACTTGCAGGCTAAAAGTTTCATAGTAACCAAGATTTTTTAAGTCCATATAGTTAAAGATGTGACTTTAAGTATTAAAGTATTGTTTTTAATACAAAGACTGTTGCCAAATGTTAATAAAATTGAATGCAAGCTCTTATATCTTTTTAGTTTTTAAAATGCCTGCTATGTTCCTCTAAAGTAGACTCTCAAATAAAATCAGGAGCAAAATTATCTGTGAACACCTAATGGAACCTCTCTGCCCACAAAACACTAGTTTTTTAAATTTGTTTAATTACCAGTGGTGACCACGTAACATTCTTGTAGTCATTAAGGTTTCTAATGTTAAAATTACATTAGGCCTGAGGCGTAATTAAAAATAATTACACTGCAGCAATTTCTAGATGTAATCCACCAAATACAATTGAAATTCACAAAATCGTTACCACTCCAGCTTTGGATCATTACCTCATCAGGATTCCAAGCAGATCAGCTCTCAGGTGTGGATAAATAATACCTGCCAGCTTGAACCAAGCCCAGGCCACCTGGCAAGTTGGATTTGAGATTATCAAGAGAAAGAAATGGAGGGGCTGCAAATACATAACACAAAGCTGGAACTCCAGTCAAAAGCACATACATCATGTGTTGTGTGAGAATCTAGAAATGCGGCTTTTTTACATAAGAGAAAAGGAAGACCAACTTCTAGCCCATGAATGTCTGATGGTTTCCAGGAACCCCGGAAGCAATGATGTGGTGCGAATCGCTGAAGCTTGAGGCATTATCCATCTATTTTACAAAATTAAGAGGCTTCACTTTCTACGGCAGCTGCACTCCTCAAATTTCACAGTGAACCAAGGTTTTATACAAAATAAGATAAAAGTTGGGTATTTTAACCATCTTAGCAGAGCTCACTTTTGAAGGAAAACTATGGGTAAAGCTTTGGTAAAAGAAAAGACTGTGACACCACCTCAAATTTATGCTTCTTATAAACCTACACTTTCATGTGGGGTGGGTTTTGTTTTGTTTTCAATAAGGATACCAATGGAGATAACTGTGAAATTGATAAGAAACGCCTGGGAGAGTGGAGAACGTTTATGGAGGGTGGAGGAGGCCAGGGGTTGACAAGCTCTGTGGTGAGCTCCCCCTGAGAGAGCCACATCTCAGGTGGGGATAGGTCCTGGCCACAGCACAGGCTAGAGAAAGTGGAGAGGTCTGAGAGCCATGGGTGTGGTGAACGTGGGAGAAGAGAAACCAATGGTGGACGGTGGGAGAACAGTTTCATGCGCCAGATGCACCCTCAGACAAGGCAAGTGGGCCCTGCAGAGCACCGGCCATTCGCCAGGGCTCTCCCGAACAGACTGTCACCTAACTGGCATGGTAGGCGGCACAGATGGCAGCGCTGGCCTTGCCCATGTGGCTCCATCTCTTCTGGGAACCATGTAAAGATGTGGTTATTAACTACAATAGACAGGACAGTGCCCACTCTATATTCCTCCTCATGGTCATCCCTGGAGGGGCTGAGGACCCATGGCACAGAGTCTAAGGGGCCAGAGATGCATCTCTCTCTCCCTCCCTCCTGCCCAGGAAACCAAAAGGAAAGGCGCCCTTCTTCCCAGGGCAGGCTGCCCACCCTCCATCTCAGCCCTCTCTGGCCTTCCACCAGCCCGGCTGCCTGTGGGCAAAGTCAGTGTCTGGGAACAGGCTCTGAAACCTTCCCATCCAGAATGTGACAAAGCCTATGAACCAAAGCTAAATTAGACTCACCAAGATCAAGATGAATGCCAGGGACAAACGAATTGAGGAAAAACATGAAGATAACAAATCCCAACACTGTCAGGCATTTGGCGAGCAGAATCCCGTCAGATATCCTATGCTGTAAGAGAGAAACCACAGCTCATTTACTCTGCACAACCTTCTGACTCCTGCAGCGTGTCATAACCTACGCAACTGGAATCACGACAGATTTCACGAGGATGAAAAATGTAACCTCTCGAACTTGAAAGAAAATGGCAAAGTACTGTGTTACAAGGAAACCCGTACAGATTCAGGATTACTGCATTCAAAATCTTTATGAAAGATAAACACAGATGTCAAGAGTAGCACAGCCCTGTTATGAAACACCTGGCCGGCAGGTATCAGAGGATGACGGGGCGTTTCTACAGGGGCCTATGCTGTCTTCACTGTTCCTTTCTCTACCACGCCAAGCATGCGGGTGGGGCCATGAGGCTGAGCCTTCTCACGGAACTGTGACTCCCAGATAAGGCTCTGGCCATGTTCTTTACACGACATGCATGAGGCCCCTGGAATGCAGGGGGTGCACTCTTAGCGCTGGAATGACACCCGCGAGAATCCACCTGGTCATAGGGGGAGGGCAGGCCCCGAGGCACCTCATCCTCCGCAAGGCCTCCATCAACCTAGGAGTACCTAGGAGACGGCACGAGACGGGGCTCTCCCTATGAGGCCCCAAGGGTACTGTGCTCCACAGGCCATGGCTGCGTGGGGCCAGGGCAGGGAAGCACGCACAGATGGGCACCTGGTAGGCCTGCCCTGTTAACAAGGTCCCCGTGTGAATGCCGGCCCACTGTGTGAAAGGATAACTGCACCAGGTCCTTTCTCTTTCTTTCTTTCTTTCATTTATTTATTTATTTATTTTTATTTTTATTTTCATTTTCATTTTTTGAGACAGTCTCACTCTATCACCCAGGCTGGAGTGCAGTGGCACAGTCTCAGCTCAACGCAACCTCCGCCTCCCAGGGTCACGTGATCCTCCTACCTCAGCCTCCCTCCCCAGTAGCTGGGACTACAGGTGTGCACCACCATGCCCAGCTAGTTTTTGTATTTTTAGTAGAGATAGGGTTTCACCATGTTGCCCAGGCTGGTGTTGAACTCCTGGGCTCAAGCAATGCGTCCACCTCTGCCTCCCAAAGTGCTAGGATTACAGGTGTGAGCCACCACGCCTGGCAAGCATCAGATCCTTTCTTGAGTCTGGTCCCACCAGCACACCTGTCTACCCATCTGTCTAATCTGTCTAGGTGGATTAGATGGAGACAGCAATGATGATGAATGTCAATGTCTGTAGCTTCATGGATGCAGGTGGATCTCGATATCTACCATCATAGTGATCTATAGCTATCTGGATTTGGACAGATATAGACATATAGATATATAGATATAGACACACAGAGGTAGAGCTAGAGCTACAAAGAGATTCTCTCTCTTGCTTCCTCTGGTCACAAAGGTAAAGCTGCTGCCATCAAAAACACATGCAAGGCCCTCTGTGTCACAACAGCTGACACAGCCCCTCCTCTATGTGCAGTGGGGCCACTGGTGAGCATCTGCCCCTCCCTGCCCACCGTGAAGGCTCATGGCTGGGCCAGCCCCTTCTCATCTTCCCTGTCGCCTCTCTGGGGAAGGCCGATTTTCCTACATGATTCTGTGCTGAAGAATTAGGGCCAAAGGAGCATGGCAGGAAAAAGATTTGAAATGCTCAGAGGAGAGTGATGCGGATTCTCACCAGGCATGAGGGGAGGCACTGCAAACCTTCCCTGAGGTCGCAGCAACCACAGAAAGTGGCTATTGCCACAGCCAGTGCAAAGATTGGAGGTGGAGGAGTAGGCAGGTCAAAGAGCATTCCAGCATCCTGCAGCTCATGGAAGTGGAGGTTTTTTGGGGGTATCATTCAAATTTGCTCCTTCTGGATACCTGAGGTCATTTCTTTTTTTCTGTTTTCTTTTTTTTTTCTTTTTCTTATTTCAATAGGTTTCAGGAAGACAGGTGATGTTTGGTTATATGGGTAAGTTCTTTAGTGGTGATTTCTGAGATTTTTGGTGCTCCCATAGCCTGAACAGTGTACACAGTACCCAATGTGTAGTCTTTTATCCCTCGCCCCACTCCCACCCTTCCCCTCAAGTCCCCAAAGTCCATTATATCATTCTTATGCCTTTGTGTCCTCATAGGTTGGCTCCCACTTATAAGTGAGAACATACAATGTTTGATTTTCCATTCCTGAGTTACTTCACTGGTCACCAAGTCCATCCAGGTTGCTGTGAATGCCATTATTTCATTCCTTTCTATGGCTGAGTAGTATTCCATGGCATACACACACACACACACACACACACACACACACACACACACACACCTAGGGTCATTTCTGTAAGAATTCTTAGATGTGATACAGGGATGTTGCCAAGCCTTACCTCTCCATTTCATCTCACTGTAGTCCTCGTCCAGGTGTACAGAGAGGCACACAGTTCTCCAACTCATGACTAAAACACCACAGTCTAGCAAGGCAGGCATAATCTGTATGAACTTGGGGCCTGCAAGAGTATCACAGCTATACCTTTCTTTTCTAACCCTGGCCATCCACATGGGACAGAGTGTGAAGGCACTGAGGCACCTCATCAGATTGCATCCAACATCTTTATGGAAAATAAGCACGATAGATGTGAGGTGTTCTGAAGCCCTTTGAGGAAACACCTGACTCGCATGGAGAGTGTGCCCATCAAAATTAGAGTGGGTATTCAATCTCTCCCTAGAAAACAAACTGCATGGATCTGAAATGTCACTGAGATGCAAATGACTCCTAGCAGATCTTGAGCAGAGCTCTCTCGACTGGGAAGGGGTCCTCTGTGTTCATAAATGGGCTGAGAAAGTCCACCCCCATGGAAGAATGAGCCAAAAAAAACAAAACAAAAGAAAACAAGCTCTGCCCCAGGAAGTCACAGCCATCGGCAGCACACTCACGCATCCTATGTCTGCCCCTAAAGCTGCTCCACTTCATGCAGCATGCCTTGCCGGTCTCCCCTCCGCAAAGTGTGAACCTTGGGCCTGCCCTTCAGGGCCAGGAGCGGGCTGGTGGTCAGGGACACCCGCTCAGAGGGCGGGCCCTGCAACGTGCAGGGACAGGGAAAGGCTCTATAAAGATGTTTGCTTTCCACATCCTCACAAAATCAGCCTGCTGTATCCAGAAAACATTTTTCCCCATCCACTCACACACATAAACCTCAACGTCTTGTGTATAACCACAGAAATAAAAAGAGAAACGGCATTCAGTCACGTGAGGGAAGGAAAAGGCATCACTCACTCTCTTCTTGGAGAAGTGAATCAGAAATCCCTGAGGAAAGAAAGCTGGGTACCTTTTTTTGGAGTTCTTGGATATTGGTCTCCCAATTTTTGTCCTCCTGTGAGATCTGTCTAAAAGAGAAAAGAAGAGACTCATTACTTCCCTGGTCACGCTGCGTGGTGAGATCGCGGAGCAGCAGTCCCCAGCGCTTCGTGCCTGGACGCGGTCTGTGACTTGGAGCCTGGCTGGCAGGACTAGTCATGGGGGGCCGGTGGGGCTTCATTTGTTGGCTGGAAAAGGTGCTCACTCTCTATTTTCCCAAAAAAATACATATAATGACCTGAATGATGAAAGGAGTGTGTGTGAGGAGGTACATGTGACAGCTTGCGCAGGGGAAGCTTCACGAAAACCCCGCAGCAGTGCGTGGAGGAGGGCAGCGACCGTCAGTCTCTTTATTTTCCTCTTTATGCACACTTCTACGGTCCTGAATCTCTTTGTTTCCAAAATGAGGGCACTGAACCTATACAACTATTACAACCAACTAAAGAAAAACGTGGTAAAAGAAATGTCACTTGCTTTAATGTTGTTTTTTATCAATCGATGATCACTTCCACGCCTGAAATCCTAGGACTTTGGGGGGCCGAGGGGGAAGGATCACTTGAGGCCAGCAGTTGGGGAAGATCAGCTTTGAAGTCTTTTCTGTCCATGCTGCTCCTGCCGGGGTGGTCTCCTCCCGCCTGTTTCAGCCCCTTCAGTGGCTCCCACTTGCCTCTTCTTTTTCATGTTTCTGACTCAGCCCACCCCTCCTGGCTGACTTCCTCCCAAACCAATTAGGGAAAAGGGGCTGCACAATGAAGAATGCAGTTTTAGTATCAAAAGAGGCTGACCACACAGGCAGTCTGGGTCGTAAGAAATCACAGCAGACACAGTCGAATGATTCTGAGGACAATTTTTAAAAAGAAAATGTAAAAATAAGACTTGCAGGACGGGCGTGGTGACTCACATCTATAATCCCAGTACTTTGGGAGGCTGAGGCAGGCGGATCACCTGAGGTTGGGAGTTCGAGATCAGCCTGACCAACACGGAGAAACCCCGTCTCTACTAAAAATACAAAATTAGCCAGGAGGGTTGGTACATGCCTGTAATCCCAGCTACTCGGGAGGCTGAGGCAGGAGAATCACTTGAACCCAGGAGGCAGAGGTTGCAGTGAGCCGAGATCATGCCACTGCACTCCAGCCTGGGGAACAAGAGCGAAACTCCGTCTCAAAAAAATAAAACCTGCAGAGCTCGACCTTGCTTTAGGACACCCTCATGGTAATCTGCTTCTCAGCAACTGTGTGGCCTTGGGAAGCCACGCCCTCCCCAGGTCTGTTTCCTCATGTGTGACTAACACCAGAGGAGCTGATGGGAACGTGGTGAGCCTCGGAGCCCACATGTTTCCTCATGTTTGTAACCTGAGATGCACTGAGTGTGTCTTTAACACCCAACACCAGCACAATTTATTCCATCTTTAGTTTATGAAGCGTCTCCTTTAAGATCTGTGCTTGCTGCCAAAGTTGGTCATTCTTTCCCCAGCCTGTAACTCAGGGCCTCCCTGTGGCCTGAGGACACTGGTCCTGCTGCTCCAGCATTACTGGGCGAGATGGGTCCCGGACCGGGGATGAAGCCAATGGCACTGAGCCGGCACTTCATCCCGGGATTGTGTGGGACTCCATGTGACTGCCTGTGAATCCTCCCACTAACAGACCAGACCTTGAGACACCCATGCAGGGTGACCCCTCAGTGCACAGCGAATGGCAACAGGCAAGACCATTCTAGATTTTGTTCATAAGGGTTCACATTTCCCCTTGCCTAGATGGACATCTCCACCCCCTCTCAGCTCAGCTGTGGGGACGCTTCAGCTTCAGCATCCCTTGGGGGGCCACCAGGCTCCTGCTTCTTCTGTCTGAGCTTCCAGAACAAAGACTGCTTGGAACTCAGCAACATGTCATAGCAAGGAGAAAAACCACCAATTCATGGTTACCCTTTAAATCTCAGCTTCAATTAACAACGAATGCCAGGAAACAAATTGAGTGGGGCTTTCATATTCTTGCAGGTGCCTGAAAATCAACTGCTGGCAGAATATTTTGTCAAATTAGTCTTTGCATTAATGGTTTTTGGTTTTTGTCGTGCAACAATTACAATGTAGAGAGATGGGACAGCCCAGCGGTTGACAGTGAGAGCCCCATCCCCAGTGCCACTCCTTCCGAGCTGCACAACCCTGGGCACGCCGCTCAAATTCTCTGAGCCTCTGGTTTTGTGTTGTTTCTTTGGTCCTTAAACTCGGCTGTGTACCCCCTGCAGAGCTCAGTGAGGGTTAGATAAAATGTACTATAAGAGGCTTAGCACAGTGTGCGTCACCTAAATATCACGTATTAGTATACAGCTAATGTCGCTATTTTGTAGGCCCATGGAATGTTCTGCTGCACACCAAGCACAGTCTGAGCAGGACCCCGCCCGGTACCTGTGGAAGGTGTGCAGCCTCCGGGCGAGCAGGTGCTCCAGTGCCAGCACCTTCCCCAGCAGCAGGCGGCGCACAGCTGTCTCCTCGCGGCTGGCCGGGCTGATGCGCTGAGCAGTCAGGCGCCAGACGTGAATCTCGTGCTTCAGTTCTGCAGAGAAAGGAAGGCGAAGCTTGGGTCTCCCATGACCTCAGATATCAGCAACACCCTCCTCTGTTCCCCACACAGTCGATGCCTGACAGAGCAGACACACACTCGAGACGTGCAGGTAGCCCAGGGTCACCCAGAGCTTCTCAGCACCTGAGCTATTGCAATGGAGCCCAGACGACAAAGCCGACATTTAAAAATTATCACAAATTGCAAGGACAAAAAACCAAACACCACATGTTCTCACTCATAGGTGGGAATTGAACAATGAGAACACTTGGACATAGCAAGGGGAACATCACACACCAGGGCCTGTTGTGGGGTGGGGGTAGGGGGCAGGGATAGCATTAGGAGATATACCTAATATAAATGACGAGTTAATGGGTACAGCACACTAACATGGCACATGTATACCTACGTAACAAACCTGCACGTTGTGCACATGTACCCTAGAACTTAAAGTGTAATAAAAAAAAAATTATCACGAAAGCGAAGTAATGCAATTTCAACACTTTCAGTGAAGAATAAATTCCTTTCTTGAACCAACACATCAAAGCTAGCACCCAACAACATTTCCCCTTCTTGCAGGAAATATTTCGGATCTGCTTCCAGCCAAAATCTAGACATTGCCCAATCTTTGAGGGGTTTCAGGAGCAGATCTAGTGAAAATTGAAAACACAAGTGTAATTCTCAGGAGAAGGTGCTCAGCGCTCTCCAACAGGGCATTTGGTAAGCAGCAGAAGACAGGGAGGCGCCCTCCAACCAGGCGCCACTGAGCTGTCTCTGACACAGGCGAAAGAGAGAGGTAGATGACTTGATGAGATGCTGAAATCTATAGAATGAGCAGAATTTTCACCCATCACTGAATTCAGACACCTTCTGATAGAGAAGAGTAGAGAGGAAATGATGTGTCAATTCATTGCCTCTTAAGATATTCAAATATTTCATGAAAACCTACATTTAACCTCTATTTTACTGTTAAAAACATTACATATGTTTCTCAAAATATCCATTAAAAGAATATAAGAAAGCACAATATTTTCATGAACCATCCCTTACGTGCAATACTCCACACTGCCTATAGCAAGAATTAAAGATAGGATGAAAAGACAAAGCCTTTCAAGCAGGCGCTGGGGCACTGGAAGAGCAGCTCGGGGCAGATTCAAGGCATGGTGATCACCCGAAGACCTGGGAAGCAGCATGAACATCGTGGGTTCAGTGGAATGGGAAAACGCCACCTTTTAAGCCCCTTCTGTTCAGTACGTGAGTGCTCATCACCCACTGCGTGGCAGACCTACTGCAACAACAAAGATGAGTTAGGCAGAGGGAGGCAGTCTGGAAACGAAGCATGTCATGACTCAGAGAGAATGCGCAGAGCCTGGGAGCACCAGAACTATTTCAGTTAGCACATGGCTTTCTCTAAAGCTTCAGCCCTACCAAGATGAAAACCTTTAGAACTAAGATACATAATATGTTTTCATTCAGTACATATGGATGCTTTGTAGCTTACTAAAATAAAAGGAACTTGGGTATAATTCAAAGGCCTCTTCAGAGAAACAGATCCAAAATTTCCTCTTGAAAAGTCTCACACTTCGTTAAACCACCTATGAGGCTATGATAACATAAAAAGAAAGGGGAAGAGGAAGTGAAGGAAAAAACTAATGAACTCACTCTCTGAAACACTGAACACAAAAACACCATCTGTGGAAGGTCTCCAATGTAAGTTCAGACAGAGCCAGTATTTCATCCAGTGCTCTAAATCTTGCTAAAAGCCCGTCCATAAAGTACCAGAGACTTTCCAGCCATTCTCTAAAGGCATCACGGTGAAGGGCCACTTTCTGAAGCAGCTGATCAGCTTTAAAGTGCTCACACCTCTGCGTGGTTCATCTCTGGTGCCAGCCCCTGGGTGCGGGCTGGAAGTCTCTCCATGCCTTTATGTTTGGAGAAGCAAAGCCTGGGAACCAAGGCTATGCTGGTGGAGCTGACCTCCCAGTCTCTGTGCGACTACTGCAGGTGCTTACTCTCCAGTGGAGCCTCAGCCACCTTCATGCACACCCAGCACCTACCTGCCTTCTAACCCATAAAACCAAAAAGGAAGTGCTGCTCCACTCAGATCAACCCACGCATTAATACTCAGGTAGTACACTTTTGTATTCCTAGTTGTGGAATGTAATATACAAATTATGAAGGAATTTAGTCGGGAGGGATTTTGCCCAGAAGGGTTCACCCAGAACTCAGTTTACCAAAACCTGTCCATGTATCAGTTCCCAGGCTTCCTCTGCACCTCCTCTGTCATTTCCCCACCCTGTCTACTCTGCTGAGGTCCAAGACCATAGACCCAGCTGGCTACCCAATATTTCCCTCTGAACCCTGTGCTGCAAACTCATAGCTAAACACTTTATCTTCCTCCCATAAAGTTTCTCTCCTACCCTTACCTTCTTAGTTTTTATATAATGCAATTGCTCTTCCAGGTACACAAGACTGAAATGTCATCCTGGTCTTGTCAATGTCATTCTCTTTTATATTTCCACATTAACATTATTGTGTCACAGGTGTCAGATCTGTGTTTGATGCTAAAGGATAAAATTTCATTGGTAAGTTACAAGATGGCCTTCCAAAACTGGAAAGAGATATAAGATATATCATAAATAAACATACGCTAGGGTAGTGTGAGCCTCAAGAGCCACCCAGGATATGCTGGCACAGCTCTTGCCTTGTCTGCTTCTTCCTGTCCTAGGTTACCTTCTTGTCCAGGCCTCACCCTCTCACATTTCTTAATTCTTATTGTTCCTTAGTAACCTTTAACTACAGTCACTTGCTATAAACCTGCCCCTGCTTAATCATAAAACACCATTTGCTCTATCTATCTATCTATCTATCTATCTATGTATCTATGTATCTATCTCCCGCCTGTAATCCTAGCACTTTGGGAGGCTGAGGCGAGCAGATCACCTGAGGTCGGGAGTTCGAGGCCAGCCTGGCCAATATGGTGAAACTCTGACTCTACTAAAAATACAAAAAATTAGCTGGGCATGGTGGCAGGCACCAGTAATCTCAGCTGCTTGGAAGACTAAGGTAGGAGAATTGCTTGAACCCAGGAGGTGGAGGTTGCAGTGAGCCAAGATTGCTTCACTCCACTCCAGCCTGGGCATGACAGAGCAAGGCTCCATCTCAAAAAAAAAAAAAAAAAAATGGTAACAAAAGCCAAAATTGACAAATGGGATCTAATTAAACTAAAGAGCTTCTGCACAGCAAAAGAAACTACCATCAGAGTGAACAGGCAACCTATAGAATGGCAGAAAATTTTTGTAATCTATCCATCTGACAAAGGGCTAATATGCAGAACCTACAAAGAACTTAAACAAATTTACAAGAAAAAAACAACCCCATCAAAAAGTGGGCAAAGGATATGAGCAGACACTTCTCAAAAGAAGACATTTATGCGACCAACAAACATATGAAAAAAAGCTCATTACCACTGGTCATTAGAGAAACGCAAATCAAAACCACGATGAGATACCATCTCACTCCAGTTAGAATGATGATCATTAAAAAGTCAGGAAACAACAAATGCTGGAGAGGATATGGAGAAATAGGAATGCTTTTACACTGTTGGTGGAACTGTAAACTAGTTCAGCCATTGTGGAAGACAGTGTGGCGGTTCCTCAAGGATCTAGAACCAGAAATACCATTTGACCCAGCAATCCCATTACTGGGTATATAACCAAAGGATTATAAATCATTCTACTATAAAGACACATGCACACGTATGCTTATTGCAGCACTGTTCACAATAGCAAAGACTTGGAACCAACCCAAATGCCCATCAATGACAGACTGGATAAAGAAAATGTGGCACATATACACCATGGAATACTATGCAGCCATAAAAAGGATGAGTTCATGTCCTTTGCAGGGACATGGATTAAGCTGGAAACCATCATTCTCAGCAAACTAACACAGGAACAGAAAACCAAACACTGAATGTTCTCACTCATAAGTGGGAGTTGAACAATGAGAACACATGGACACAGGGAGGGGATCATCACACACCGGGGGCTGTCGGAGGGTTGGGGGCTAGGGGAGGGATAGCATTAGGAGAAATACCTAGTGCAGATGACAGGTTCATGGGTGCAGCAAACCACCATGGCATGTGTATACCTATGTAACAAACCTGCACATTCTGCACATATATCCCAGAACTTAAAGTGTAATTGAGAAATAAAATAAAATAAATAAAAATAAAAATAATTTAAACATTTTTAAATTAATTAATTAAAATAATAAAACAAAATAAATCTATTTCCCAGATGATAGGAAGATGACTGATATTTATCTAGCTATCATCTTCCTAGATCTATCATTTCCTAGATTAGATGATAGATTACAGATAGATAAATAGAAGATAGACAGATAAATTCCTTCTTTCAAATATCCAGTAGTTCCCCGTGGCCTGTAGAATAAAGCTAAAGATGTCAAAGATCTTCAGAGAAGACTCAAAACCCCAAATGCCCAGCACCATTGTGAGCTCTGATTCTGCCATATAAGTTTCAACTCTTTGTCTTTGCCACCCTAGCCTCTTACTAGGAGACATCATCAGATATCCCATGTCTTACCTCTCTATCAGCCTCTATCTTTCTGAGCTTCTCAACCAACTTCTGATGGTATTACTTAGAGTGGCCACATACATGTTTCAAACAGGCAAAGAAAGTGCCGTGTGGGATGTGCTCTGACACAGGAGGTGATGGCTTCCAGGGAAGCCTAGAGTAGTGAGCTCAGAGCTGGGAATCTCAGGAGAAGAAGCCTAGGCCAGAAAGAGAGAAATGGAACTATACTAGTGTTAAGTTCTTCTACTGTATGTTAGGTAGTATAATATCGCTCAAAGTTAGTGGTATAATAGTCACTAAAATCACAAAACAGAATTAAAGCCAAAAAAAGTAACAACCAACAGAGGAGAAAATATAGAATGTATTTAAATACTCAATTAATTCAAAAGAAGGCATAAATGAAGAAAAGGGTAATAATGAAGCACAAATATAAAACAATAATATGATGTTACACTTAAATTCAATCGCATCACTAAGCACATTAAATATAAATGGTTTAAGAGACAGACTATCAGAGTAGATAAAAAATCAGGATGCTAATATATGCTGCTTACAAGAACTGTACTTTAAAGATATAAATAAGTTAAAAGTAAAAAGATGGAAAAAGATACACCACACTAACACTAGTCAAGAGAAAAATGAAATTGTTATATTAACAACAAAGTATATTTCAGAGCAAAGAATATTATCATGGATCGCAAAGATTGTTTTTATAGCAAGGTGTTAAATCATCAAGATGAAAGAACAATCCTAAATATTTATGTGCCCTAATAGTAAACTTTTAAAATGCATAAAGCAAAATAATAGAATTACAAAGAGAAATAAACAAATCTATAATCAACCTTAGACACGTCTGTATCCATCTCTCAATAATTAAACAAGTAGATAGAAAATCAGCAAGAATATAGAATACTTGAATAACATTATCAGCCAATCTGACCTAAGCTATATAATTGACATCACTGAACATCCCTCCTAACAAGAGCAGAATACGTTTTCATTTCTAGTGCACACAGAATGTTTACAAAGGTAGACCACATTCTATAGCCATACAAGCCTCAATAAATGTTAAAGGATTCAAGATTTATGAAATATATTCTCTTACTACAGTGGAACTAAATTAGGTAACTGCAAAAACTTTCCCAAATACTTGGAAGGTATATAAACCATCTAAATTATCCAAGGATCAAAGAAAAAATAAAAAGATGCATTATAAGATAATTTGAACTGAATGAAAATGAAATAAAAATAATAAATTAGTGAGAGGCCACTAAAGTAATACTTAGAAGGAAATTTAGAGCACTAAAGGCCTATATTAGAAAATAAGATGCACATAAAATCAATAACCTTAGCCTCCACTTTAAGAAACCAGTGAAAAAATAAGCAAGCCTGAAAGTAAGCAGAAAAAAAATAAATAAAGAGCACAATAGACATTATTAAAAGAGAAAAAAATTGTAGAGAAAAATCTATATAATCAAAAGCTGGTTCTTTGAGATCAATAAAATTGATAAACCAACCAAAGAGAGAGAGAAGACACAAACTATCAAACTACCAACATCAGGAATGAGAGATATGACATTATCAAAAATTTGATAGCCCTTAAAAGGATAATGAAAGAATATTATGAACAATTTTATAACAATACATTCAACAACTTAGATTAAATGGACAAATTCCTTGAAAGACACCAACTACCAGTCAACACTCAAGGAGAAACAGATAACTTGAATAGCCATCCCTATATGTATATTAAGGGATTTGAATTTGTAGTTAAAAACCTTTCCACAAAAACATCCAGGCCTATAAATGTCCAAATAAACATTTAAGAAAAAAGTAATAGCAATTCTACAGAAATTCTTCCAAAAAATTGAAGATGAGGAAATATTTCCATATTCCTCCTATGAGGACAACAAAAAAGACATTACAAGAAAGGAAACTACAATCAAGATCCCTAATGTACACAAAAACAAAATGCTAAACAAAGTATTAGCAAGAAGCAGCATGAGTTGAACATTTGGTGATCAGAGGGATAGGCTCTGGTGATTATTGTTCTTTTCACCATGTAAGTCATGCTCTCTCCCATTCTGAGCACCTGGCAGGCTGGCCTGTCCTGGTCCCTTGTGACTGGGTGGGGCCTGCCTGTGTCACTGGATGGCAGAATGGGACCATGCTATTCTCTTTGCCTTCAAGGCTAGCCGCTCAGGACTCTAAGAACAGATGATGATCAGGGCCCCTGCCAGTCCATTGGGGAGGGGGCGGGGGGTACAAAGCCAACACAAGGAAGAAAACACAGTTCTGGAAGTCACTGAGATTTCAGGGTTACTTTTTCACTGCAACATAACCAAGCCTGTTCTGACAATGCTCTGTACACCACCACAGGCCTGCTAAACTCAGATCTCTTGAGTGGGGCTTGGGAATCTGCAGTTTTACCCACCACTCCAAATTTGGAGCCCTCTAAGCCCCACAGTGGCACAGAGCAATCACCCCACCTTGCACTGCTGGTCTTAGCCCGGCCATAGGGTTCCTGCATCACCAGGTGTGTCCACTTCCAACCATCACTCCCCACTTCCCTCGAAGCTTTTCTCTGTTCCTTACTCAGGAACGGTGAGGAATTCATTACAGAGATTATTTTCTGTGTGTCTAAATCTGTGTATCCCAAATTCATCTCAAGATTAGACTCTTCAGGACAGCTTACTAACAACACAGAATTCCTGGGGATGACGCTGAAAATCTGCATATACAACAATTGTCCCAGGTCACTGTGATCACCAGGGAGGTTGGGAGAGGCTGGCATAGTTGGGCAGGATGACGGTTGAGCTCTCCACTAAGACACAGCTGTGCACACACAAGCTCCAAGAGACAGGACAATTATCCACCACGATCACAGTCTCCTTCACTCTCCCTTAGTTCTAACATTTTCATCAGAAAAAGAAACCTATATATTAATTTATCTTACTTTGCATATATTAGTTGATTATAAAACATTCTAAACACCTCTAACTAGTTGTTATGGGTTGAACTAGGTCCAGCCCCCAGGTAAGATGAGTAGATATTCCCAAGAACAAGCTTGTTTTGACAGATGAATCCTGAGGAGGAATGCAAAACAATGTTTTCTTAATGAGATTTTTTAAATACTCAAATTCTGAATAACATGAAAGTCACACAGATCTGTCTTGGACAGTCAGCATCGGAGGAACTGGAGTATGGCAGGACCATGTCGTGGCCTCCAGCCACCCATGTGGAAATGGAATCTGGGTATCTTATCCAGAACAAAGACAAACTGAGATCCTGTAAAACACAGGCCAGCAGAATCACAAAGGCTGAGAGAGATCAACATGCAATCCGTGAGCTCTACAAATTCCCAAAGAAGAGCGCCTTCATCTGCTGAGCTCTGGTCGCCTGATGCCCCTGTTACCCAGGCAACCTGCACAGCATCCATATTCTGGAGCTCGTCAAGGAAAGGCTGCTTGTTTCCCAAATAATCTATTGTTCCTAATATATTCTAATCAGTAATGATCTCAGTAAAACATCTACTAAAGTGTTTTAGTGATGAAAATGCAAAACGATAAGATGGCCCTAAGCCCTCATCCTGCTGGCTGGTGCTCAGCATCTGCTGTTTGTTTGTTTGTTTGTTTGTTTGTTTGTTTTTGAGACAGAGTTTCACTCTGTCGCCCAGGCTGGAGTGCAGTGGCACGATCTTGGCTCACTGCAACCTCCACCTCCTGGGTTCAAGCAATTCTCCTGCCTCAGCCTCCTGAGTAGCTGGGATTACAGGCCTGTGCCACCATGCCCGGCTAATTTCTGTATTTTTAGTAGAGACGGGGTTTCACCATGTTGGCCAGGCTGGAGTCGAACTCCTGACCTGATTCAGGTGATCCGCCCACCTTGGCCTCCCAAAGTGCTGGGATTACAGGCGTGAGCCACCGTGCCTGGCCTAGCATGTGCTCTTGATTGACAGGGCCCATCACCTCCTGTGCTGGGTTATGTTGCTGTTATTTCCAGTCATATTTAAGACTCAAGCTATGATACACTATTAGAGCACTGCAGTCTATATGTTAGTGTATTTGTACCATATACACGTGGCTTTAGGGGGTTATGACATGTGAGTTGTACATGGTGGCCATTACTTCCCACATTTTACCACAGTACACTTCACAGAAAACTAAAGAGGCACAGCTCATGATAGCAGCCCTGAAAACAGTGTATACTAGAAGGTGGACGTGGAGAGTCACTGGTATTGAGCATCCAGCAACCCATCAACAGATACTTCCTAATAAGAACTTCTCCTGGTAAACAAACAATATTATGGTCATGAAATCTGAGCCTACATGAGGTTGCACTTGTACTCACCAACAATCTCACTGGGTTCCTTGTTATAAAGCTTTCTGTTCCAGTAAAGGAGTCTGAGGAGCGGAAAGCAGACCAGGAGAACAAGGCAAATCCCAATGAACATGTGTGCAGTGAATCCGGCAAAGTCCAGGCCCTGGAAATAAACAAGGGGAAATGAAATGGCAGCCCAGGCATGGTGGCTCACGCCTGTAATCCCAGCACTTTCCGAGGTGGGTGGATCACGAGGTCCGGAGATGGAGACCATCCTGGCTAACACAGTGAAAACCTGTCTCTACTAAAAAATACAAAAAATTAACTGGGCGTGGTGGCGGGTGCCTGTAGTCCCAGCTACTCGGGAGGCTGAGGCAGGAGAATGGCGTGAACCCGAGAGGCGGAACTTGCAGTGAGCCGAGATCATGCCACTGCACTCCAGCCTGGGCGACAGAGCGAGACTCCGTCTCAAAACAAACAAACAAAAAGAAACGGAAGACGGGCCTTTCCTCCGCACAGGCAGCAGCTCCCTGAGTCAGGGTCCAGGGAGGGCCAGAGCCCAGGAGGGAAGGGGCTCACCAGGAGTTCCAGGACCTTAGGCAGAGGTCCTGGAGCCCAACACAAAGCCCACGAAAGACCACGGATTCCTTACCATGATTTTGAAAATTGTTAACGTTTGTTTCTTTCATGTCGAAAACCAAAAACCAATTCTTACACAAATGACAAGCCATCATAGGAAGAAACAAAAACAGGCTACCACATCTAACTCAACCTTGGCTTGGTCCATCTTCACCACTAGATTGATGCCTTCCCCAAGATAGGGTGAAAAAAGACTGAATGGGACAAAATACTAAACTATATGATAATATTTGCCCATTTAAAGGTAAGTTGAATTTTTAAACACTTCATTTAAGTCCCTGCCATCGGTTTGAAAGTGTCCTCGTGGCTGGAGAGCACAGCCCTTTGCAGGGCACTCAGGGCCCATCAGGGCTGGGATCGCTTAGAGCATGGGGACCAGCCGCAGGGACTCAAGCAGGAACCTCTCCTTCCCGGCACGCTTCCTTTGCCTGCCTAGGGCTCTGCACGTGGCCGGCCACTGAGGGTATCTTTAGAGTTGGGCAAATCCCCACTAGGTTGATTTGTCCTGGAATAAGTCAGCGGCGTCATTGGTTGGTTCTGTTCTTTCACACACAAACGTCCTGGAATAAGTCAGCAGCATCATTGGTTGGTTCTGTTCTTTCACTGACGTCCTGGAATAAGTCAGCAGCGTCATTGGTTGGTTCTGTTCTTTCACTGACGTCCTGGAATAAGTCAGCAGCGTCATTGGTTGGTTCTGTTCTTTCACTGGCGTCCTGGAATAAGTCAGCAGCGTCATTGGTTGGTTCTGCTCTTTCGCTGACGTCCTGGAATAAGTCAGCAGCGTCATTGGTTGGTTCTGTTCTTTCACAGACGTCCTGGAGTAAGTCAGCAGCGTCATTGGTTGGTTCTGTTCTTTCACAGACCATGTGCTTTTACACCTTCAGCACATCTGTGCAGGCACCTCCTGAGCCCCCAGCAGGACAGATGAGGCTCTTATCCCCATGAAGCTGGCCATCTGGCAAGAACTCAAGGTCTTTTCTGTAGTGTCCATGAATCACAGGTGCCACAAAGGGGGTCAGAGGCACAGTGACAATGCACGACCATGGGGAATGACAGGGGCAGGGTGGGAGGGACCACGGGCAGTCCAGCTCTGCCTTGGGACCCTTAGGAACCTCTTACATAGGTAGAGGGGTGGCAAGTCACACAGAACGTTAGTGAGGATCCCACGTTGGGAGTTTGGAAAATCACCTTCCAAAGGTCTGGGTTTGAGTGATTTAAACTATATTAATTGTTCCTTATTAAAATTTATGTATTTTTCCTCTCACTTTTAGAAAATATGTGAAATCACTTTCAACATTATTAAAGATACAACACAACTAGAGGCCATTATCAATGAAGTTGTGTAAAAGTTTAGAGCTTGCCAATATACAATAATCTGAAATGCTTAATCCCTTGCAGTTACCGGCACATCCAATGGTTGTCCTTGAAAACAGCATTACAAATGACAGGTGGAGCTATATAAGCTAATTCCTGGACAGATGGCAGGGAAACCACACAGAGGCGGGACTCATGGAATGCTTTGGGTG
This sequence comes from Homo sapiens, assembly GCF_000001405.40. NCBI lineage: Eukaryota > Metazoa > Chordata > Mammalia > Primates > Hominidae > Homo > Homo sapiens. The sequence goes on from NC_000015.10 coordinate 27,968,825, forward strand.
ATCATATAGAAGAATTCACCACTTTCCCGATAGTTCTTCAATGGGGGTATTACATTGAATTTTGTGTTTATCTCTATAATTCATACCCCAGATATCTGAAAAAGATCCACGATACTTTTAGGGGCTTATGAAACTGTTTTAAATTCTTCTAAACTCAGAGGCAAAAAAAAAAAAAAAGGAACTGTTGCGTCAGAGAAAATGATTTAAACTATAGTACTAATATATTTATACACTAGCTGGGTCATGAAATGCAATTGTTAATATTTTTTAGAGAAAATGTCCCAAGAAGACAGAAGTACCTATATCCTGAGTAATTCTTGGTCCCTCTAGAACATAATAACTATAAAGTTTTGCCCCATTTGAAATGTTGGGGCAATTGGAGAAAAAAGTGATGAGTAGATAAAAGAAAAAAAAAAAAGTAAGGAGGTCCTGGGTGTGCGTCCACAGCAAAATGACACAGCACTGAGTGAAGCATTTGGTTGCTACTAGACTTGCGATGGGTGGATTCATCAAAAGAGCAATGATAAGGGAAAAATCCAAACTGATCACTTTAGGAAACAGGCAGATGCAGTGTGCAGTGGGATGCAGATGTTTGCACTAAGCTTATTAGGCGCAGGTATCTGGGACACCCTGCTGCTTTTACATGCCTCTGTAATTTCCTAGACTCTCGTCTGTGTTCCCAGTAACAAAACTATCCACCAGCACACTCACATCAATTCAGCGCCTAAATGCGCTCTTTCTGCTTCAAGGTGCCACTTCTGCTTTGTATTGTTTTATTATAGGCTCCACTCAGTCATTTTCTTCTTAATTTTCCCCACTGTCCTCATTTGATGGATTAAATGGCCAAATATTAGGCACGTAAACCAAACAAAAGAGGAACCCTCAATCAGATCAGAACATTCCCAGATTCATAATCTACATACATTTAAGGGGACACGCCTGAGGGACTTCTGGCCCACCAATATCATTTTCTAGGAATGACGCTTCAGGCTAGCTCTGTGACAAGTCAAAATGGTCCATTAGGTTGCAAAGGAGGGGCTCAAGCCAAAATGATTTCTTGAATTCTTCCATGTGAAAATTTAAAAAAAAAAAAAAGCTTCTTATGAAGTGTTTAGCTGAATCTATTGAATATTTTAGTAAAATATGCATGGTGTAATTTGAAAATATAATCCTGTCTAGATGGCCAGTAAGGAGAGGACCCAGCACTGCAGGAATGCGTGTGGGCCAGACGGGGGTGTGGGTCTCGCTGCTTGTAAGGGATCCATCAAGCATAGGTGCAGGGGTCCTGGCACACATGGGTCTAAAGGAAGAGCCTCTGGCAGAGACACAGATCCCAGCAAGCTGAAAACGGAGCAAGCCACGGAGGGGATGAGCTTTGCTAGCCAGTGCTGATCTGAGAGGAGAAAAAGGTCAAAAACGAAGACCCCTGAGCCCACAGATATTAAATAGGTGTGTGGAAACCAACAAACCAAAAAAAAAACCCCATAAAGGAAATTCAGAGGGGGCCAGAGAGGCAGAGCAGGGCCCACAAGAGAGAGACACTGTCTCAATTAACACCCAAGGGAGTGGGGGAAAAGCAGTAGTGGAGGAGAAGCCAAAGAACTTCACAGCACATGCAGCATGGCAGGAACGCAGGAAAAACGCCCCAGCAGGCACGGCATGGTGGGAAAATATGAAGAAGGTCCCAGCACACACAGCACGGTGGGAAAATGTAAAGAATGTCCCAGCACGCACAGCATGATGGGAAAACATGAAGAATGTCCCAGCATGCACAGTATGGCAGGGAAAGCCTGAAGAACGCCCCAGCACACACGGCATGGTGGGAAAACATTAAGAATGTCCCAGCATACGCAGTACGGCAGGGAAAGCCTGAAGAACGCATGCTGGGAAAACGTGAAAAACATCCCAGCACACACAGAATGTTGGGAAAACATAAAGAACATCCCAGCATGCACAGTATGGCAGGGAAAGCCTGAAGAATACCCCAGTACGTATGGCATGGTGGGAAAACGTGAAAAACGTCCCTGCACACATGGGATGGTGGGAAAACAGGAAGAACGTGGCAGCACCCACGGCATGATGGGAAAACGTAAAGAACGTCCCAGCATGCACAGTACGGCAGGGAAAGCCTGAAGAACTCCCCAGCAAGCACGGCATGGTGGGAAAACGTGAAAAATGCCCCAGCATGCAAGGCATGGTGGGAAAACATAATTATAATGTCCCAGCAAGCACAGTATGGCAGGAAAGCCTGAAGAACGCCCCAGCATGCCCGGCATGGTGAGAACACGGAAAGAACCTCCCAGCATGCAAGACATGATGGGAAAACGTGAAGAACGCCCCAGCACGCATGGCATGGTGGGAAAACGGGAAGAATGTCCCAGCAAGCCCAGCGCACAGTATAGTGGGAAAAGTATAAAAAGCATCCAAGTACACAACGTGGGGCATGAAGGGAAACCTGTCTTCTTACAAAGATGCTATTCAGAAGCATAGGGGCACGCTTCCCTCAAGAGACTTTTCAGGTATTATTTTAAAGATAGTTGAATAGTTTTGCTCACCATGGTGAGTCTCTGTAGAACAGGCATAAAGGAGCAAATGTAACCAGCAAAGTAAAACTTTATCCTGTCAGCTTGTTAGGAGCTGAAGGTGCAGTGGGTTGGTGCGCGTGGATGCTACAGCCAGGCCGACTCATGCTTACCCAAGGGAGGCTTGTGGCTGGGGAATAAGTGGTTGTCCATGTGGTGGGTCCTGGAGGTCCTCCCTACCTACCTGTCCAGTGCTGGAAATTCCACCGACAGAGAGTTATCCCAAGAGACCTGAGAGACCTAAGCCTCGTGCAGCAATGGTAGGTGGCAAGAACTTTCCTCACAACTTCCTGTCGTTTCTGCCCAATGCTCGGAAAATGTGGACGAGTTTTCAGATGTGACTTCTTTACTGTTCCAAACTCTAGTGCTGATTTGTTTATTATTCCTCCAAACTACATAAGTATTCATTTTCTTTGTGAATTTTTTTTTCATTAGCTTTAGGGGTGCAAGTGGTTTTCGGTTACATGGATAAATTATATACTGGTGAAGTCTGGGATTTTAGTGCACCCATCACCAGAGTAGTGGACATTGTACATAATATGTAGTTTTTCATCCATCAACCCCTCCTGACCTCCCCTCTTCCTAGTCTCCAATGTTCTCGTTACCAGTGTATGCCTTTGCATACTCACAACTTAGCTCCCACTTATATGTGAGAACATGCGGTATTTGCTTTTCCATTTCTGAGTTACTTCACTTAGAATAATGGCCTCCAGTTCCATCCAAGTTGCTGCAAAAGACATTAGTTCATTCTTTTTTATGGCTGAGTAGTATTCTATGGTGTGTGTGGGTGTATATACACGCATATCTCTCTCTCTCTCAAATTTTCTTTATCCACTTATCTGTTGATAGGCATTTAGGTTGAGTCCATATCTCTGCAGTTGTGAATTGTGCTGTGATAAACATAAGTGTGCCGGTGTCTTTTTGATATAATGACTTCTTTTCCTTTGGGTAGATACCCAGTGACTGGATTGCTGGATTGAATGGTAGATATACTTTTAGTTCATTGAGAAATCTCCACAGTATTTTCCATAAGGGTTGTATTAATTTACATTCAAACCAGCAGTGTATAAGCATTCCCTTTTTACCACATCTGTGCCAACATCTATTGTTTTTTGACTTTTTAATAATGGCCATAATGGCCATTCTGGCTGTAATAAGGTGATATCTCATTCTTTTAATTTGTATTTCCTGATGATTAGTGATGTTCAGCATTTTTTCATATGTTTCTTGGCCAGTTGCATATCTTCTTCAAAAATGTCTACTCATGTCATTTGCCTACTTTTTATTGGGATTATTTTTTTTTTCTTGCTAATTTGTTTGAGTTTCTTATAGATTCTGGATATTAGTCCTTTGTCAGATTCATAGTTTGCAAACATTGTCTCCCATTCTGTAGGTTTTCTGTTTACTTTGATGGTTATTTTATTTTATTTTATTTTATTTTATTTTATTTTATTTTATTTTATTTTATTTTATTTTTGTGACAGAGTCTCTCTTTCTCACCCAAGCTGGAGTGCAGTGGTGCAATCTCGGCTCACTGCAACCTCTGCCTCCCTGGTTCAAGTGATTCTCCTGCCTCAGCCTCCCGAGTAGCTGGGATTACAAGCATGCACCACCACGCCCAGCTATTTTTTTATTTTATTTTTAGTAGAGATGGGGTTTCACCGTGTTGGCCAGGCTGGTCTCTAACTCCTGACCTGAAGTGATCCTCCCACCTTGGCCTCCCAAAGTGCTGGGATTACAGGCGTGAGCCACCATGCCCAGTCTGCATTAGCTTTTCAGTTTAATTAGATCCCATTTATTTTTGTTTCTGCAGCATTTGTTTTTGGGGTCTTTGTCCTAAATTCTTTGCCTGGGTCAGTGTCCAAAGGAGTTTTTCATAGGTTTTCTTCTAGAATTTTTATGGTTTCAAGTCTTAGATTTAAGTCTTTAATCCATCTTCAGTTATATTGTATATCGTGAGAGATAGGGATCCAGTTTCATTCTTCTACATGTGGCTAGCCAGTTTTCCCAGCATCATTTACTGAAGAGAGTGTCTTTTACCCAGTTTATGTTTTTGTATACTTTGTTGAAGATCAGTTGGTTGTAAGTATTTGGCTTTATGTCTGGGTTCTCAATTCTGTTCCATTGCTCTATGTGTCTACTTTTATACTAGTACCATGCTGTTTTGGTTACTATAGCCTTTTAGTATAATTTGAAGTTGAGTAATGTGATGTCTCTAGATTTGTTATTTTTATTTAGGATTGCTTTGGCGGCTATTCAGGCTCTTTTTTGGTTCCATATGAATTTCAAGATTGGTTTTTCTAATTCTGTGAAAAATGATATTGGCATTTTGATAGGAATTGCATTGAATCTGTAAGTTACTTTGGGCAATATGGTCATTTTGTGATACTGACTCTTCCAATCCATAAGTATGGGATGCATTTCCATTTGTTTGTGTCATCTATGATTTCTTTCAGCAGTGTTTTGTAGCTCTCCTTTTAGACATCTTTCAACTCCTTGGTTAAGTATATCCCTAGGTATTTTATTTTTTTGGTAGCTATTGTGAAAGGGATTGAGTTCTTGATTTGATTCTTGGCTTGGTCATTGTTGGTATATAGCAGTGCTACTGATTTGTGTACATTGATTTTGTAACCTGAGATTTTACTGAATTCATTTATCAAATCTAGGAGTCTTGGAGGAGTCTAGACTTTTCTAGGTATAAGATCATATCAGTGGCAAACAGACATAGTTTGACTTCCTCTTTTCCAATTTGGGTACTCTTTATTTCTTTCTCTTGTCTGATTACTCTGACTAGGACTTCCTCTTCAGGAATAATTTTAAAATTAATTTCAAACTTAAGTTTTATTTCATAATCTGTTTTCTTCCTATTTGAGTTCCTTGATGAACAAGTAAACAATGCAAAATAAATATGCACATCATGTGAGGCAAATGTATGGCTGTGCTGTCACTATTGATAATGAGGCTTTATAAATTTATCTCTACTGAAGACACTGTCCCTGAAACTATGAGTGCATCTGTGTCTCCATACAGAGAAGTATTTCCTTATCTCCAAACTACTGTGAAATAAATTAAAATCAAGGCCGGGCATGGCGGCTCATGCCTATAATCTCAGCACTTTGGGAGGCCGAGGCAGATGGATCACCTGAGGTCAGTAATTCCAAGACCAGCTTGGGCAACACAGTGAAACCCCATCTCTACTAAAAATATAAAAATTAGCCAGGCGTGGTGGTATGCACCTGTAATCCCAGCTACTCAGGAGGCTGAGGCAGGAGAATTGCTTGAACCCAGGAGGCGGAGGTTGCAGTGAGCCAAGATCACGCTACTGCACTCCAGCCTGGGCAATAGGGTGAGACTCCATTACAGTTTAATTCCCAAATTCAGAGAAAGTCATTAAGTAGAAGACAAGGAATGCTGTCTTCAGTAAAATAAGGACAGTCCTAAGGCCATCTTCCCAGAGAATGTCACTTTGGCAGAAAATTGTATGACAAGCCTGGGCTGAGCCTCAGCAAGACCATAGGGTGTACTCACCTCCAGGGTCCTCACCTTTCTTTCCTACCATCGTATTTAAAACCTGGATATCTTAAAAAGGCTCGTCATATGCCATGGAGGATTGTAGCAATGGTCTGACAGACTGCTCTTTGCCCTCAGTTTTCTACGTGGCTTGGTAGAAACACAGCCAGTGTCTGTCTTGGGTCATATCATATTGTTTAGTTCAGAATATTTCGATCTAGGACTGTAAGGGCAGGCTTAAAATGATGCAGAGTTAATTCAGATTGTGTGTAAGAAATACACCATGCCTAGGATTTTACATTAACACTAATGTGATGCTAGTCAGGAGAGTTAAACTGTTGCAGCATTCATTAAATATTGTCTTAAAAAGAAGAAAAAAAAATAAGTTGAAAGCCAAGTTCTAAAGAGTGTAATGAAGTACAGTAGCCACATCTTCACTTGAACTATTTTTCTACCTATTCTACTACAACTTAGGTTTTCCACTAGAAATTAAGGTTTTAGGTTTTACACTTACATCTATGATCCAGTTTGAGTTAATTTGTGGATATAGTGAGAGGTGTGGACTAAAGTTCATTTTTCCTGAATATGAATATACATTTGTTCCAGGACAATTTGTGGAAAACGCTATCTTGTCTCTGCTGACTTGGCTTTGCACCTTTGTCAAAAATCAGTAGTTCACTTATGTGTGGGCCTGTATCTACACTCCCTACTTTATTCCATTTATCTATTTGTCTGTCTTGATGCCAAAACCACTGTCTTGGTTACTGAGACTTTATAATAAATCTTGGTGTCAGGAAGTACTAGCCCTTTCCATTTGTTTTTGTTTTCTTTTTTTGTCATTCTGGATACTCTGAATTTCTGTATAAATTTTAGAATCAGCTTGTCAATTTCTACCCAAAGAGAAAACCTGCTATAGTTTTGATGGGGATTGCTTGAATTTATAGATTAATTTGGAAAGAATGGATAGCTTAACAATATTGAGTTTTCCAGCCCATAAACAAGGTGTACCTCTTAATTTATTTAGATCTTCTTTAATTACTCTGCAGTTTTGTAGTTTTCAGTATATAGGCCTTGCGTATGTTTGGTCATATGCAATACTGAATACAGCATATGTTTTGTGCTACTGTAAGTGAAATTTTAATTTTCAGTTATTTATTGCTAAATATAGAAAACCATTAATTTTTGTATATGGACTCCGTATCCTGCAACCTTGTCAAATTTATTTATTTGTAGGAGCTCTTTTGTGGACTGCACCAAATCTTCTACGTGGACGATTGTGTCATCCGCAAATAAAGACTTTTAATTCTTCCTTACCAATATTGATGCTTTGTATTTCTTTTCTTGCATTATCACGTGAGCTACAGCCTCCAATAAAATGTTGAATAAAAATAGTGAGAACAGATATCCTTGTCTTGTTTCTGATGTTAGAGGGAAATCATTCAGTTATTCTCAATGAAGTATGATGCTAGCTATAGATTCTCAGATGTTCTTTATTGGGTTGATGAATTTCTCTTTTATCCTTAGTTTCTTGAGAGATTTTATCAGTAATAGATATCGGATTTTGCCAAATGTTTTTTCTGCATCTATTGAGATGATCATATGGTTTTCTCATTTAGTTTGTTAGTATAGTAAATTACATTGATTAATATTTCAAATATAAGAATCTTCCATTCCTGGATAAATTCTACTTGGTTAAGATGTATTACCTATTTAGATATTGTTAAATTGGATTTACTAATTTTTTAAATATTAAATCTATGTTCACAAGAAATATTTATCTATAGTTGCCTTTTCTCATACTGGTTTTGTCTAGTTCACATATCAAGGCCTCATAGAATTAATTGGGAAATATTCTCACCTCTTCAATTTACTGTAAAGCTTTGTATAGAATTGGTATTATAACATTATTTTTTCCTTAACTATTTGGGAGAATTCACCAAAGAAGCTATCTTAGCCTGAGTTGTTTGTTTATGTTTGTTTTGTTCTTTGTGGGAAGGTTTTTAACTACATATTTGATTCTTCTATAGATACAGGGCTACTCAGGTTACCTACTTCTTCTTGAGTGAAGTTTTAAAGAGTGTGTGTTTCCAAAAAATTGTTTATTTTATCTAAGTTGTCAAATAGTTTACATAGAGTTGTCCATGATCTTCTCTAAGAATAGTATTAATGTCTGTATGCTCTGTTGTAATATAACAACTCTTATTCTTGATATTAGTAACTTGAATCTTCTGTCTCATTTTCCTCATCAGCTTGGCGAGATGTTTATCAATATTATTGATCTTGTCAAAGAACCAGCTTTTGCTTTCGTTGATGTTCCCTATTTTTCTAGTCTGTATATATTTTTTTCTTCTGCTTACTTTTAGTTTAATTTCTCTTTCTGATTCCATAGGATAAAGCTGAGGTTATGGATTTGAGACACATCTTTTCAAATACAGGTGTTTAGTGTTATAAATTTCCTTCTAAATACTGCTTTAGAGTAGGGACTAGCACACGTGGAGCTGGAATATAGCCATATCCATTCATTTATGTGTTGTCTATGGCTGCTTTCTTGCTATATAGTGGTGCAGCTGAGTAATTGCAATGGAGACCATACAGCCCACACGTCTATAAAATTAACTATATATGGCCTTTTAAGAAGTCTACTGACTTCTGCTATAGAGGAATCCCACAAATTCTGATATGTTCTGTTTTCACTATAATTCAACACAAAATTGCTCGGGACTGAATTGTGTTTCCCCGAAAGTACTGTGGCCAAAGCCCTACCTCGCCCCCTCAATGGGGTGGTATTAGGAGATGGAGTCTTTTGGAGGTGATAGGGCTTAGATGAGGTCATGAGGGTGGAGCCCTCACACTGGGATTAATGCCTGTATAAGAAGAGACACCAGAGAGCTTCATCTCTGCCTCTTCTCCCCGCCTCCCTGCCACATGAGGACACAGTGAGAGAGCGGCCATCTGCAAGCCTGGAAGACAGCCCTCACCAGGGAATGAGATCCACTGGATCTTGAACTTTCTAGCCTCCCGACTGTGAGGAATAAATTGCTGTTATTTAAGCTGCCCAGTCTATGGTATTTGGTTATCGCATTCCAAGCTGATGAGTACAAAAATACTTTCTAATTTCAATCTCACTTTCTTCTTTGACCCTTGGATTACTGAAATGTGTGTTATTTAGTTTCCAGATATTTGAGGATTTTCCACATATCCTTGTTATTATATTCTAATTTAATTCAACTGTGGTCACAGAAAATATTTTATATTACTTGAATCTTTTTAAGTTTATTGAGATCTGTCTTATGGCCTAGAATCCATTTCAGTTAATGTTTCAAGTGCAGTTGGAAAAACATATACATTCTTCTGATATTGAGTGGCGTTTTCTATAAATATCAACTAGGTCATGTTAGTTAACAATAATGAAGTTTTCTATATCCTTGTAGATTTTCTCTCTACTTGTTCTTTCAATTATTGTGAGAATTGTACTGAACTCTCCAACTATAATTAAGGATTTATCTATTCCTCCTGCAGTACTATCAAGTTTCACATATTTTAAAGCTCTGTCATTGGTTGTATAAATGTAATTTTTATGTTCACTATATGAATTTACCCCTTTATTATGATGAAATGTTCTTTAATCCTAGAAATATTCTTTGCTCTGCAGTCTACTTTGTCAGATATTAATATAGCCACTTTGTTCTGATGAATCTTTTGCCATTCCTTTACTTTTAACTTGTGTCTATATGTATATATGTGTGTATATATATAGAGAGAGAGAGAGAGACATTTTTTTTTTTCCTGAGACGGAGTTTCACTCGTCACCCAGGCTGGAGTGCAATGGGGTGATCTTGTCTCACTGCAACCTCCATCTTCCGGGTTCAAGCGATTCTCCTGCCTCAGTCTCCCAAGTAGCTAGGATTCCACGTGCCTGCCACCATGCCCGGCTAATATTTTGTACTTTTAGTAGAGACGGGGTTTCACCATGTTAGCCAGGATGGTCTTGAACTCTTGATCTTAGGTGATCCACCAGCCTCGGCCTCCCAAAGTGCTGGGATTACAGGCATGAGCCACCGCGCCTGGCCTTGTATCTTTATATTTTAAACTTGTGTCTTGTAAGCAGCATAATGCAGATGTTCCCTGACTTAATTTGGTTCCATTTACAATTTTTCAATTTCACAATGGTGCAAAAGCATCTCAACTTTGATGTAATGTACAATATTCAATAAGTTACATGAGCTATCCAGCACTTTATTATAAAGTAGACTTTGTGTTAGATTTTGCCCAACTATATGCTAATGTAAGTGTTCTGAGCACATTTAAGGTGGGCTTAGGCTAAGCTATGATGTTCAGTAGGTTAGGTATATTAAACACATTTTGGCTTATGATATTTTTAACTTACAGTAAGTTTATCTGGATGTAATCCCAAAGTTAGCTGAGGAGCATCTATAGTTGGATGGGGCTTGTTTGTTTGATCTGACAATCCCTGCTTTTTAATTGGGATATTTAAACTATTTATATGTTATGTAATTATTAAATATAGTTAGGTTTAACTCTTGCAATTTGTTTTATATTTGTTCCACCATTTCTTTGCTTCCTTTTGCCTTTTTTCTAAATTCCATTCCATTAAATAAATACTATTTATGATTCCACTTATATTCTTTGTTGGCATTAGCTGTTACTCTTTGTTTTTCCTTTTAGCGGTTGCTTTAGAGTTTATCATATACATTTTTAACTTTCACGGACTACCTTCAAATTATATTAGTTTACATATACTATAAAAAATCTTACATTAATATACTTTTTTTTTTTTTTTGAGACAGAGTCTCACTCTTTCACCCAGGCTGGAGTGCAGTGGCACAGTCTTGGCTCACTGCAACCTCCGCCTCCTGGGTTCAAGCAATCCTTCTGCCTCAGCCTCCTGAGTAGCTGGGACTACAAGCACGTGCCACCATGCCCAGCTAGTGTTTTTTTTTTTTTTTTTTTGGATTTCTAGTAGAGACGGGTTTTAACCGTGTTAGCCAGGATGGTCTCGATCTCCACACCTCATGATCCACCCGCCTCAGCCTCCCAAAGTGCTGGGATTACAGGTGTGAGCCACCGCACCTGACACATTAATATACTTTAATTTCTTCCCTTCCAGGCTTTATTTTATTGTTGTCATCAATTCTACTTACATGTTACATTACTGTTTTCTTTAAACAATTATCTCAAAGTGGCTTAATTTTTTTTTGTTTTTTGAGACAGAGTCTCGCTCTGTTGCCCAGGCTGGATGGAGTGCAGTGGCACGATCTCGGCTCGCTGCAAGCTCCGCCTCATGGGTTCACGCCATTCTCCTGCCTCAGCCTCCAGAGTAGCTGGGACTACAGGCACCCAATACCACGCCTGGCTAAGTTTTTGTATTTTTAGTAGAGACGGGGTTTCACCTTGTTAACCAGGATGGTCCTGATCTCCTGACCTCATGATCCGACCGCCTCAGCCTCCCAAAGTGCTGGGATTACAGGCGTGAGCCACCGCGCACGGCCAGTAATTTTTTAAATTATGTGAATTTCCCCATGTAGTTACCCTTTTCAGTATTCTTCATGACTTTGTGAAGATCCATGTTTCCATTTGGTGTTATTTTCCTTCTGCCTTAAGGACTTCCTTTAGTATGTCTTACCATGTGGGTCTGCTGCTGATGCATTCTTTTTAGCTTTTCTATATGAGAAAAAGTCTGTTTTTTGTACATAAGAAAAAGATTTTCACCGGGTGTAGTATTCTGAGATCACAGGTGTTTTCTTTCAGTATTTAAAGGTATTGCTCCGTTGCCTTCACACGTGCATTATCTCTAAAGAGAAATATATTGTCGTCTTTATCTCTGTTTCCTCGCCTGTAACATGTCTTTTTCTTTGGAAACTAAGATTTTCTCTTCATCTTGCTTTCAAATAATTTGATTATGATGTGTCTTACTGTAGTATTCTACGTGTTTCTTGGGCTCTGGCTTCATTGAACTTCTTGATTCTGTGGGTTTATACCATTCATAAAATTTGGAATTTAGGACCATTTTTCAGATGCCTTTTTCCGTTCCCCTCTCTCCTTCAGAGATGAGAATTGCATATGTTAGGCCACTTGAAATTTTCCCATAGCTCACTAATGCTTTTCAGTCCTTGTTATTATCTTTTTACTCCATTTCATTTTGGATTTATGTCTTCATTAATCTTTCCTTATGTAATATTTAATATGCCACTAATCCCAGCAAGTGTATTTCTATCTCAGACATTGTAATGTTCATGTCTAGATGTTTGATGTGGGGCTTTTTTAATATCTTTAATGTTGCTACTTGGTGAATATCTGTAACACCATTATAATAACACTTTTAATGTCCTAGTCTGCTAATTCTAACACCTGTGCCTGTTCTACGTTAGTTTCAAATGGTTTGTATCATCGCTGTCATAGGTTATATTTTCTTGCTTCTTTACATGCCTGATAATCAGTGATTGGTTGCCAGACATTGCAAATTTTACCCTGTGTGTTGTTGAATATTTTTGTATCACTCTAAATATTCTTGACGTTTGTTCTAGGATGCAGTTAAAATACTTAGAAACAGTTTGGTTCTTTGGGGTCTTAGTTTCAAGATTTCTTAGGTGGAAGCAGAGCAGTGTTCAGTTTATAGTTAATTACCCCTCATAACTGAGGCAAGACACTTGTGAGTACTCTACCCAGTGCTCCATAAATTAAGAGGTTCCAGTCTGCCTGGCAGAACAGATATCATTACTATTCCTGTCGTGTGCGTCAAGCACTTGTCCCTCTCATCTTTCTGGGTTGTTCTCCCCGGGTCTCATGTAGTCTCCTCGCATGAATGCACTGATCTGAACACTCTGCTGAACACTCCAAAGGGACCCTCTGAGGATCTCTGTGGTTCAGCTGTGTCCTCTCTGGACTCTCGCTGCCCTGGTCTCCCCAGACTTTCAGCTTCATCCTCTCAACTCAGGGGGTGTCATGGGCTTGGCCAGGGTCGTCCCTCCCTGCACTGCACTCTGGAAGCTCTCTTGAGGTAGTGAGCTGGAGCAGTCATAGAGCTCACCGCATTTGTTTCCCGTCTCACAGGGATCACTGTCCCTTTGTGCCTGTTATCCAGTGACTTGGTTACCATTGTTCCATGTGTTTTGTCTGGTTTTGGTTTATTTTTGTTTTGTTTGACTATCCCAGGCAAGAGAGTAAATCCAGGCCCTGTTATTCCATGTTGGCCAGAAGCAGAAGCTGTGCTGTCTTTTGTACTCATCTATATCCACATACAAACACTCTAGGATGCTATTTGCACCAAAATATTAAAAGAATTTACCTCTGGTTTTTGGAATTATGAATTTTTATTGTATGTGCATGTGCATGTCTGTGAGACTTCTGTTTTCTACCAAAAAAAGTATTACCTGTTTATGGAATGAAACTAACAATACAATTTTTTTCTAAAAATACTTCTATTCCATGAGCATGAGCTCCATCCTGGATAACAGGTGCCCCTAGCATAAACTGCAGGGTCTGTTACCACCTGACATGCTCCAGGGTGGCATGACCATGGCTGCACACCTCAGTTCACATGGCAAAGTTGGTGAAGTGTTGCCAAGCAGTTTCCCACGGCAGCTAGGGAATGCAGAGCCATACCCAGAACCTCTGGAGCGCACTGCTTCCATGAAGCGGCCATTAACACCCTGGAGCCATGGATTCTCAAATGTTTAAATATTTTTATGGAACACAGCGTTCAAATACAAACACACTGCTACCCTTCAGGCACACACACACACAAACACATCATCTACAAGAAATAACACCAATGTGGAAGCATTTTCACTGATGCCTCAGAGGAGGAAGATTGAGAAAATTCTAATGATCAAAGAGTAGAGAATAAAAATTAATGATATAGTTCAATTTTCACCTTGAAGATATGTAGAATACCTTGCACTTTCTAATACTTTGTCTTTATTACAGTATACAAAGAAATTATACCCTAATATTTATATGGGGCTTTCAAAGAATTTCTAAAGACATTCATTTCTGACCCTTAAAAAATAAATTTTAAGTCCTTCATCAGTAAACTAATCCACCACAGTTTGGGAATCCCATATCTCCAGTGAGAGGGAACAGGTCATTTTGTTTTTAATGTAGGTTGGAAGAAACCTCAGTTCCTATTAATACAATTAATATAACATACTATGACTAACTACATCATGCTATCCAGTCATTTCTTTAAAAACTGATCAGAATGAGTATGAAGTCAATTCAAGCCAGTTAACTCTAGGATTGAAGGACCAGTCACCTAACATCCCAGTCTTGAGATGCCCAGTAGCACTTACTGTGAAGAGGTGGCGTGATGATCTTGATTTCTAACAAAGGCGTCCATGTGGGGTAGAGCTCTAACTAAGTGGAGGTGTGCGTTTACTGGAAGCAACCCTAGCATGCTGGTACGTACCATCTTCCTCAGCTCTTGGTTGGAAACAATAATGACATTTGGAGGGTCCCCGATGGCAGTGGCAGCTCCTCCAATGTTTGTGAAGATCACTTCTGCAATCAGGACTTGTCTTGGATCAAGGTTGAGCACCTCACACAACCTGTCACAAATGGAGGAAAATGAAAGTAGTCCCACTATACACATCGTGAAAGGCCCACATGCAACCCAGAGATTTTTAAGGCGCTTGCTCGTATAAGGGAGGCGCGCACACACACACACCCCTGTGGGGAAGGCAGTGCTGGGGGGAATGAACAACTGCAACAACCCCCGCAGGCCACAGCTCACTCCGAGAGTTACATTCCTTTCCAGAGTGAGCCTCCAGCCACCAAACCCTCGGTGTGGTCAGGTACCCTTTCCCCAATGCTCCCAGGTCTGGAGGGAGCACTGGCCCCCAGGGCAGGGCAGGCCCTCCACAGGCAAGCCAGTGCTGTGGGGGTCAGTGTGGAGGCAGTGCGGATGGCTCACACAGGGCCTGCTGACTCAGCCCCTTTCCCACCTCCCCCTTCCTGGACACCAAGGCCCTAGGCTCTCTTCTCACCCCCTCCCTTTGTTTTATTCATCTATGTATTTTCTATGTATTTACTTTGTATTGCTATAAAACATACTAGATATATATATACATACATACATTTTCAGGGTGCATATGATAATGTAATAATTCACATAATCAAACCAGGTAACTAGGATAACCATCCCCTTAAATATCAATCTGTTCTTTACCCTGGGAGCATTCCAGTTATTCTCTTCTAGCTATCTTGGAGTGTACAATCAATTCATGCTAACTGTATTCACCCTACAGATCTGTCTAAGCCACATTCTACAGCTGTGGAGCTCCACCATGGCCTCACACTAGATTTGTGCTGGAATCTGGGAGTCCTACAACTCGCCCAGCGCAGACCAGTGCCTGGGAGTGGGCCCGGGCAGTGGTGCTCTACAGCTCCCCAGGGGACCCAGTATGCACACAGCTGGGAAACATTGCTCTAAAGAAAGTGTAGAAGGCACATCACAGCATCCCCTACACCTGCTCATCCACACAGCCCACTCCCACACAGGACCCGGCCTTGGGTCTCACTCAGAGGCCTCCCACCACCTCAGCAGATGGTGATGGAGAAGAACATGGACAGGGACTCCTGGCACCTGGGCACCTGGTGGTCTGGGGTGAGCCATTTTTTGTTTGTTTGTTTGTTTGTTTTTTGAGACGGAGTCTCGCTCTGTTGCCCAGGCTGGAGTGTGGTGGCGCAATCTCAGCTCACTGCAACCTCCGCCTCCCGGGTTCAAGGGATTCTCCTGCCTCAGCCTCCCCAGTAGCTGGGATTACAGGCACGTGCCACCACGCCTGGCTAATTTCTGTATTTTTAGTAGAGACGGGGTTTCACCAGGGGTGAGCCATTCTTGTCCACATGTCTCCCCATGAGACCACAATCTCCAGGAAAGCAAGGCCTATGTCTTCCACCTCCTGCAGGCATTTCTGCCACCAGCTTCTGAGGCCCCACTGCTTGTAGCATGTACTGCAGTCACACAAAGCAGACACGAGCTGGACTGGAATGCAGTGAGCTGTGGGCTCAACCGCCCCCACCTTTTCATGCACCTGAGAATGGAACCTGGAGCCAGGCAGTGCAGGCAGAGCCCCTGCCTGCCAGAACCTGGCCGCAACTCCCACGGCAGAGGTGCTTTGCGTACCTTATGGTCACAGGCGTGAAGAGGAGCATGGTGGTGACGTTGTCCAAGAAGGCAGAGAGGACGGCCGCGATGAGACAGAGCATGATGATCATGGCCCACACCCGTCCCCGGGAGAGCCGGTATGCCTGGCCACACACACACAGAGAGAGTACAAGCCAGAGTGAGCAGGCTCGTAGAACAGAGGCAGCCTTTCATTAGTGACTTTAAGAACAGGGAGCCAAACTAACATTACCCCATGGGTTAAGACATAGACCCACGGAGTCCTAGGGGGGCCGAGATGAGACAGTGCTGGCCATCGAAGTTCCTAGACATTCTAAATCCTCCCTAGCCAGCACTGTCACCCCTCTGATCCTCTTCCTTCACAGAGCCCCTGTGATGGTTAATTTGTCACAAGGTGATGACCCTCAGTCCCCGTAATGCCATCGGTATTCTGGTTAGACAACCTGGGCTTTGACATTTGGGATCCATGTGAGCCTAGTGTCTGCTGATCTCTGGGGAACTAAGGGATACTTTTAATAGTAAGGAGTAATAGACCAAATATCTACCTGGCATGTATAAGGTGGGGCTCAAAGATGACAAAAATCACAGCACAGTTCCATCATTCAGAGTTTGCAAAGGGCTTTGTTGAGTAATTTTTTTTTTTTTTTGAGACAGAGTCTCACTCTGCCACCCAGGCTGGAGTTTGGTGGTGTGATCTCGGCTCACTGCAACCTCCACGCCTGGGGTTCAAGCAATTCTCTCGCCTCAGCCTCCCGAGTAGCTGGGATTACAGGCGTGTGCTACCACGCCCAGCTAATTTTTGTATTTTTAGTAGAGATGAGGTTTCACCATGTTCACCAGGATGGTCTCAACCTCTTGACCTCGTGATCTGCCCACCTTGGGCTCCCAAAGTACTAGGATTACAGGCGTGAGCCACTGCGCCCAGCCTGTTGAGTAATTTTTAAAAAGACCTTTTCAGTTTCAAAAATAATATATATTCAAGCACAGCACTAGACTGCATTAGCAGGGCATGGTACATGTTGAGCTCTCCTCTTGCCAACCCTGAATGACAGGACAGGTACAAATCCTGGAGGCCAGAGCTGGCTGGTGAAGCTCCCCAGGGTTCCAGTTAAAAATGTAAATGTGTATATATTCAATATTTAGGAAGGAATCATGGAAATTATTTCACCAAAAAGCAAAGTAATCAGAAGCTAATGGCTTGAAATATTGGGATACTCTAATATGTAAAACAATTTTTGATGTGTAGCTCTCACCAGACAATTTAAATAATACACAACGATTCAACCTGAGTACCCTTTTCCTTGACCTCCTTCTTCATTTATTTACTGAGCAGCTGAAAGTGCTGCTCAGAGCCATACAACTTAACATAGCAAGTATACCCTGCCCTGCAGAAGCAACCTTTAAAAGAAGGATGGAATTTTTCAATGTTTGTTTTAAATGTTTGTTTCCTAAATATATAATGTCAGAAAAATACATATATAAATTAATCAGGATAGAATTATTAAATGCAACATCATACCTACCTTTACAGCACAATAATCGAAAAATCCCGTTTCTGAAAATATGGCTACTAAGATCATCTATGGGGAAAAGAAGAAGACAAGGATAATCTTTTAGCAGGACACCATATTAAAACGACATCAGCATGATCCCTTACACATTTGAGCTCTGGCCTCTGAAAGCCACCACATCACCAAGCTCCTCACTCTGAGATGCAGAAAGACCGTCACTTCCTGGAATAGTACACTCACTCACTCCTTGAATGGAGCCTCTTGCTAGCAGTTTTGTGCCTATATGTGTGTCCAGGGATTTGTCCTCAAGGCACATTACCATCCCATCTGATCCTCACACACAAAAAAATCAGGTGTTATTTTCACCCTCTGTTTTATAGACTAGAAAATGGGATCAGAGTGCGAGGTGGGTTGCTCACAGCCACAAATCTAGAAGCCGGGCGGGAGCCAGCATGTGGCCTTCTGCACCTACGTGTCCACACAAGCAACACTTAAACATTCTATGATGCTAAAATTGGGTTCAATTTTGTTTTCTAAAATAATTAAACTGATTTTTGTCACCAATTTGAGAGTTTTATTGAAATGATTGCTCCCTGGGTTCCAGGTGAACCCAGAATGCCTATCACCTGTTTCTTTCCAGTGAGGATGATGAGTTAGTGAAAACAGAAACAGCCATCCTGGATCCTAATAAAAAGTCATGTCCCAGTTATTCTGAATTTTATCAACCAGACATCTCAGCTAGTGAATGTTCTGGAAGTTCCTCTGCTTCACCTCTTTGATGGCAGTCACCATGTGTTGAACTTGGAATGAGAAGATGCAAGTTCAGATCCTGATTCTGCCACTTAAAAATAGTCTGAACTTGAGGCTGGGTGTGGTGGCTCACGCCTGTAATCCCAGCACTTTGGGAGGCCAAGGCGGGCGGATCACGAGATCAGGAGATCGAGACCCTCCTGGCTAACATGGTGAAACCCCATCTCTACTAAAAAAAAAAAAAAATACAAAAAATTAGCTGGGTGGGGTGGCGGGCGCCTGTAGTCCCAGCTACTCAGGAGGCTGAGGCAGGAGAATGGCATGAACCCAGGACGGGGAGCTTGCAGTGAGCCAAGATCACGCCACTGCACTCCAGCCTGGAGACAGAGCGAGACTCTGTCTCAAAAAAAAAAGTCCGAACTTGAACAAAAATATGAATTAACCTTTCTGTCCTTCAGTTTTCTCACCTTACCTGTGAATGTTCTATACTTTGTCAGGTTATGAAAATGCAATATAATTATTCAAATTACAATACTCAGTAAACAGGAGTCCCAACAGACACTATTGTCTCTCAAATAAACTATAGAAAACAAAAATGTCCCCAGTCAATTTAGACCCAGTGTAAATATCCACCATGTCCAGAGTGACCATCAATGTTCATCCTCACCCAAAAGGCCACTGAGAGCTGACGGTGGAGCGTGGGGCTTCGCACACCAATGTAGCTTCACGTGAATACGCATGAGGAGACAGGCGTGTGGAGACCCATGTGGTGTTTTACACATTTGCTGACAGAACCACCCTGGGAGACTAGAACTCAGGGATGGGGGTAAATGGTCCCATGGGTGGTTGGCTGCCAGGAAATGGGGGAGAAGAGGCAGGGACCTGGTTGTAACGACCCTGTACCCTGCAGTTCCAGAATCACAGAACCTGCCAGTGCTCGCTGAACTGAATTCCACCGAGAAAAACGTGCTGAAGCCATTTTTATAGGCTGTGTCCCCCAAAATTCATATGTTCACCTCCTAGCCCCTAGTACCTGGGAATGTGAGACTGTATTTGGAGTGAGGGCGTTGAAGGAGGTAATTAAATTAAAATGAGGTTGTTAGGGTGAGCCCTCATTCAGTGTGACTGATGTCCTTATAGGATGAGGGTCTCAGGAATCAGAAACACACGGGGAAGACAAAGTGAAAACGCTGGGAGAAGGTGCCATCTACAAGCCCAGGAGGGAGGCTCAGGAGAAAGCATGCCTGCCCACACCGTGATCTCGGACTTGCAGCCTCCAGAGCTGTGAGAAAATACATTTATATTATTTAAGCCACACGGTCTGTGGTACTTTGTTACATAGTCCTAGCAAACTAATATAGCATTCCTTTTTTAAAAAAGGCGTATCTCAGGGATATCTGGTACACTTCCTCTCTTCTATCCAGATGCCCAAACTCTGTATACGTCTCAGGCCCGACACAAGTATTAGTTACTCTGTGAAGCCAGGGTTAGAGCACTGGCCTGCCTCCCTGCGCACCACCCACAGAGGATGGCGGCACGGTTTCCATCAGGTCACATAGCTGGGCCCTCCGTTATGTCAGCCAGCCTTGGGAGGGACGAAATGTTGGCAAGGAAAATGAGGATCTATCGTGCCCAGCTGTACACAGAGCAAGTCTTCTAGCCCAGAGAGGAAGAGCCCTCCTGCAGACCACTGGACTGTTTGGGGTCTGCTGAGGAACACGTGGACTGCCCCTGCTGCCCAGGCTCCACTGGTTCTAGTTAAGCTGGGTTAGGACTCACACTAGTGAGTCCCACACTAGCCCGCTTGGGCACTTCGAGATCCTGCAGGTGGACTTGGTGGCATTCCTCACAGCAGAGTGGCCACTGGGCACTATGATCAATTGGTAAACACCCAACTAATACTTAGGAGTGACACCTTCCTTTATTCACATAATGAAAGGTACTCTCTCTCCCACTGAAACTCCTACATGGTTTATTTATTTGGGATAGTCCATTTTTTTTATTTTAACGGAAATAACTCAAAAGAATTGCTAGCTTTTCTAAATGGCAATATGACTTCATCGTCAGACACGCCTTGGGCTGAAATTCTCCCGCCCACGAACCATAGCCCCATTCCATTCCTCCTCAGGAGATTCATGAGACCTGCACTAACACTTCTCAGTCAAGCCCTAGGCGCTGTGTCTTTAACATAATGAAGGACCCTCAGCGGTGGAGGCCAGAGAAGGCCCGGTTACCGCAGGCGTGGAGCCCAGTCCCACGGGGAGAGCTGTAATTACCATGCCAAACAGCAGGGCCAGCGTCTCAAAATCAATCCACTCCACCACATGGGTCAGGCTGGGTCTCTGCAATCAAAGCACAAATTTGCCAATTAATCCGTGCGCCGCCATCCCAGTGATGAGCCTAATGAAGCGCTGCCCCCTGCTGCAGACCCACTCAGTGGGCGGGCCAGGGTTGGAAATCTCACCATCCACTTGCCTTTGAAGTTGGATTATATCGCTGCTGAAAAACAGTCTTGACCCAGGGCATCTATAATGTCAAATCTATGCATTTAGTAATAAAGTTTTTTCTAGCCCCTGCCTCTGGCAGCTCCCACATGGCGGGACTGGCCCCTGGTTACATTCCGAGTGGAGTCTGTATGTGCTCTCTGCAGTGCCGTGCCTGAGACCAGATGACAGGAACTGGCATGGCAGCTGTCCCACTCTCAGCTGGGTTCCAGCACTGCCTCTCAGACAACTCTGGGCCTCCATCCCCAGTGGCCACTGGTCTCTGTTGTTTCCCTACATTTGTTTCCCATGTCCCTGCCAGAGAGGCCCTGCTCAGACCCAAACAGGACACCCTCATCCCCAAACACGCCTCTCCAGGGGCCTCCTGATCTCTTCAGGACAGACCCTGGCCCAACTGACTCCCACCTTTCTGCACCAGCTAGGACGGTCCCCTCTAGTTCCAACACCCAGATCCAGCCCCATCACAACCCAGCTCCACAGCCCTAGGCAAACATGCCCATGAGGAGCCTTTCCTCCACCACGATGAGGAATCACACCACTGGGATGTGAGTGTGTGACAAAACCTAATGAAAAGTACTCTTCAATGCTGTAGCTTGTTAGTTCATACCTCTAGCATGGTTCTTGGGCAAAAACATGGACGTGGCATATAAAATAGTGAAAAAACCAGCGAAAGCCTGAATCCTGGAACATCTTTGAGCTGACATCCCACTGAGTGGTAAGCCAGGGATTGGGACTGTGACAACTTACATCGCCAATCACAGCCAGTGCTGCCAGTGCTGCAAGGGAACCCAGCATGGCCGCCAGAGTTCTGTGCACGATCTGGAAAGAAGCACAGGAAATTACCGCGTTCCAGTGCACGAGGGAGTTAGCACACACGAAAGCCTGTGTGGACATGAGGGGGTCTATATCTGCCACTGTGTACCACATCTATTCAAATGATAAGTCATGGGTCTTGATGTTTCAGGCCTGGACACCCCACAGACACATACAGCTACCACCAACGTGCCATCTAAGGGAAGCTGCTTGCATTTCCTAAATAATTAGATGACCCTGATAAAGCAGCGGAAGGCCAGATGGAGTATGTTCTATGAGAAAGGCCATAGCAAACTGTCATTAATTATTTGCCATATGCTCCCTTGGCAACTGGCCCATTTGTTCAGCAACATAAATCAATTCCTCCCAATTACTAGGCTGCTGTTAAACCAAAGGTACACAGTCCAACACTTCATCTAATTGAGATGTCTGTGTTATCACAAAAGCATCTTTTCTATTTGATTATAATTCAAATGGAAGTGGAATTTCTAAGACAAAATATGAGAAAAGGCCAAGATGTGGAGAATTGGAGCCCTCATACATTGCTAGTGGGAATGTAAAATGGGCTAGCCACTGTGGAAAGCAGTTTGGCAGTTTCTTACGAAGTTAAACATAAATTTACCATATGACCCAGCAATTCTACTAGGAATCCACCCAAAAGAAATGAAAACACATGTCCACACAAAGCACTGATGCTCATAACAACATTATACAAAGGAGGCGAAAACTGGAAACTTTCCAAATGTCCATCCGTGGTGAAGGGATAAAGAAAATGCGGCACAGCTCGTGCACGGATGAATGCTTAGAAGTGATGCTGGGGAAAGAAGCCAGACACAGAAGATGGGGTCGGTCCATCTATATGAACTTTCCAGAAAAAGTAAATTTAGAGAAACAGAAAGATCAGGGCTGCCCAAGGCTGGGGAAAGCAACAAAGGTTGACTGGAAACGGGTCCCAGGGATCCTTATGGGGTGATGAAATGTTCTAGAACTTGTGATGGTGGCAGAACTCTAAACTGGTAAAAATAACTTAATTGTACATTTCCAAGGGGTGAAATTAATGGTATTTAAATTATACCTCAATAAATTTGTTAAAAAAATACAAAAAGAATGTGGCAAGAACAAGCGGAAAATTAAACGCTAGCATGCATTATTCATTTCTTAATCCCCTAAAGGGACTTCCACTCCATTTTTTCACAGCTTCCATCTCACAGAAACTGACTCCCTTTACCAGTAATTACCTGAAATGCAAATTCTGACTAAAATTATATCATTTATAATGTGTAGTACTAGATTCAAAGTTCATTTTCAGGAAATGTGATACTAGGTGTTGGCTTTTCACAGTTTCACTTTTTAAGAGTTGTTTTGTTTGTTTTAAATGTAAATACCTAAAATCCAATAACTTGCTACCAAACTCTAATAATTCCTTCTGTTCGTTCTCTGCTTTTCAGTCTTAGTTTAGGACGCTTTTTTTTTTTTTGAGACGGAGTCTCACTCCGTTGCCGAGGCTGGAGTGCAGTGGCACCACGTTGGCTCACTGCAACCTCCATCTCCTGGGTTCAAGCAATTCTCTTGCCTCAGCCTCCCAAGTAGCTGCAATTACAGGCACCCACCACCACACCTGGCTAGTTTTTATATTTTTAGTAGAGACGGGGTTTCACCATGTTGGCCAGGCTGGTCTCCAACTCCTGACCTCAGGTGATCCACCCACCTCGCCTCCCAAACTGCTGGGATTATAGGCATGAGCCACCGCGCCCAGCCAGTTTAGGACCCATTTTAAGGATACTTCCTTATCCAATGCCAAGGGTGGCCCCAGGAAGCAGGCAGGGCAGGCATTCATCCCCAACTTGACAGCCATGGCGCTGAGAGTGGAGGGTCACCCGCTGGACATGGTGAGCAGGCACCAGAGCCAGGCTGTCCTATCCGCCCTACAGAGAACAAGGCGAAGACACTTCCCACTTTGGTATGTCTCTTTTTTGATATTTAATTAAGTCTTCATTAGTAGAACAGGATGTGACAGCATGCAAATACAGCCCATGGATGACAGGAGGAAGTCACTGCAGGGACAGAGCAGATAGGGATGAAGCCTGCTCCAAGCCAGCCCTGTGACCTCACTCTATGACATGTTCCTTTCTTCTGGCTTAACCTTTGGGCTAACTTTGTCTGGACGGAAAGGAGACTTCCAGTAAAGAGCAAAGAGCCGGCCTGGCACAGTGGCTCACACCTGTAATCGCAGCACTTTGGGAGGCCAAGGCAGGCAGATTGCTTAAGGCCAGGTGTTCAAGACCGGCCTGGCCAGCATCACAAGACCTCATCTCTACTAAAAATAAAAAAAATTAGCCAGGTGTGGTGGCACACACCTATAGTCCCAGTGACTCGGGAGTCTGAGGTGGGAGAATTGCTTGAGCCCTGGAGGCAGAGCCTGCAGTGAGCCAAGATTGCACCACTGCACTCCAGCCTGGGCAACAGAGCGAGACCCCGTCTCAAACAAAAAACAAAAAAGAGTGAAGAGCCATGACTGCCAGCCACTGGTCAGCAGGATTGGATAGCAGCAAAAATAACTAATTTTTATTGAGCACCTACTGTGCACCCGGCCCTGGATTAAGTGCTCTACACACACCATCTGCACCTTTCACAGCAACTGCATGAAGTAGAACTATGATAATCCACTTTGCAGAGGAGGAAACAGTCTCAGCTGAATAATTGTCCCCGTGTCGGAAAACAAAGGACACGCACACCCAGGATACAGACCAGCATTTTCTTACTCCAGAGCACCTCCTCTCTCCTCGTGGGGCCTTGTTTGCTCATTTGTAAAATCAGAAAACTGCACTACATACCTCAAGGAGCCCTCAGCTCTGGAGGAGGTCCGTGGACATCATGAAATCATGAGTCCTAGCAGATTAACACACAAATGAGCAAACGACAAGGCAGACAGCCATGGCCCTCTCAGGACAGCTGGGCTCATCGTGGTCTCACTGACACCCCTAGCACCCTCGCTAAGTTTGCTCCGCCCACTGCCACCATCAACACCTTTCTCCCCTCCCTCGTCACACACACCGGCTTGCAAGTGATCCACACATGAGCATCTCTGTGGCCCACAGTGAGTGCTTAGGACATGTGGATGCAGCTATCCTCACTCAGAAACCCACCCTCTTCCACCAGCTAAGGGGCCCCACACACCACGTGGGAGGCGAAACCATCACTTCCCATTTAAAAAATGGAAAAGCACGCTGATGATCCGCCTCTAGGATGTGGAATAAAACTTTTTAAACTACATGGTTGTAGAAGAAGATGAGTTCATTACTTCAGATATAATGATGGACACTACTAAATTTCTATGCTTAAGAAAAAGAATTTTCAGCTATCAGGAATAAAAAAATTTCTGGTAAATGGACCTAAAGAGTAAAAATAATAAAAATTCTTAAAAGATGCTTTAAAGCAGGGGTCCCCAACCCTCCTAACCCTGCCACGGACTAGTACCAGGGCCGCACAGTGGGAGGTGAGCTGGGCAAGTGAACATGACCGCCTGGGCTCTGCCTCCTGTCAGATCAGCGGCAGCATCAGATTCTCATAGGAGCGTGAACCTTACTGTGAACTGCGCATGTGAGGGATCTAGGTTGCACACTCCTTATGAGAATCTAACTAATGCCCGATGATCTGAGGTGGAACAGTTTCATCCCAAAATGATGTCCCACCCCACGGTCCATGGAAAAATTGTCTTCCATGAAACTAGTCCCTGGTGCCAAAAAGGTTGGGGACCACTGCCTTAAAGGACTGTACAAAGGTTCTCTTCCTGCCCATGCTCTGGGAAATATAGCACACCTCTTCCTACACCCAAACCACTTCCCAGGCACAGAACGCACCACCTAGCTTCCCAGGCATCGCCTCACAGACCCAGCCACCGTTCTATCACTGCACTCCTCTCTGGTCGAGCCGACACTCTGTGCCTATGAGTTTCTTTGGCAAGAGTCCAGCTGTGAGCTCCTGTGAGCATGGCGTGCCTCTCTTGGTTTCTTCAGTGCTCTGCAGCGCAAGCAATACATGCTGAGCAAATGAGAAGCAGAAAATGCATGAACAGAGCCTGCAAAACAGAAGGCCAGCATCGCTTCCTGGGAGAAGAAAGGAAAGAGTTTGGGGGCAGCCCCCAAGGAAATTATCTAGGGCATCTCTGATCTTCACGCATCTGCCCCTCCATAGTCACACAGGTTTACAGCTAGTCATCATGTAAATTCCAGATAGGTGGGATACCGAGCAGATGGAAAGACAAAACTTCTTTTGGTTACCATTTGCATGGAAATGGTAACCAAAAGACAGCAGGGATAGCTAAAGTTATATCAGACAAAATAGACTGTAAGTCAAAAACTGTCTCTAGAGACAAAGAAGGTCATTACCCACCCTCTTCCACTGATAAAATGGTCAATTCAACAGGGACCTATCACAGTTATAAATAAGTACACACCCAACACCAGAGCACCTAAATATGCACAGCAGTATTAACAGAGATAAAGGGAGAAATTGAAAGCAATGCAATGTAATAGGGGACTTCAATATCCCATTTAAGACAATGGATAGAACATCCAGACAGGAAACAGCAGACGTGAACAGCACTGTACACCAAGTGGACCTAACAGACATAGACCGAACTTTCCACCCAACAGCAGAAAAAGACATTCTTCTCTAGCACACACAAAAAAGTCTTCAGGATATATCACATATTAGGTCACAAACAAGTCTTAACAAATTTTATTTCTTTTAAAAAAAATTTTGTCTTAGAGACAGAGTCTTGCTCTGTCACCCAGGCTGGAGTGCAGTGGTGCAATCAAAGCTCCCTTTAGTCTTGAACTCCTGGACTTAAGCAATCCCCTTGCCCCAGCCTCCTGAGTAACTAGGACTACAAGTGTACACCACCATGTCCAGCTAATTTTTTTTTTTCAGAGATGGAGGTCTTGCTATGTTGCCCAAGCTGGTCTTGAACTCCTGGTCTCAAGTGATCCTCCTGCCTCAACCTCCTAAAGCACTAAGATTATAAGCATGAGCCACCATGCTTGAACTTAACAAATTTTAGAAGATGTAAATAATATCAAGTATATTTTCCGAACACAATGGTATAAAACTAGAAATTCATAACAGAAGGAAAATAGGGAAATTGATAAATATGCAAAAATTAAGCAACACTTTTTTTTTTTTTTTTTGAGATGGAGTCTCGCTCTGTCACCCAGGCTGGAGTGCAGTGGTACAGTCTTGGCTCACTGCAGCCTCTGCCTCCCAGGTTCAAGCAATTCTCCTGCCTCAGCCTCCCAAGTAGCTGGGACTACAGGCAAGCACCACCATGCCTGACTAATTTTTGTATTTTCAGTAGAGACGGGGTTTCACTGTGTTGGCCAGGATGGTCTTGAACTCCTGAACTCATGATCCGCCCACCTCAGCCTCCTGAAGTGCTGGGATTACAGGTGTGAGCCACCACACCCAGCCGCAACACACTCTTGAGCAACCAATGTGTCATAAAAGAAATAAAATGGAAATCAGAAAGTATCTTGAGACAGACAAAAATGGAAACACAACATACCAAAATTTATGGGACACAGCAAAAGCAGTTTTAGGAGGGAAGTTTATAGTGATGAATACCTACCTCAAAATCATTAGCCTGATTGGATGACACTACAGTGTATAAATGAATTGAAAACCACATTGTGCCCCATACATATATACAATTTTTATTTGTTAATTAAAAATAAAATAAAACTTTAAAAAAGAAGAAAGAGCTCAAATAAACAACCTAACTTTATACCTCAAGGAAATAGAAGAGCCAGCTAAGCCCAAAGTTGACAGAAGGAAAAAAATATTGGCAGAAAGAAATGAAACAGAGACTAGAAAGACAATTGAAGAGATCAGCAAAACTAAGAGTTGGGTTTGAAAGGATAAACAAAATTGATGGAACTTTATCTAGACCTACCAAGAAAAAAAAAGAGCACTCACATAAATAAAATTATAAATGAAAAAGAAGACATTACAACTGATATCATAAGATTACATGCCTACAAATTGATAGCCTAGAAGAAACTGGTAAATTCCTAGAAACATGCAACCTACCAAGACTGAATCAAGAAAAAATAGAAAACCTGAACAGACCAATAAGAAGTAAGAAGATTGAAGCACTAATCAAAAACCTTCCAACAAAGAAAGTCTCACCAATGGCTTCACAGGTAAATTCTACCAAACATTTAAAGAATGCCAATACTGGAACTTTTGTAAAACTTCAAACTTTTGCAAAAAATGAAGAGAGAACACTTCGAAACTTGTTTTATAAAGCTGGTGTTACCCTTCATACCAAAGCCAGATAAGGACACAACAAAAAAAAAGAAGAGAGAAAGAGAGAAAGAAAGAAAGAAAGAGAGAGAGAGAGAAAGAAGGAAGGAAGGAAAGAAGGAAGGAAGGGAGAAAGAGAGAGAAAGAAAGAAAGGAAGAAAGAAAAGAAAGGAAGGAAGGAAGGAAGAAGGAAGGAAGAGAGAGAGAAAGAAAGAAAGGAAGGAAGGAAGGAGAGAGAAAGAAAAGAAGAGAGGAAAGGATATAAAGGAAAGGAAAGAAAGAAAGGAAGGAAGGAGGAAAGAAAGAAAGAAAGAAAGGGAAAATTAATTAATTTCAGGCCAATATCCCTGATGAACTTAGATGTAAAAATGCTCAACAAGTCTTTAATCCATCTTGAATTAATTTTTGTATAAGGTGTAAGGAAGGGATCCAGTTTCGGCTTTCTACATATGGCTAGCCAGTTTTCCCAGCACCATTTATTAAATAGGGAATCCTTTCCCCATTGCTTGTTTTTCTCAGGTCTGTCAAAGATCAGATAGTTGTAGATATGCGGCGTTATTTCTGAGGGCTCTGTTCTGTTCCATTGATCTATATCTCTGTTTTGGTACCAGTACCATGCTGTTTTGCTTACTGTAGCCTTGTAGTATAGTTTGAAGTCAGGTAGCATGATGCCTCCAGCTTTGTTCTTTTGGCTTAGGATTGACTTGGCGATGCGGGCTCTTTTTTGGTTCCATATGAACTTTAAAGTAGTTTTTTCCAATTCTGTGAAGAAAGTCATTGGTAGCTTGCTGGGGATGGCATTGAATCTATAAATTACCTTGGGCAGTATGGCCATTTTCACGATATTGATTCTTCCTACCCATGAGCATGGAATGTTCTTCCATTTGTTTGTATTCTCTTTTATTTCATTGAGCAGTGATTTGTAGTTCTCCTTGAAGAGGTCCTTCACGTCCCTTGTAAGTTGGATTCCTAAGTATTTTATTCTCTTTGAAGCAATTGTGAATGGGAGTTCACTCATGATTTGGCTCTCTGTTTGTCTGTTATTGGTGTATAAGAATGCTTGTGATTTTTGTACATTGATTTTGTATCCTGAGACTTTGCTGAAGTTGCTTATATTGACTTAAACGTTAGACCTAAAACCATAAAAACCCTAGAAGAAAACCTAAGCAATACCATTCAGGACATAGGCATGGGCAAGGACTTCATGTCTAAAATACCAAAAACAATGGCAACAAAAGACAAAATTGACAAATGGGATCTAATTAAACTAAAGAGCTTCTGCACAGCAAAAGAAACTACCATCAGAGTGAACAGGCAACCTATAGAATGGGAGAAAATTTTTGCAACCTACTCATCTGACAAAGGGCTAGTATCCAGAATCTACAATGAACTCAAACAAATTTACAAGAAAAAAACAAACAACCCCATCAAAAAGTGGGTGAAGGATATGAACAGACACTTCTCAAAAGAAGACATTTATGCAGCCAAAAGACACATGAAAAAATGCTCATCATCACTGGCCATCAGAGAAATGCAAATCAAAACCACAATGAGATACCATCTCACACCAGTTAGAATGGTGATCATTAAAAAGTCAAGAAACAACAGGTGCTGGAGAGGATGTGGAGAAATAGGAACACTTTTACACTGTTGGTGGGACTGTAAACTAGTTCAACCATTGTGGAAGTCAGTGTGGCGATTCCTCAGGGATCTAGAACTAGAAATACCATTTGACCCAGCCATCCCATTACTGGGTATATACCCAAAGGACTATAAATCATGCTGCTATAAAGACACATGCACATGTATGTTTATTGCGGCACTATTCACAATAGCAAAGACTTGGAACCAACCCAAATGTCCAACAATGATAGACTGGATTAAGAAAATGTGGCACATATACACCATGGAATACTATGCAGCCATAAAAAATGATGAGTTCATGTCCTTTGTAGGGACATGGATGAAATTGGAAATCATCATTCTCAGTAAACTATCGCAAGGACAAAAAACCAAACACCGCATGTTCTCACTCGTAGATGGGAATTGAACAATGAGAACACATGGACACAGGAAGGGGAACATCACACTCTGGGGACTGTTGTGGGGTGGGGAGAGGGGGGAGGGATAGCATTAGGAGATATACCTAATGCTAAATGACGAGTTAATGGGTGCAGCACACCAGCATGGCACATGTATACATATGTAACTAACCTGCACATTGTGCACATGTACCCTAAAACTTAAAGTATAACAAGAAAAAATGCTCAACAAAATACTAGCAAACTGAATTCAGCAGCACATCACAAGGATCATATACCATGATTAAGTAGGAATTATTCCCAAATCCAAGGACAGGTTCAACATACGCAAATCAATAAATGTGATACATTGCCTTAACAGAATGAAGGATAAAAATCATAGGATCATCTCAATGAATGCAGAAAAGGCATTTGAGAAAATTCAACATCCTTTCATAATTAAAAGCTCTCAACAAATAAGGTATAGAATAAATGTACCACAACGTAATAAAGACCATATATAACAAGCCCACAGCTAACATTATACTCCATAGTGAAAAGCTGAAAGCTTTTCTTCCAAGGTCAGGAACAAGACAAGGATGCTCACTCTCACCACTTCTATTCAACATAGTACCAGAAGTACATAGTAGAGCAATTAGACAACAACAACAACAAAATTAAAAATGTCCAAATTGGAAAGGATGAAGTTAAACTCTATTTGTTTACAGATGTGATCTTATATATAGAAAACCCTAAAGACTCTACCAAAACTCTACTAACACTAATAAACAAATTCAGTAAATTCGTAGGATACAAAATCAGAACACATACAAAATAACAGTTTTACTTCAATATGCTAACAATGTACTATCCGAAAAAGAAAGAAAATAATCCCATCTATAATAGCATCAAAAAGAATAAAATAGGAATAAATTTAACCAAAGAGGTTTAAAGATCTGTACACTCAGGACAGTAAGACATGAATGAAGAAATCAAAGAAGATACAAATAAATGGAAAGATATCCCATGTTCCTGGTTTGGAAGAATTAATATTGCTAAAATGTCCATAACTACTCAAAGCAATCTACAGATTCAATGCAATCCCTATCAAAATTCCAATGGCATTTTTCATAGAAATAGAAAAAAATTCTAATTTATATGGAACCACAGAAGACCCTACATAGCCAAGTCAACATTGAGTAAGAAGGAAAAAGCTGGAGGCGTGACACTTCCTGATATCAAACTATATTACACATCTATAGCAATCAAAACAGTATGACTGGCATACAAAGAGATATATAGACCAATAGAACAGAAGAATCAACAGCCCAGAAATAAACCCATGCATGTTACAGTCAACTAATATTTGACAAGAATGCCAAGAATACACAGTGGGGAAAGGATAGTCTCTTCAATAAATGGTATTGGGAAGCTGGATAACCACATACAAAAGAATGAAAGTGGACCCTATCCTACACCATATACAGAAATTGACTTAAAATTGATTAAAGACTCACATGTAAGACTTGAAACTGTAAAACTTCTGGAAGAAAACACAGGAGAAAAGCTCCTTGATGCTGGTCTTGACAATGATTTTTTGGATATAACACTAAAAGCCCAGGTAACAAAAGCAAAAAATAAACAAGTGGAACCATATCAAATTAAAAAGCTTTTGCACAGCAAAGGAAACAAACAACAAAATGAAAAGACAACCTACAGACTCAGAAAATATTTGCAAACCATATACCTAATAAGGGGTTAATATTGAACATATGTAAGGAACTCATACGAATCAAGAGCAAAAAAATCAATAACCTGATCAAAAAATGGGCAAAGGATAATAGACATTTTCCCAAAGAAGACATGCAAATGGCCCCCAGGTACATGAAAAGGTGCTTAGCATCATTAATCATCAGAGAAATGCACATCAAAAACACAATGAGATATGGCCTAACACCTGTTAGAATGGCTGTTATCAAAAACACAGGAGATAACAAATGTTGGGTAGGATGTGAAGAAAAGGGAACCCTAGTATGCTGTGGGGGTGCAAATTAGTACAGCCACATGGAAAGCAATATAGAACTTTCACCAAACTTAAAAATAGATCTACCATATGACTGAGAAAAATCCCACTTCTGGGTCTATATCCAAAGGAAATGGAATCAGAATCTCAAGTAGATATCTGTGCGGCCATGTTCATTGCAACCTTATTCACAGTAGCCAAGATACAGAAACAACCTAAGTGTCCACAATGGATGAATGAATAAAGAAAACATGTTTCATATACATACAAACACACACACACACACACACATACACACACAAATAGAATATTATTCACCCTTAAAAAGGAAGGAAATCCTGCCAATTTGGGACAACATGGACGAACCTGAATGCTAAGTGAAATAAGTGAGACAGAAAGACAAATACTGCATGATCCCACTTATATGAGGCCAAAGGGAGCTCTGGGGTCAGGGGTGGAAGGAGAGGAGGGTGTGGGAGATG
The DNA here is from genome assembly GCF_000001405.40 of Homo sapiens. Classification (NCBI taxonomy): domain Eukaryota; kingdom Metazoa; phylum Chordata; class Mammalia; order Primates; family Hominidae; genus Homo; species Homo sapiens. The sequence goes on from NC_000015.10 coordinate 28,001,471, forward strand.
AAGAGCTGACCGCCAGAGCTGGGCACTGGGGCAGTGTGGTCAGGGAAGGGTTTGGATTTAATTCTACATTTCTCATTTAAAACATAACCAACTACTTGCCAAAAAACACATATTTTTCTTTCCTTGTGTGTCTGTGAAGGAGGAAAAAAATAAAGAACAAGGAGGAAGGGTGCAGGAAAAATGTTGCAGAGAAACTTCCAAATGACTTGGACACATCAGGAAGGAAGAGATGAAGGCACCCAAGCCACAGGACAGCTGCCTGAACTCACAGCACTGCCCCCAGGGAGCTGCAGCCCCAGAATGTGGTGCTGGAGGACAGCATGCACCTCAGCGATGCCCGGAGGCCGTGCACAGCCCTGACAAATGCCCAGCCGGGCAGAGCTGCAGAGGAGCCACAGAGGCACCTGGTTCTCTGCAGCATCGGCTCTGCCATTGGATTCCAGCTAGGCGACCTGGAGCCTGGAGAGGCCGAGAGCTGCCGGGCTCACGGCACTCTGCACCATAAGTACAACAGAGTGGGCTGTGTGCACCAAGATGTTCAAGTAGGTCACTGACACGGCAAACACTGGCTAACAGAAATTGGTTCAGATGTGGGGCACTCCAGAAGCAAAATGCTAAAATATATGGCAAGACTTTCAAGGTTGGGCAGGAGGCACCAAAAAAGCTGATACAAGAGGCCAGAAAAATGGCAACTAGGCTTGCACAGTAGCAAAACATGAAGTAGGGGTGTCCCCCGGGATACCAAGGAAGTCAGAAAATATACCTAACCAACTTGGATCTTTGGAACGTAGAGGCTTGAGCTGAGGCTGGAACAGAGGAAGCTAAGAGGTGTGTGGCAGATGCTGGACCATGGAGCTACAGGGCATGGTCTGACCCCATGGGGCCTCCCTGCAGGGCCTGCTCCGCCTGCTTCCTTTCTCTGCAGGGTGGAGGTGGGCTATGGTGAGTGCCCTACCTCACTGTGGTCTGTGGGGTGCATGAGGGCAGAGAATGCCCACTCGGAGGCTGTGGCCACTGGTCCTTATCCCATCACTGGCTCCTGCATTGGGGGCAGGAGCCCTTAACAGGATGAAAGCTTTTGGGGAGGAGATTGTGTACCTGGTTTGAGGAGTAAACCTGTGGCTGCCGATCGGTCCAGGAGAGCCGGGTTCCTGTGTTCCCAATCATCTTCTGCTGGCCTTTCCTCAGCGGGCTGATGGGGTGGGCTCCAGGCCACGCGGGAGCCTCACAGGGCTGCGTCTGTCCCTGCCACCAAGGCCTGCTTTCCTCTGCTCTTACATGGATGTGATGAGTTCCTGGCCCCTTGTTCTTGTTGATATTTTGTCATTATTGTGTGTTATCTGATGTGTTCCCTTTGCAAGGCCCCTTGGACACCGTGTGACCCAAGGAGAAGGTATACACTCCAAATTCAAATATCTTCTTTTCAGGTATTGCCCACAAATACTGAGCTGATTTTCTAGCCTGGCTTATGTTATGCAGAACAATAGATCCCAGAGCTCGAAGGCACCACAGGAAATCAGTGGAGCAGTCCTCCAGCATCCGAAACCTCCTGGCTGTGATTTCAGTTCTGAAGTGATGATGCCCAGCTGTGGGCTGTGGGCCTGCGGGTCCGCGTCAGCCACGCACGGACTGTGCTTCTTCCCCCACGTGATCCTGCCTGGCCTGCAAGGAGAGCTGAATTTTCAGTACTCAGTTCCTAAGGTACAAATTCCTATTGTATATGGAAAAGCTTTCTGCTCAGAAGCTATAGAAGCTTAGCTCCGCAATAAAATAGCCTGTGAGCTGCCAACTCCGCCAGCTTCGGAGAGTCACATTGGCCAGCCACACTTCCCCATCTTAGAGAATCGAGATGTTCCCAAAGCTGCTTTCGCGTGACTGTATCCCTAAATATACAAAATTGAACAGGTGCCGTCCCTACCCCTGGTTCAGACGAAAGATGGCTCTAGAAGCTGGCGGTCCCCACCCAGGACGCCCGTCCGTGCCCCACGCGCGCTGCCGCGTTCGTCTCCCACAAGAAGCCAGGAGATGTTACTCTGTTTTGTGGGTGAGGGGAGTAAAATGTGGAAAAACCACAGCCTAGAGTCTGAAAGCCTGCATTCTGGCTGCTACACGCTGGCTGCGGGGAACGACGGGAAAGCAGGGCCCTCCGTGGTGCAGCGCGTGAGCCGTGCGCAGGGCAGTGTGCCCCCCGAACGCTGAGCCCGAGGTGTGTCAATGACACGGCCCTCGGGGGTTCTTAGAAACGGGATCTCAGAGTTGGCGGATGTCTGAAGACCGCCCTCGACGTCCACGAGGGTGGCGGTCCCACCCCTAGCCCAGCCTGCTCGCGTCCTCGATCTGGGTGCTCTGAAGGTGGGCCTTCCAAGGGCCACCCCACGAACCCGCCCGCGCCGCCTGCTCCCTCCACCGCGTCATGCTCCGGCCTACGCCCCGAGCGGGGAAAGGTGACCTGAGAGTGATGCGAAACCGAGGGACTCAACCTGTCCCTTCCCGGCTCTGCTGGTGTCCACGTAGCGCGCTGCGCGCCCGCGCGGAAACACCGTCCAGCCGCTGCCACCCAGGCCCTGGGCCCCACAGGTCTGCAAGACACCCTGCTCTTCCTTCCTGTGGGTCTCTCTGCACGTCACTGATCCTTCCATTTACCAAAGTAGCCCACAGAAGAACATCAGTCCATCGTCTCCTGTTTTCAACATGGAAAAGCAGCCTACGACATCGAAAGACCTGTGCACAATAGACAGCAGAAGCTGCCGGCCCTGGGGTGGGAGCATCCCCTGCGGCTCCGCCCCCTCTCAGCCCCCCTGCTAGGCGCCCTGTGGCAGCTGTCCCCGTGGTGTGCTGCATTGTCCCCGGGACACTCTTGCCTGCCACCCAGCTCCCCAGAGCACGCGCTCTGGAAACCACCTCTCCAACCAGAGTGTGAGCAACAGGCCGAGGCCCTGACTTCCAAGCTGGGCTGCAGGGGAGCCTGCGGGGACGCCAGCGGGGCACCCGGACCGTCTGGCACACACCCACACACAGACACACACACAGTCACACGCCCTCACCTCACATACACGGTCTCACACTCACCCTCCCTCACATGCCCACACACTAACACAGTCTCACACTCACACACTAACTGGTATACACAGACACAACCATGCAGTCACACACTGTGACACCCAGACACATGGTCTGACACACACCCTCACATGCCCACACACTAACAGTCTCACACGCTGACTCACACACTAACTTGCACAGACACAACAGAGTCACACTCTCACATGCAATCACACACAGACACATGGTCTCACACACACACCCTCGCTGTGACTCACACACAGCCTCACATGCACTTAAACAGTAATACACATACTCATGTACTAACACACACACAGTCACACACTCACATGCACCCCAACGTCCTTCCACTTGATCCCACACTCTCACGGCAGCCCGATCTTTTGATGACAGACAAGGCCATCAGACTGTGGGGGAGGAAGCCCCTCCACCCCTTGAGCCCCAGATTTCTTCCTGTATATCAAAGAAAATCACCATGCCTCACAATGTGGCTGTGACAGAAACTGTGTGCCGGCCTCGCCTCGCACTGCCCCTGCGAGCTGGACCGTGGTGTCAGGGCGTCCAGGAGGCAGGCAGGCTTGGGAGGCTCCTCTCACACTGCCTGTAGCTCAGCTCAGCTCAGTTCAGCCCGCCAGTCCTCAGCACCCCCACTTCCCCTCCTCAGAAGGAGGCTGATTCCATGGAAATGGCTGTGATTCCACAGAAAGGGCTGGGGGGTGTCTTGAACCTAGGTTCAACCCTGCCTTCACTGCCTCCCAAGCCCCCGTCTCCCCAAGCCCACATCTCCCCAAGCTCACATCTCCATTGGCAAAACCGGAGCACAACACCTCCTTCAGAGACCTTCTGTATGAGTTTCCCGGGCTGCTGTCACCAAACCCACCCTCCTCTGGTCCTGCAGGTAAGACATCCAGCAGGTGCGCTACATCCTACATCGAGGCGTCGCAGGAACGCATTCCTTCTGCAGGCTCTAGAGGAGAATCCATCCCTCACCTTCCCCTAACACCCAAATCCCATGAACAGGACCCCTCTTTTCCAGCTTCGAAGCCATCAACGGTGAATCAAGCCCTCGCATCACACTTCTGTGACCCTTTATTCCATAGTCACCTCTCCCACTGACCACAGCTGGGAGGGCTCTCCATTTGTAAAGACCCACTGAGCTCACCCAGATAGTCTCTACATCACAAGGTCATTGGCATAATCACTCTGCAAAGCCCCTTTTGCCGTGTGAGGTCCCATATGCAAATGGTCTGGGGGTTAGGATGTGGCATCTTGGAAGTGGTCATTTAATCAGCCTACTGCACCTTTTCAGAATCAACATAGATGATGAAAACATAGAGCCAGACCCATGGTAGGAGCATGACAGACATCTGTTCACCTTGCACAGCCTTCTGGGCATTGGCTACAGATAATTCCCATCTCCTTGAGAAGCGCCACACCCTGGTGAGAAATGTGGACTCCAAAGGCAGCCACTGGCCAGCTGGGGAACTTTGGGCAAGTGGTCTGACTTCTCTGTGCTTGATGTCCTCAACTATAAAATGGAGGTGGTGATAAAGTCTGCCTCATGGGGTTGTGGGGTTGTCCATTAACACACAGAGAATTCCCAGAACAGGGCTGGCCCCTCCGCACACGTTAGCTCCGGTGGTTATCACCATCATCATTTTCTTTGAAATCAGAGCCCTCAAGATTCACTGTGGCCCTCCTTCCTGCACTGGCTTCCTTTCGCCCCACCACCCCCCACCTCTCATTGGATCTGGCTTCGAACAACAGCATGCTCCAGAGCTCACTGCATGTGCAGGAACAGCCAAGGGCATGCGAAAGAGAGCCATCCAGGAGGCGAGGTTGGAAAGGGTCCACCTACTTCAAGCAGTCTGCAAAATACTTGCCATTTTTCTAAGGAATGATGTGGCTACTCACTTTGAGAAGAAATGCTGGATTGTGAGCTTGCCAGAAAAAAATGTGAGTAGCATGGCCCAGTGGCCAGAAGACCTATGTCCCATCCCGACTCCTTCAACTGCAAAAGTGTCTCTGCAATTCAGTTTATGTGTTAAGCAGAGGGAGTGTATTACATAATCCACCAGTTTTCCTGCAGTTCTGAAGGAGTCCTTTTCAAGAAAGAAAAGGAGAGGTATCTCTGGAACAAGGTAATGGAGCAAGTTTGCCAGTGCTACTTATGCAATATGTTCCATGAATCAGCAGTAAGAAGAGGCTTGCAGACAAAAAGAAATGAATGAGGGGGCAGAGCCAATGGCTACAGATTTAAATTGCAGCCCTGCAGAGCATCATAAGAACAGAAATTAGGAAAACCTAACTTGGAGGTTTGCAGTGTTATGATACGTGCATTGGGTTTTGAAATGCAGCTCTTCTCTCTCCAAATATGCTTCCCATTTCTGTAAATTAAAAATGGAAACTCCCTGGAAGATGGAAGGTGTTCTCTATTCATCTCCCTCGAATTTAATTTCACAGTTAATTTTTAAACCAAACACTACACGAACTCCTAAATTAAATATGAAAGGACCCAGAGCAATGAAACACGATGTTACACAAAGGCTGCATCATTTTGCTACAATTACATAAAGTGGGTGAAGGGAAAGAAAGGGCTCGCTTGTTTCCAGCAGAAAGGAGCTGTGGTGGCAATCCTTCTTAAAACATAATACCAGGGGTTGGATGGAAGACATATGGAGAAAATGCACTGTCTCATTTATGTTGTGAAATATTGTTCATTAAGACTGTGTCAGAACTATTTTAATTTTATACAGTATAAGGGCATAGAAGCCTTAGCTCTGATAATGGAATTTTTAGAATGCTGCATTGGGAAATCTCCCAGAGCCGTATTATAGATGCAAAGTGCAAGAGTTAGGAGGATTGCTCCAACTGTGTTCTTTGGGACTTTCAACAAGAACTACTTTACAAGGATGGGCCGGGCATGGTGGCTCACGCCTGTAATCCCAGCACTTTGGGAGGCCAAGGCAGGCAGATCACGAGGTCAGGAGTTCGAGACCAGCCTGGCCAACATGGTGAAACCCCATCTCTACTAAAGATACAAAAAATTAGCCGGGGGTGGTGTCTCGCACCTGTAATCCCAGATACTTGGGAAGCTGAGGCAGGAGAACTGCTTGAACCCGGGAGGTGGAGGTTGCAGTGAGCCGAGATTGCACTATTGCACTCCAGCCTGGGCAAGACTCCATCTCAAAAAAAAAAAAGACCTACTGTACAAGGATGAAAGATACAACCCCAAATCCTCAGGCAAGAAAGTGCCAATCAGGATGATTATCTGTAGGACCAGAAGTATAAATAACCCAAGGTATTTCCTGAAATAATTTCATCCCATCAAGCTATTAAAAGACCTAAGGGAACCCTGGCTGATCCTTTGTTCCCATTCAGTCACTCATGGATCACTGGGCACAAAGTCAGGGGTGGAAAGTGCCCCCCACGTAGGAGCCAAGTTAGACCAGACCCAGAGGACCTTAGCACCTGTCTCAAATATCTGAAGATGCTCTGGAAACATTTGTTTAATATTTATTGAGCACTTGCTCTAGGCCAGGCAGTGTCCAAGGCACTGGGAATCAACACTGAACAAAAGCAACCAACAACAGACACAATAAGTGAGATGGAGCGCCCACGACAAAGCATGTAAAAAGTAGAGTAGAGTTTCCTCTTCAAAGACTTCCTCCCCATCTCATTAGAAATAAATAGTAACTTCTCTTAGAAGCAAAATTTATTCAAATACCTGTGCTAACATTCTTAAATATCTGCTGGCCGTAATAAAGAAATCAATGTACTTTATGTTCTTAGCTCCCACAATTTAGCCTAAATACTTGTCCTGGCATGCTTATACTAATCCAAGCAAGCATTAGCTCATAGCCTGTTCCTCTTCCTTATTTAAAGGTGTTTGTTTTTACCTTTCTCAGCATTCTACAAGTTACTTCCTCCTTCCTTTGTTGTCCTCTGCCTTTGCCTCTTTTAAAAAGTTCTAAGTTGCTAGCCAATCAAAACAAATACAAAATGTGAGGTCCCGTCCTAGCCAATGGAAACCAGACACAGTAGTAAGGTGGACACGTCAGGTTATAAATGACCCTGTCTCCTTTGTTTGGTATACTCTCATGGCAAAACTACTGGCGAGTGTGCCCTTTCTGCAGAAAGTATAAAAATGGCCTTGCTGAGGAAATTAAATTTATGTTCAAGTGCTATTTCTTTTCGGCACCAAAAAACAAACATTTCAAACAGAGCAGATGAGAAGGGATCAGGGAGGAGGCCATAGCCTGAGGCAACAGTGTCAGCATCTGGGGAGCAGCTGGCAGCAGCAGATTGGGAGGACAGGCAGGGGCATCTGCAAGCCACCCCAAGACTCCCCTGAGTAGAGCAGGATGCAGACAGCAGTGGCACAGCCTAAGCATGCCTGCCTGCAGAATCTAGAGACCTCCAGTTCTGGGGAAGCAGCTTTGCCTGAAACAAGACAACTTCTGAGTCATTGCCCAAGGCAAATTCTACCCCTAGAGTAGATCCTAGGAATAATGCAATGTTGGCTCCACTGCTGGAGAGCCCATAGGGCTGGCGATTGCATCCAGCCCTCCCCTCATAATGTGGACCTTCCCCTAGGGAGTTATGGACACACAGAAGTCACAGAAACATAAGGTAGAACATACTATTCCTTTAACACCCCTGCAGCCTTCTCTACCTTCCACATCAAGTTACAGACACAACAAAAGGTCAGTGTTGGGTTTTCACAAGTTGTTGCTTAGACTACCTATAAAAAATTTATATTTGCAAGTTACACTAGTATTATAAGAAAGGAAAAATCATATTACTTTAAGCCCACAGAATATTCATCAAGATAGACCATAAACCTGAGTCATTTAAAAAAAAGTCAACAATGCCCGGGCACAGTGGCTCACATCTGTAATCCCAGCACTTTGGGAGACCGAGGCAGGCAGATCACTTGAGGCCAGGAGTTCATGACCAGCCTGGCCAACATGGCAAAAGCCCGTCTCTACTAAAAACACAAAAAGTAGCCAGGCATGATGGTATGCGCCTGTGGTCTCAGCTACTTGGGAGGCTGAGGCAGGGGAATCACTTGAACCCACAAGGCGCAGGTTGCAGTGGGCTGAGATTGCGCCACTGCACTCCAGCCTGGGCAACAGAGCGAGATTCTGTCACACACACACACACACACACACACACACACACACACACACACAAAGTCAACAAATTTAAAGGATTAAATATAGTGTAAGTTCTCTAACTATAAATGAATCAAACTGTAATTTAGTAATAGAAAGACAACAGGAAAATCTATAATATCTAGAATTTAAACAACACACATCTAAATAATCTATGGGTCAAAGTGGAAGTCTCAGGGAAATGTAAGAATTAGAGAGAACTAACTGAAACTGAAAACACTACAGATCAAAATCTGTAAGATGCAGCTACAGCAGTGCTGACAGGGAAAATTATAGTAATAAACGCTCACATTAGAAAGGAAGGATTTATTCCAGATATGCAAGTCTAGTCCAATATTCTAAAATAAATCAATGTAATCCACCATCTCAAGCAGCTAATGAAAAAAAACCATATGAGCACATCAGTTGACACAAAAAAGATGCTGACAAAACTCAACACCCAATTATGGTTTTTAAAAAAAAAGAGAGAGAGAGAAGAAAAGAAAAAACACAACAAAAAACCCCTCTTAGTACATTAGGAAAAGAATTTCCTCAGTCTCATAAAGAGCACCTACAAAAACTAATAATGTCATACTTCATGGTGAAAGACTGAATGCTTTCCCTTTAAGATTGAGAACAATGCCAGTCTTACCATTCCCATTCTAGCCACTGCAGTAAGGCAAGAAAAGGAAATTAAAGACATACAGATTGGAAAAGAAGAAATAAAACTGTCCTCATTGCAAATGACATGATTGTCTACATAGGAAATCTCAATAATTTTATTTTTTAAAAACTCTGAGAAGTAATAGGTAAATTCAATAAAATGACAAGGTATAAGATTAATACACAGAAAAATGTATTTATATGTACTGACAATAGATAGGTGGAAATCAAAATAAAAACTCAGTACCATTTACAATTGCTCCAAAGAAAAGGAAACACTTAGGTATAAATTTAAGAAAAGATGTACAAGATCAGTATCATGAAAATTATTTAAAAAATCAAAGAAGACCAAAATAAATACTATGTTTAGGGACTAGAAGGCCATTCTAAAATGTGGATGTCAAAGCACCACATGAAAAAGCAACTGAAGTCCTAGAAAATAGAAATGTAACTTTATTCCAATAAAGCTGGAGGACAAAGAGGGGAAAATGTATTTGGAAAACAAATGGCCACAGAATAGCCAGAACAATTTTGGGAAAAAAAATAATAAGTGTGAGGAATCACTCTTCCCAGTGTCCAAACTTACACCTGCAGTAATCAAGATAGTGTGGTACTGGTAGAGGAACAGACACATTACCAATGGGACAGAATAGAGAACCCAGAGAGATACCCCACAAATATGTCCGATTAATTTTTAACCAAGGAGCAAATGCAATTCAACTGAGGAGGGGTAGTCTTGTCGATAAATGATGCTGGCCCAGTTGGACATCCATAGGTTTAAAAATGAACCTTCACTTAAAACTCTCACACAAACACAAAAAATAACTCAAGGCCTGGCACAGTCACTCACACCTGTAATCTTAGCACTTTAAGAAGCCAAAGCAGGAGAATCTCTTGAGGCCAGGAATTCAAGACCATCCTGGGCAACATAGCAAGACCCTGATTCTACAAAAAAAATTTTAAAACTTAGCCAAGTATGGTATTGCATGCCTGTAGTCCCAGCTACTCGGGAGACCGAGGTAGGAGGATCACTTGAGCCCAGGAGTTTGAGGCTGCAGTGAGCTGTGATCATGCTACTGCACTCCAGCCAGGGTGACAGACTGAAACCTCATCTCAAAGAAAATAATAATAATAATAAAACTAACTCAAAATAGATCCTGGTCTTAAAAGTAAAACTGAAAAAAAAAAAGAAAACCAATCTTTGGACTCTGGAATTATTGCAACTAAGCAATAAGTTCTCAGACTTGACACCCAAACCGCAATCTATAACAGAAAAAAACTGGCCCGGCACAGTGGCTCATGACTGTAATCCCAGAACTTTGGGAGGCTGAAGTGGGTGGATCACTTGAGGTCAGGAGTTCAAGACCAGCCTGGCCAACATGGTAAAACCCTGTCTCTACAAAAAATACAAAAAAATTAGTCAGGTGTGGTGGCACGCACCTGTAGTTTTAGCTACTTGGGAGGCTGAGGCAGGAGAATCACTCGAACCCAGGAGATGGTGTTGCAGTGAGCCGAGATTGGACCATTGCACTCCAGCCTGGGCAACAGAGGGAGACTCCATCTCAAAAAAGAAAAAAAAAGGCCGGCACTGTGGCTCATGCCTGTAATCCCAGCGCTTTGTCTCCAAAAAAAAAAAAGGAAAAAAAATTATAAACTAGACTAAGAGAAAATATTTGCAAACCACATATCCAACAGTCTGTATATCTATAATATATAAAGAACAGTCAAAGCTCAACATTTTTAAAAACAATTCAATTAGAAAATAAGCAAAAGGCACATACAGACATCACGCTGAAGAAGATAGACAGGTGGCAAATAAATACATGAAAAGATAATATCCAACATTATCATCATTAGAGAAATTAAGTTGAAAGCACAGTAAGATATCACTACACACCAATAGAAAGACCACACCCTGTCATAGGCAGGGGCACATGGACAGCTATGACAGAAGGGCCTTGGACCACCAGATGTGTAGAACAAGCCGTGTAGGGAGACCTACTGAAAGATTGCCAGGGAACGGATGGGCTGCATGGGGAGGCAGCCTCTGGGAGGTCTTGGGCTGCCACACTACTCATGGAATCCAGGGACTGCCCTCCAAGGCCCTTCCTGAGACCCTGCCATGCTCCCTTCTATGTGTGGCTGGTTTCTGTGTGGTGGCCTCTGCTTTTTGTTTCTGTAAGGGTGGAAACCATGTCGAACTGGCCTCTTAAATATCTGCTAGCCGTAATAAAAAAAAAATCAAAGTACAGGACTTTTAAAATCTAGAAATGGCTTTTTGTAGAGAAGGAGAGGTTTTTTCTAAATGACAAATAATACTAACCATTAATTAATGAAAATAAATCTTTGCAAATTATGTAGTTTTCAAAGGTTGAACAATTTTACAAAAAAAGTGAACAAACCTTAGAATAACAGAGAAGCCCATTAAAAATAATTGGCATTGTATTGTATTTTTTAATTAATGACTGTAACTAATTAAAGCACATTGAATTTATTAAATCTATAATTGCAAAATAATAGTAAAAAAGGGGAAGAGGGAAACTAAATAAATTCAGTGGACACCACTGGAAGTTACTAAGGGAAGAGCTCATTACTAAGAAAGTTGATCATTACAGAAATAGGATTTATCTTAGGCGGGCAGTGGGCCCTGGTGGGTATTAAAATCATTAAGAGAAAAAGTGGCAGGGAGCTGGGCACCTTTCTCCACCACCTCAACTCCCTGAGCATTCTCCGCACCCCTGACAGCAGGACATCCAGACATAGGGTCCTCCTCCTGGACACAGGCCAGACCCCTGCACACCTGTGAAGCACAGGTGCCCCAAAATGGAACCTGAAGGCTTCAGATCTCAATTGTAGTCTGTAGGAAATAGGATAGAGCAGCTAATTAATCCCATGAGGAACCCAGCACTGAATCAGGGTATAGAATATTCTACAGAACAACAGAATAGGATTTGTCAACTAGATGGTGGCGCAGTAAAGATTTCACCTAACGTCACCTTTAGAAGGGCCCTTGGCTGGCTTCTGGGTACTCAGCTTCGGGACTATTCCCTCATTACCAAAGAGAAGGCTGTCTTGTGGGCCTGGGGCAGTGTGTTCTGCTGTATTACCTGCATGCCCAGACTGTATAAAATGTGATTTATAAATGGTGCGCACCTGCTTGCTTCCTGGGAGCAGGGATCTTGGTAAGCTGAGGGTGACCATCTAACCGGCCTCCACAAAAACTCAGTCTCCAACAGGTTGCCCAGGGCAGAAACACCGCATATGGCTGCCTCTGGCTGCTGGAGGGAGGGGCGTGCTCTGTGTGGGCCCACCTGGGAGAGGAGACCTTTCAGAAGCCCACTCCTGGGTTCCTCCAGGCTCAGCAGGTTTCCACTGCCGGGCATGGCAATAAACCCCAGCCCAGAGGACAGCTGCCCCTGAGCCTGCGAGTTCCTGTGTCAAATCACAGGGTGGTCATGGGAACCGTGAAACAACAGTAATATTAATTTAAAAGAAAATGGATAGAAAATGGAGGGAACAAAACTGTTCTAGAACTGAAGAGATGTAAGAGATAACAATTAATCCTGTGAGTGGTCCTTGTTAGACAGGTGAGGGCTCAACTTACTGGGGTCATCATTCCTCAGCAAGTGTACTCAACAACCACAAGCAAAGTTCTGGAACTTTCCTGGCCACTCCTCCAGCCTGCCATCTCCTCAACATCCCCAGGTATTTCTCAGACCTATCCCAAGCTCACTAGGACGCGCCTCTAACGGTCACATCATGCACTGACCTTCCAGGCTCCTGTCCGTGTTGTGGTTAAGTTTGATTTCATAGTTAAAGCAACAACGGACCTGCCCAGCCCAGGAAGGGTCTGCACATTGCTTCGTGCTATTGAAGGCATAGCCACACTTAGAACTTCCCAGAAACATAACATTGACTGGACTTAAGATCACATGTGGAAATGCCCATAAGCCAAGTTGGTAGACGGAACAGATAATCAAATAATCCCTCCGGGCACACAGCCCCAGGCCATCCGTGTCCCCTCACACACACAACCCCACGGTGCAGGTGGGCGCAAATGAGCACACCCATCACACAGGTGCAGACTCTGAGTCTCAGAGGAGACTGTGACTCTTGTTCCCTCAAGGTCACACTTGGAGTGAGCAGCGGAGAGAGAGTAGAAAATCGTATGCACATTCTGTTTTCTCAGGTACACTTCTGCTCCTAAAGTCCATCCTTCTCATGTCAGTTGCCAAGATTCAGCAAATATTCCTGTATGGTTCCCTTTCTACCTAGAGAGAGGGACACGCTAATCTTTAGGAATGATGACACTAGTCCAGTTTGATTAAGGAGTCAGGACTGAGCCCATCCAGAGTGTCTCACGGATCTCAAGCCTCCCTGACTGTGGGCCCAGACAGATCGGGGGAGCAGGTGTGAAAGTTACCTCAAATATGATCAGCGCGTAGACGCCCGCGAGGATGGCCGTCGCGATGGTCACCTGGGTTTCTACACTTCCGCGGAGGTACTGATGAGCCATCAAAAGAGGGACAGCCTGGGTCTGCTGCAGGGAGGCCCGGATGCTGATGGACACCGTCTCTCTGCAGAACGAAACAACGACCTTACTGTTCACAAGGTCAACAGTTAGGGGACCTCCCTCTGTATCAGCCATGGCATTAACCAGAGTGCAAATGGAACAATTCAGCCCAACGCCCAATCTCACAGCTGGAAGAGCAGTGAGCACAGGCCAGCGGCGTGAGACATAGGATGCAGCCTCCCTGCAGCCAAGCCCGACTGGTCCAAGCAGGCCCCTCAGCCTTCCTGTGACACCACCCGACAATGAACAGTGAGTAGGGGCCTGCACAGAAGACGCCAGCCATTGAACTGGCTCTTCCTCCTCCCCAACATACCCGACCAGTTTACCTGCTAACTAAGAGCAAAGCCAGCTATTTGAACTCCAGTCCCTGAGAGTGGGGAGACGCACTACAGACGAGAAGCCTGCAAGTGACCACAGGTCTGTGGCGAACACTGAAGCGTTTTTTCAAGTTCAGGCCAATATGTTTTATGGGCCGAATTATGTCCCCTTCCTCCAAAAACAATTCCTCTGTTGAAGTCCTAACCCCGAGTACCTCCAAATGTGACTGTAGGTAGAGGGAGGGTCTTTAACAAGGTGAAGAAGGTTAAATGAGGTTATGGGGATGACTCCTAATCCAGTAGGATGGGTGTCCATACAAGGAGAGATGAGAAGACAGGCACAGAGGGATGGTCACCTGTAAGCCAGGGGAGAGGCCTTGGGAGAAACTGACCCTGTCGACACCTTGACCTCGGACTTCCAGCCTCTAGAATTACAAGGTAAATGACTGACATTTAAGCCACCCAGTGTGTAGTACTATGATACGGCAGCCTTAGCTGTCTAACACACCAAGCAAGAGTACCGATTGAATATGAAGCAGCATTAGTTAAGGAAGAAGAATCCTAAATTTCCTAGAATTCTCCATTGTACAGCTTCACATTAATGAAATTAGAACGTCAACCAAAAAATACCATTTGTTTCAAAGTGACTTCTGCAGTCGACCCTCTCACATCCTGACACCCATGGCTACGATGTCCTCCCACAGCCTTTGAGCTCACTGTCTACACAGCATGAGTGCCGTGTCCAAGTCACATGCTGACCTGGTGCTGTGTGGGCCGAAATCAGTGTCCTATAGGTCAGACTCCTTTAAACGCACGTGTCCCAGAGAGCCTGCCCCAACACCTCACTCACTGAGAACTCACCTGGTCAGTACCTCAAAGGTCCTGCTCATCACTGAGTGCTCGCTTCTCCTCGGATTTAAATACACCGTCCAGTTGTGAGTGACCTGTACAAGCCAAAGCATAAGTTATGGTGAGGCTTTTCACCTGAGACACCATCTGGGATCTGGCACTGCTCGGTCTAGGTATTTGTTTCAAAAAAGAAAAGGAGAAAGAAAGAAACAGGAGAGCATCTTTATTTGAGCTCTCACATCTCTGATGTTAGGAGCTAGTGCAGGTGGTTGGAGCTGGGAATTTCCACAATTTAGAGAGCTTTGTTTAAGAAAAAGGATTCAAAAGAAAAAATGCAGAATTAGTGTACAAAAGTACAAAAGGCATAGAAGTAAATAGTGATTTAATACGAGAAAAAGAAATCATGCCCAGACGCGCTGGCTCACGCCTGTAATCCCAACACTTTGGGAGGCCAAGGTGGGAGGATCACTTGAGGCCAAGAGTTCAAGATCAGCCTGGGCAACAGAGCAAGACCCCTGTCTGCACAAAAAAGTTTTAAAAATTAGCCAGGCCTGGTGGCATGTGCTTGTGGTCCCAGCCACTTAGGGGCTGAGGCGGGAGGATCCTGTGAGCCCAGAAGTTCCAAGTTACAGTGAGCTGAGATCATACCACTACACCCCAGCCTGGGCAACAGAGTGAGACCCCCGACTCTAAAAATTTTCTAATATAAATTTTTTTTAATTTAAAAAATGAAATCACTACAAGTTACTAGAGACTTGGAGAACTCTTCTGAGTGCTCTGAGTCCTGAGAACTGCTTCTGCAACTGCTTGCAACCTGGAGGCAACAAACCCACCCCCAGCAAACCTTCCACACCCCTGTGCACAGGAGCCCCTGCAAGGAAGGGCCCCAGAGTGAAGCTTCATTCCCTGCCTTGCATGTTCTTGCCCCTGGGGTGCAGGAGAGTGATCACCTGGGGAGGCAGCCTGGGGAGCGGGGGGCGGGGGGGGACCCTCAATGGGAAGATGCGAATCTCGCCCACAAATCACAAAGGACACTGAAAATAGGATCTCTGAAACCGGTCAAAGCAAAGAAGCACACGCATGAGAGAACAGAAGTTCTTTTAGGTACTTCAGTGTTTGCAAAGAGCGTATCTGGGGGGAAAAATCCTTTAGTAAAGATCTCTTGGGTTTCCCATGTTTCTGGGGCTGGATTTGCCTGTGGGCATTTTGGGTGCATCAGCATGTTAGGAAGGGCCACCCCAAGAGAGCAGGGAGGTGCCATACAGATCATTTAATCTGGGTTATTAATATGCAAGTGCTGGGGAGGCAGCGGGACCGCAGGCTGTGTAAGGTCCTGCCCTTCTCCATGCAAGTCCCAGGTCAGAGGGCAAAGGTCATTGCTCATCACCAAGGAGCCCCTTGCCAGAGGGCTGTGCTTTTCACACAGGGAACCAAGTTGACATCCTAAGACCCTGGCCAGGGCAGCCGGTTCAGAACATTGGTGTTGCGTCAGCCACGGTCCAGGACACTGCATGCTAGTTCATAATGAGACCTTTGCTCTGTGGACCATGCTCTACAAGGCAGGAAAAGGGGAGGGTGCATTCATTCTTCAGATGCTCCACTGCAGGTGACACAGCCTGTGCATGGGCGGGGTTTCCCTCTACTGGTTATAACAGGGAACATCCATGAACCAGGGCTACGACTTCCATGCAGAAGTCACCGTGATAATCCAGTGGAGTCTCCGAGGCCAGGGCTCGGGGGAGTCAGGCTTGCGTGGAAGGAGCCCTGCCTCTGGAGTCTAGGCTCTGGGCTGCCATGACAGCCACCGCTTCCTGGCTGCCTTTGCAGGATGTGAATGAAGGCTTGACAAGGCTCAGAGACAAGGCTGAGCACAGGCCTACACAGATACAGCAGCTCAGAACGTAGGCACTGTCTTAGCAGATGTCCACAAACACAGTAACCGTGCTGTGGAAGTGTCTTCTGAACCCTGACGTAAGGCCCGGACTTAACTGCACTTCAACGACACCAAAAAAAAAAAAAAAAGTTTTTTCATTTCAAATGTATGTTTCCTGAATGGCCCAGCAAAACAGTTTTGAATAAAGAACTTGCAAGCCTGATTTTACTGAAATGGCAAGAGTTTCATAAATAGAGAAATGGTAAAAAGAGAATTTCAAAGACAAAGCAAAAGATAAGAAGAGCCAATGAATTGACTAAGAATGGTGTCCTCGCCTGTGGCTCCCCATCAAATCCATTCAAGAGGAAACACAATTTATTATGAGATGAAATGAGATTTCACAATTCCTTTCAAATAAATTATCAGCATAACCTGCTGTGGCCGCCGCCACCTGGAGCCCAAAGCGTCAGCCTGGGTCAGCTCCACCACGATGTGCTCTTCCCTCCCAGGACGACTCGGCCCACTGGCCACTAGGGCCCCTGCCAGGTCCACCTGCAGCAGCGTGGAGTCCACGTGGCTGCTAAGGTTCACGGCTCGGAGAGTGTCAAGGAGAACCACAAGGCAGACAGGAGAAACCCCATGTCCCCGCCGCCCGCCAGACGCACACCCTCCTCTGACAGTGTGTGAAGAAATGCGTTTCCCCAGGTGCCCCACGCCCTTGGCCATTAACACGATCTTCCTGCCTTTCTTATTACCCACATCTCAGCCCTCATTCAAGACCTAACTCCCCTGAAGCAGATCGTCGTGACCCTCTTGTGAGAGGTGCCCCCCACACCAGGGAAAGGGTGCATCCTTAGCTCCAAAGATGGAGGGAGGCCAAGAGGGACCTGAATGGACAGGCCTCGCCAGGGCCCCTCCCGGCCCGTTTCCTGCGCTTGCTCATGTGCTCTCGTCCTATCACACCTTTCAGGACCCCACTCTTCATCAAACCTAGCATCAAAACACCAAGCTCAGCTGTTTCTTGTCAAGCAACGCTTATATGAAATACATGAGTATGCCTTTTTCTTGTTAACCTGTCCTTCGTGTCTAATCTGCAGGGCCCTGGTTGGAGAAGCTAGGAGGGTGGGGAAACAGTGTTTTCTCCTCCCCTCTGAATCTCACAGTCTCCTCCATGTCCTCTGAGAGCCCAGGATGCAGCGCTGGGTGTGATACAAAATGCATCACATGGGAAAAAGGAGAGAATGAAAGGGATGGGGAAAGAGGGAGGGAGAGAATAGGGAGAATGGGGAGAAGGGAGGGAGAGAGAAAGGGAGAGGAGAAAGAAGAGGACGCAGCAAAGAAGAGCAGGAAGGGAGGGAGGAAGAGAAAGGAGAGCGGGAGACAAGGACGGCGCCCTTAACTGACCTGGTTGTAGAGGTTTGCTGGCTTCTGTTCATTTGCCCAGTGCCCTGGGAGCCTGACAGGCCTCCTTCAGACAACAATTCAGGGACAAAGAACTTCAGGTGCTACAATTACAGGCTTCTGAAATAGACCCTGCAACTACCGAACCGACACCGCCTGGCTGCTGCGGGAGACACTGAGGTTCCGAAAGAAAGGTGGCTTCGCTATTCACCGGCTAAAGGAGAGTGGTGCTTTCTCCAGAAGCTCCTCCCCTCACAGCAGACACCCTGGGTGTCCTTCACCCAGCCTCCTCCACAGGGCAGGCCAGAGGGCCGGGAGGAGGCCTCGAGCTCCTTGCTCAGAAGACAGCCCTGAGGACATTGCTGTGGGCCTTTCCAACCAGGCCGAGGCCCCTCCTACCTCACGCCTATACTGCACGCCCTTTCTCAGGGAATCACCTTGTGGGGGGCAGGGTCCAGCTGGCTTCCCCTCCTCCCCAGGCAGGCCTCAGGCCTGCAGCTTTCACAAAGCTCAGCTTTCACAAAGAGAGGGTCCGTGAGTTTCCGGAAAGCGTGGTTAATCCCTGGGAACACTGCCCTTTTCCAAGGAGCCTGCTGGAGGCTCAAATCAACCCCTCATCGTGGCTGGTGACCCACTGCGCTGGAGGACGCAGCACCCGTCTTCCCCCCTGCGGCCTTCATCTCTCCCAGGCTCTCTCTCTCCCTCTTCATCCAAATTCGAAGGCCACACAGGGAGCAGGCGAGACAGCTCCCCGCCCCCACCCATCCCCACCCCCTGCCAAGAAAGGCAGGCTGCCCTGCCCCCTGCTGGGAGGGACTCAGGCTGTGGGGTCCTGCGTGGGGCCTGGTGCACTCAGGCTGCTCGAGAAGGAGCTCGGCAAAATGCCTTAGAATAAAGGGGACACACTGGGGCCTGGGTGGGATGACCAGAGGGCTGAGGCTATCATCTCATCTTAGTGACCTAAGCTGCTGTGCTCGCCTGGGATCTCTACTGACTGATCAAGTTTGGTGCCAGTGTTCCCCGAAATCTCCCCCTCCTGCCTGAGTCCCACTGAGGACGGTTTCTGGACAGGATCCAGCCTCCCCCTTCAGGTTCCTGGGTCAGCCTGGCAGCCGGTTGCTCTATCTCCCCTTCCCCCTGCGGGAAAGTCCTGCCCAGGAGGGTGGCATGTCCTGGGAACTTCATGAGGGGGGCCAGGAACACAGGGCAAGTCTTGGCTTTCTTCATCCTGGAGAAGTAATGCAGAGGTCGAGGCACAAGAATGAGAAACAAAGTCTGTCAACATCACACAGCTCTTCGGTTCTCTCACATGGAGATACTTTACAGCTCAGGCACGGTTTTAAAGTGATGAAGAAAATACAAACACGTGCACACGCACTCAGCTGACATCAGCACCGCCCTGACCCCAGTGGAAGTGGAGTGCTTCTAAAACTGTGGGTGCCTCCATCCACTGAGCAGAGGGAAGCACAAACTGTGACCAGTGTGCCCCCGGCTCACCAGAAAGCCTCAAGTGCCAGGCCTTTCTGGAAGGCTGCTGGTGCCCTGCTGGGTAGGTCACTGGCTAAGGAGAGGGTGTCCTGGGAAGATGTAGTGAGACTGCCAGAAGGACTACAAAAACCAAGACTATGCAACAGATTACAGCAACTGCAAGGAAAGCAAGCCAGTTTCCTAAAATTTCAGTTCACTGAGGCTATCAAGTAAGTAGACTAAAGAAAAAAACACTTGCCATTTAGCTAACTGAATTAATTCCTTTTTAAATAATAATCATCAAAAATATTTGCCTGATCAGAGCACTGCATCGGAGGGTCCCACCTCTCCAGGACCCTCCACGGATGCCCGCCGCACTAGCAGTACCGGGGGCTTCAGGGGCCTTCATGCACAGACACCTTAATGACCATGTCCATTCCAAAATAGGCTCTGGACCCTGGCTGGAGAGCTGAGAAACAGCCCTCCCACCCTTTCACCCAGAAAAGGCTGGGCGGACATCAGTTAACCGCCCACTCCTGATCCCAGAATAAGGCTGCAGCAGAAACAACTCGCCTGAAACCTAGAGCAAAACAGGTGACTGTAGGAAGAGGCGGCTTCCCTGGGACAGGTGCCAGCCCCACACTTCAGAATCAGGCGGGATTCAGCCAGAAAATGTAGACATTGCTCAAGGTCAAGTGTGGGCTCGCTTGAGCGTGGGAGCCTCTGAGAGCCACAGATGGAGGTGTTCACATTTTCTTGCAGGCTTTTCCTCCAGGAACCCCAGCGGACGCTCCCCAGGAAGACAGGAAGCCTGGGGAAGATCCCGGGAAAGCATCCCCCAGTGATGCCAAGCTTCACCCTCTCCCGCTGCCTCTATCTCCCCTAAGGAGCAAAGGCCTTCATTTGCTTGGGAAGCGCATCTAATCTGGCAGCCAGAGGGCGCAGTGGGAATTCCTGCAGCCATGAGAAGGTAGGAGGGGAAAAAGTAGCTCTTACCCCAGTGGGAGGGGTGGGCATAGAGCAAGGTCTGGCAGACAGCTGGCAGGGCGCCCGGTAATTCTGAGTGTCTAGTGCACCGCAGGTTGCCACAGCAACCGCAAACCTCAACACAGCCAGATTCTCACTAGATTTACATGAACCCTCCAACTAATGCCTGCAGAAGTCAAGGCATGCTCATCTCCAAGCTTAAACACCACTGGCCTCTGTATCTACTATCCTACAGGATGTGTATGACTTCTAACTAAAAATTCTGAGGCATGCAAGAAGGCCAGAGCAAGCACAGTAGGAGGTGCCACAGCAGTCATCAGAGCAAGGTGACACAGCCAGGACAGCAGGGACTGGAAGATGGGTCACGCTGAACGCAAAAGAGACGGGGGAGGAAAGGAGTATCGGGGAGCTAGGGAAAGCCAGGTCCTGGCTGGAATGTGCCCTGCTGTCCCCCTTCCTCACTCGGAGAGCTCCACCACCAACCCCGCCACTGTCTCCCTGGAGCTCCCCGCCCCTCTGTCCTGAGACTCCATCTCTCATCAGACATCCTGGAGAAACAAAATTCGAGTGGTAATGGCCTGTGCCGTGGCCTTCAGCAGCAGTCACAACCGTCTGCAAGTGTCTCCTTGTGTTTCAGATCTCAGCCAGGCGGCTGGCCATCTCAGAGTGGATTTTGGATACAGTAGTTCTCCAGCGGTGATAAGGCCAACAGCTGCCAGAGCTTTCCTTGATCCGGATATAGGCTGAACAAAATCTGTAACAATCAGAAACGTTGAATGACAGAGGTGTGGTATGAGAGCAGTAAGGTATAAATCATTTTGATAACAGTCGAAAACAGATGTGATGATGGGGCTACTGTGTGCATCCAGTACGCGCCAGCTTACTCTGAATAGCTTTGTCTTAAATATTATAATATTCTGATTCATTACAGTGTTCAGCTACAATGGGCCCTGATTATTGATACCTGCCAAATTTAAGGATTAAATGCCTGGCCATAAAATTAAATCATCGAAGAAGGATAAATGTGGTTTTCTCACAATGGAGAATAAAGGCATATGACCCCTGTGATGGTTAGAGCATGTGTTTGTGGTAGCAGGTGTTTGTGAAATTTGCAAAGCACCTTATACACCATCAAAAAGTAAATTAAACTGATGATAACATGAGATTATAGAAGTTCAAATCATTCCTCAAATTCTATTTTGGATATCTCCACAAATCACCTAAACTCCATCTCACAGAAGAAGGCTGAAGACTGGACACAGAGCTCAGGTCAGCTCTTGGGGACCAGGGGAGACCTGGCCCACCCTGCCCGGTTCCTTTGAAATCTCAGAGCACCTGCCAGGCCCTGCTGAGCAGCAGGGCTTCAGAAACACACATTCATGTGAGTAGGAAGTGGGGAAGCAAATTGGTAGCCAAAAATATCAAATCGTGATGCTTTCAGAGCTCAATGTAATTGGTTTTCCATTTCTAGCATAGGTTTCCTTTCTCTGGGTCACAGATCTCCTCCCTCATGGGTTGGTTATTAAGAAGTTGACTGTACTCAGCTCAATGCAATCAGCACTGACTTCGTACACCACCCTGCTGTCCACATGTCACAGCTGAGAGCGGACCCAGGGCCACAGACATTCCTGCACGCACGCAGAGCCACAACACACATGCCACGCGTGCAGGTCACGAAACAGCCAGCAACAGCCACACATCTCATGCACAGGGGACCCTGTCACCAGGGCAGGCTGCGTGGGAGAGCACACCACCCCCTAAGCTGGTGCACATCATGAAACACAGCTCAGACCCACCCTTGCCCACAACCACAGTCACACCCCCATCACAGCAGCACCTACCACCCACTGTGGTCTCCCAGCAACTGCCCATGCACACCATCTTGGAGCAACACTCAAAAGTGGCACTCACCCAAAATAACTCCGCAAAGCACAGGCACAACCCATCATGGTCACTGACCACAACCTACACAGCTCACACAGGTGCACACACAGAGACATACAGCAGGCACAGGGGACCACACACAACCTACACAGTTCACAATGGTGCACACACACAGACATAGAGCAGGCACAGGGGACCATACACCCACGTGCAGACACGAAGACACACAGCCACAGACAGGAGACCATATACTCACCTGCACACACACAGACACACAACCAGACAGGAGACCACACACCCACTCATTGGGCAAATGTATTTTGAGTGCCGCTATGTGACCCTGGCTCAGGCTACATCAGGCCACAAAGCACACCAAGGCTGGCAGTGGGACCTGTGACTGTCGCCTCGGAGGGCACAGAGGTGTCTCTGCAGCCCTGGCTCCCTGCTCGGGCTCCTGTGCCTTTCCCTTGATGGGTCCATCTGCTAGGACCCCTCCAATGAAGAACAGCACCGCCCACTGCCATGGGCTCACCAGAGCAGCCCTCGCCCTCCCCTCGTTCCCACACTCTGTTCCCTACAAGGGCATCTCACGTTGGTTTGGCTCCAGAATGAGTCTGTTGTGAATGTTCATGTATTTGAAAGGATGGAGATGTCTGGGCAAATAAAATCAGAGACACCTCCCCAGAGGGGGCAAACCTCAGAGCTTCAACACTTACCGCTGGGCAGAGGCCCAGGGCACAATCTCAAAGGGGTGCTGAGACACTCTGGGCTATCCACGATCTCCAGATGTGTTCCAACACACATGAAGAGTGCTACTGTCCAGGGCTGAACAGGGAAGTGGTAAGCCACTCGAGGGGGAAGGGAGCCCCACAGCCAGCTACCCGACCTTCCATATGGCAACAACATGCTGCCCGGCTTCTGCCGTGTGACTGGGACCACAGCAGAGGAGCACAGCTGCGGCCTCGACCCCCTCAGCCCGCTGCCCCACAACCCTCAGCATCTCCTCCAAAGACAGTCAGAGAATCAGGCGAAGAGGGCCAGGCACTGAGCCCCACACCTCAGGTTCCCCCTGCTATACAGCCAAAGGCACACAGGGCTTCCACGGACCCAACAGTAGTGCTGGGGCAGCTAAGGTACTCACAGAACACAGCACCACAAAGGCAAACAGGCCCATGACTTTCAGCCACTGCACACAGCGCCTGCAAGAGAAAAAGTAGGGCCTTAGTGGCAAGGGCAGCAGTCCTGTTGCCCAGACTCAGACACTTTTCTGCAGCCTTGAGTAACTTCCATCTCAAAGCATGTGTTTTGAATTCTTTCCATAACATGATATGAGGGAGAACACCCTCATATCAGTGACCAGTAAACCCACAGCCCCATCCAAAGGAGCATGGTGGAGGTTCCAGAGGAGAACAAAGTTAACCAAAGTGTTTGCACATAGCTTGTTGTTGGGGAAACTAAAGTTCAAGATTTGAGACTTTTTGATAGCTGTTTAAAGGCTCCTGTTTCCTGGAAAAAAAGTAAACTGAATGCCTTATCTTGTCTCTCTGATTCATATTTATCAATTATTTTCCCCTAAGTTTTCTGAAAGGTAGGAATACAGATTTGATCATCAAATACAAAAACAAATAACTTAAGAAAGAAATTGCTATGCCGTTACTGGTTGTACCAGCAGTCTGTTAAGAATTCCTTAGGCGATAACTTAATTAACCATCAAGCCACACACTCAGCCCCTACCAAGGACTTCCAAAGCCATCCCGGCCCCCTTACCATTACCCATTTCTTAACCATGACCCCCAAGGCCCTATGTGAACCTGGGCCTGGCCTGCACTCTGCTGCCCTTCCATCCTACCAACGTCCTTGCTGCTCCCAGACCGGACCACAGGGCCTTTGCCTGCCGGGATGCTCCCTGACTGCAGTCCTCCTGTCATGCCCTTCTCTGCTCACTCAGCAGCCAGACCCCATCACCCAATGGCACCATCACTGCCCAGTCCAGGTTGTGCTCTCCCACCGGCTGCTCCGTGAGGGCAGGCACTAGAGCGTTTTTGCTTTGTCCCCACACATGGAAGGATGCTGGTACATAGCCCATGCTTGATGTATGTGTGTAGAATGAAATAAGAAACTCTATGTTGGAACATCTTTTTAATACTCTCCTCACTTAGTTAAGTTGCATCTGTCTTTGAAAACCTTCTTTCTGATCCTTTGAAAATGGTAAAATCTTGTTTTGCATTCTCTTAGATTTAATGAATTTGATGAATAATCAGTTCACGCTTCCCAATTACGATTCAACAGCTCCTACTTAAATAGGAATCAAAATGACATTTCTTTTTAAAGCATGAAGCATTAATTGAGCTATTCTAAATACAAATTTCTTTCTACGTAACTGACATCTGCAGCAGAGCTGACAACCCAAAATAAAAGGTTTTTTACAAGATTCTTCACTGATCACGCATGGTACTTTTTAGACATGTTATAAAGAATGGAGCTAACGTCTTTTAGTTCAGTGGCAAGCTCAAAGGCAAATATTCCATGAATCATAGAAGATAAAACAAGTACTGAATGCAAAAGTCTCAAATGTACTTGATTCTATTTTTCCATGTTGTGGGACAGCTGAGGACACGGCATCCTCAGGAGTGGTTACCCGTCCAGCTGGGAAAAGGCATGAACAGTGTCAGCGTTTGCCATCTTGTTGACCCATGGCGCCAGAACCCCACTCACACAATTTCACCCAACTCACATAATCTCATAGCGGATTCATTGGCCAAATGTTTATTGCACCCACGAGGGGGGCTGAGACCCCTTCTTCTCATCAGGAAGAAGCTACAGGCCGTTGAGAGTCACAGTGGGAAGAGACAGCTCCATGTCAAGCAGCGATGTGGGGGATCTAGGGTCGAATCCCTGCCCCTTGGCTTGGCTCAGTGTGGCCTTGGGCAAAAGCCTTATCCTCCTTGAGGTACCCTCCGTGTACCTCCCAGGATTGTTGGGAAGATGTATAGGATAGCGGATCCCTACGCACCTCAGGGAGTCTGAGGCGGGCCTCTTCGCACCCCGGGAGGTGCACTTGGAGCGTGCAGGCGGGTACACTTCCAACCAACCGCGAGCATCTTCAGAAAAGACTGGTCCCCACACACAGAGACACGGTGACGCTAATATTTGATGACTAAGTAGTGTTTTTTCACTTTTCTAGGGCTTTCACACATATTATCTTAGTGTAGGCCCGTGAGAGGCCACAAAGCCAGGAGGGCATCGCGTGACAGGGTACCGTCGCGTGGCCAGGCAAGGCCCTGCGATGGGCGCTCAGCGACTTCAGGTCGGATCCAGAATGGAAGCCCACTGGTCCCGGCTCCAAAACCTTGTTCTGTCCTGGAAATGATGCTTTCAAACATGTCCCTCTCAAAAGAACCCTTTCAAATGAACGGGCGCATGGGAGGAAACCCATTAGATAAATAGGCCAGTAAGGTGAGAGCGCTACTGCCCGCGCACACGCTCGGCCTCCCACGCATGCGCGCCCTAGGCCTACACACGCATGCGTACTCCCACTCCCACGCCCGCCGTCCCCCTACGCATGCGCATCCCCTCCCCACCCATTGCTCCCGTAGGCATGTGCACCATCCACTTTCTCTATGCAACTCTGCTTCCCCAAGCATGGCTCTGTGCTCCGTGTGCCCCGGACAAATGCTTACACATTAATGGTTTTCCAACGGATTGTAAGTTCTAAAATGTTTCCAGCCTTAACAAGGTTTCTGGAGCCCACAGCACAGAAGGGAACCCCACCCCTCAGGCTGTGCGCTGGGCCAGACCCACTCCTTCGTCAATAACTACAAAGGTATATCAAATTCCAAAACGCCACGGGGACGCCTGAAGCAAACAGATCCTATCTGCAAACCTAATGGCCATGAAGACCCCAGCCACACAAGCAGGAAGGAGAGGAGTGTACTGTGTCAATCATTTAGGTTTGTCCTCTCCGGCGCTGCATGATTTGCAGGAGGTCTTAAATGTCTCCCTAGGCCCAGGTAAAAATAAATCACCTTGGAGGAAAAGTGCAGCCTGGCCAGATGAGACAAAACTCATCCTCTTCTTCACGCTGCTGGTTTGAAAGATGGAGGGGCCATGTAGGACGCGATGTGCGGCCACCGCTGCTGCCAGGGTGGGCACCCCAAGTCCGCCTACCTCAGCTTGGAAAGACGGAGTCGGATGTGCGGGCTGTCCAGAAGGTCTCCCTTCTCGGAGGAGGCAGATGCAGACAGACCAGACACCTCCCTGCTTAGCAGGTATCTTCGCTCCCAGTCAGCAGAGCTGTCTTCCCAAGACTCTTCAGCAGTGATGAACTCTGGATGGTAAACAGGTATGCACCGTGACCTGGAAAGCAAGAGAGGTGTGGTTATCTCTCCTGAAATAGTAATGGCTACAAAGCAAGCTTTCCTCTGAGTTCTGACTGTGTGAAATGGCACCGAATCAACCCTGGTCTTTCAAAGGACCACAGACAGTGGTGCACTCTCATACTGGTGGGAATGGGTTTTTTTGTGACCTCTCAGAACACTTAGGTCAAAGGAAATTTTCTGGAGTCATTAAAGTCTTCAAAATGAATTGTGGGCCTTCAAGAAACCAGCTTTTTCTGAGTTTGGGACTTTCCAAGAAAGCTGTTTCTGGCTCAGACCAGTTCCCGCTGATTTCAGCGTTGGCTTTTTCACTGCATGCACTCCAGTAGTCAATACCTAGATCTGGGAGACTTGTCCAGGGTGAGTGGTGTCAGTTTTTCCTCCTCTGTGTAGATCTCTTTCTGCAGTGGAGCTGTAGGGAAGGTGGCCTACCTGGCTTCCCACACAACATCCACAGAAGCATGAGCAGGAAGAGGGAACATTCGTACCTGACTATACAGGCCAAAAATGGGGCCTATATCTAGATGACTCAAGGGGAATCATAAACTTTTCTCAGAATTACTTGAAAACACATCCGTTTACTTTTGGGATTTTTGTTGTTGTTGTTGTTTTGTTTTGTTTTTTGAGACAGAGTCTTGCTCTGTCACCCAGGCTGGAGTGCAGTGGCGCAATTTCAGCTCACTGCAACCTCTGTCTCCCAGGTTCAAGCGATTCTCCTGCCTCAGCCTCCCCAGTAGCTGGGCTTACAGGCGTGCACCACCATGCCCAACTAATTTTTGTATTTTTAGTAGAGATGGGGTTTCATCATGTTGGCCAGGCTAGTCTCGAACTCCTGACTTCAAGTGATCTGACTACCTTGGCCTCCCAAAGTGCTGGGATTACAGTCATGAGCCACTGTACAGAGCCTCCATTTACTTTTGGTTGAATCCCTGACCTGATCAGTTCCTTCAGTTTAGATGCACTTGACTCTTAAAAGTTTGTACCAAAAGCCAGAATTTTCATGTATCATATAGAATATTCATGGGCTCACAATACTGACGTTAACAGATGTGATCTGTGACACACTAGAATGGAGCCAGCTCAATGGGGCATTGTGATTCTCCTGAACACTTATGACTGCTTTAGAAGTGGTTCACAAGGAAAAAATGTTATTCAGAAGAAGCGTAGAGATGCCAATTAGGCTGTGTATAACCAATGTGTAACAAGATAACACATGACTTTGAAAATAGTCGATAATCCTATCAATTTTGTGACTGGAAAATGCTCAGGTGTGTGAGAAATAATATCACACCAACTGCTGAAAAAAACACAACTGTAACAAAATTGGAACAAAAAAAAACCTTTTCTTATAAGAAGACAGAGGGAAGCAAGTTAATGTCATTGCCTTCTAGAGCAGTGCTGTGCAATAGAACTTTCTGTGGTGATAGAAATGTTCGCTTCCCTGTCCAATATGGCAGCCACATGTGCTATTTGTCACTTGAAGTGTGGCTAGTGCAACTGAAGAAGTGAATTTTTAATTTTAATTAATTTAAATTTAAATAAACATCTGTGAAGAGTGGCTACCAGTTGTCAGTTCAGATACAGGGCATGCTTTGACCTTTGTACCACACGTTCCTGCTGTCAACACCCTTAAAAGAATACTTCTGAAAATATATAAATCAATGGATATTATCCTAATAAGCCATTTGATCAAATTAAAACTGCAACAAAATAAAGTTGATAAAAGTAAAGCATGAAAAAGACATTCCTACCACCAATACCTTAATTAGCTTCATGCAAAAAGAGAAAAGGAAAACGTTTTGTAAGCAAAGCTGACCCATGTTCTACTCCCTTGAAATGGTTTTTGTGACATGAGGCCCAGCTCGGCCTCCCAGGGCATGTCTCTGCTCTGCATGCCAGAAAAAATGCTTACACATTAATGGTTTTCCAATGAATTGCAAGTTCTAAAATGTCACAGGCCTTCACAATTTACCAAGTAATTCAAGAGAAAGCATTAAGGGAATAGGTGCGTAAAGTTTTTGTCTTAAAAGTTATTGATTAGGAGCAATGGAGGAGAATTCAGTTATCCACCAGTACAGAAGCTTGAAGCAGCTGGGTCAGTGGAAGTGCCTCAGCTTACACTCCTTACCCATCCAGTCACTGAGGGGCTGGTGGCAGGGACTGTACTAGGTGCCAGGATGTACGATGAAGAGGGGACAGGCTGGCCAACATAACCATAGATAGCACAGGGGCTAGTTTGGAAGTAAGGGCATGAATGTAGTGTTTGAGAGCACAGGAGAAGCACTGACTCTTGGTGGGTGGGGCAGAGACAACTAAGGGTCCTCAAAGGAAGTGACATTTGAATGCCCTTGACAGGAGTAGGACTGACTGCCTGGAGAGCCAGAGAGTGAAGGAGTTTCCTCTAGTCAAGGGCTTCATGTGAACAAATCATCCCTGCACTGAGAAATGATAAACCCAGATGGCTGCATACCATCCAAATCCCGGGAGCCAGAGTATTTGGAGGCTGAGGACAGGAATGCACATGGCATGCAAGCACCCCTAAAGTGCGAAGCCCTGGTCCCTGCCCTGGCTGCAGACTGGGCTGGGGAGAGAGGAGGCAGCTCCTCGGAAGCTCAGAGGTGAGTGAAGAAGACACAGCAGCCCTCCTGTCAATGCAGGTACACACCATCAGTGGGCAGGGAAAGGAGAATCCATGATGTGCAAATAAGTGATTCAAAATCAAAGCTGTTGAAACTTTAAATTATTTTGAGTCTTAAAAGAATGTGATTATGAAAAGAGTCACATAAAAGGCAGCTGTGGCCTTTTCTCTGATTCTAGATTTGCCTTTTTCCTTACCTACATTGTTTTGTAAAATGTTGTAAAAGACTACCGGGCACGAGAGAAGACCCCTTCCCTCTTCACTGTTGATCTTCATTGACAGATTAACTTCCTTCTTTCTTCTCTCACACAAAGACCTCATGACTATCACATTGTCTAACATGGAATGTCAAATATACTCTTTTAAATTGGGGGAGGGGGGAAGCTGTAACTAATCAAATTGCTGTAACTCATAAACCAGCCATGTATGGAAAATGTAGTCCTTCTACATTTCTTTGTTTTCTGCCTATATGGATAAGAATAAGACCTTAACTTTTCAGCTTTGGAGCACTGATCCCATTCCTTTGGATTCTGTGTTTCCCAAATGGCTATCCTCAGCTTTGTGCTTGAATAAATAATTTTAAACTGGGTTCTGATATTTTTTATTATTTCAGTTTGACAGTGACAATGTCACCAAGTTTGTGACGTTCAAGGAGCCAGGAAACATGGAGCAGGCGGCTCAGGCTTCTGGCGGTTTGTTTGCAGAAAGAAAAGAAGATTGAGGCTGCAGGCCTGGCCCAAGGCCCTTCATCCCAGAAGGAAGCATCTGTAACTTGCCCTCCAGGACAGCTCTCCTCAGGCAATTCCAGAACCACCCTGATTTGTGCCCAAAAAGGACCTGCAAGTTTGCAGGAAATTGAGTTTTCTTGTGAAACACATATACAGGGTTTCTCAACTTCGTCACTACTGACATTTGTGCTGGATAATTCTTTGTGGTGGGGGCTGTCCTGTGCATTGCAGAATGTTTGGAGCATCCCTTGCCTCTACCCTTAGATGCCAGAAGCATCTCAGCCCTCAGTGTGACAACCAAAAGTGTCTCCAGACAATGCCAACCTCACCCCTAGCTGAGAAACCCCAGCCTGGTAAGACAGCCCATCAGAGCTTTGTGCATGCATGAGTGTGCGTGTGTGCTGTGCAGTTGCTGCAGGGTTATGCTCAAGGCCATCTGGAAATTAATATCCACAGAATATAACCACCGGAATCATGAACATCTACTACAATAAATTGTCAAGGATCTGGCAGAGGTTAAACATGTCCAATAAAAATTCGTGTCTCAAGTTCTCCAGCATACATGCCAGGTGCAATGCTCAGAAACTCTTACTTTCATATGAGGGGGAAAATATCTCACCCTTTCTCCTGTAAGGAATTCCTCAGCAAAGGAGTGTTTTCTGTAAAGCAGGAATCTTTAGACCTGGAGCTGGACATCTGGGGCAAAGAAGAGTGAGACCTGAAAGAGACAGGGTAGGAAACAGAATCACCAACACAGAAATAATGTATGTGTTCCCAGCACTCAGGTGCTAGATTCAAGAATGTGCCCAAGATTCAGTGATAAATCTTACAAGGAAATTTGCCTAAGGGTCTGTCTGAATTGTAAAAGGCTGAAGTTTTAGAAGACACCATAAGAAAGACCTCTTCTCCCCAACTCAATTGAAAATGCATGGCAGAAACTCGCACAGGAGACCAAATACTATGGGATGACACTTTTAGGCTCACTTTTGCATTAGCAGGAGATTCAGGCCACCTTTGCTATTTCATGCAGAGCTTCTCATCAAGAAAAACATTCAGAGGGACGGGCGCGGTGGCTCACGCCTGTAATCCCACCACTTTGGGAGACTGAGGCGGGTGAACCACAAGGTCAGGAGTTCAAGACCAGCCTGGCCAACGTGGTGAAACCCCACCTCTACTAAAAATACAAAAAAAAAAAAAATTTAGCCAGGCATAGTGGTGGGTGCCTGTAATCCCAGCTACTCTGGAGGCTGAGGCAGAGAATTGCTTGAACCTGGGAGGCGGAGGTTGCAGTGAGCCGAGATTGCACCACTGCACTCCAGCCTGGGTGACAGAGCGAGACTCTGTCTCAAAAAAAAAAAAAAAAACAAAACAAAAAAACATTCAGAGTCTCATTGGTGCTTTTGTAGGCAGAAAATTCTATTTCCTAAAATCACAAGCAGTTCACATTTAAAATATCCTAATGGCGTCCATTGGAAGACCAAACAGAACAAATCAGGACCAAGGGGTTGGAATGAGACGACAATCAGAATGGCAAGGAGGAAGCTCTCCAAGGACAGCAGCCACAACTGAAGCAAAGCAAAGGTTTGCACTGGGCAGGATGGTCCTCCACCACACTGGCCTGCCTGCCATATGGAAGGACCACCATAAATGTATCATTTAAATCAGGAGCTTGTGGAAAAGGAAGTAACTGCACAACCACAACCGGCATGTATGGTCACCCTCATTAAAGGACACATGATGTTAAAAGACAACCAGCTTTCCATGAGAAGTTGTAGGAACAATTTTCGTTCCTGATCACTGAGAATATGTCATTTTATATGCTGATGCATTGCCTTTCTTACAGGATCCCAGGCCAGGTAGAGATGCTGTAGATGCTATGAAACATTCACCTAGGGAAATAACAGTAATTCTTTCTGATCACGAATGCACAACAAAGGAAGAAATTTTAAGAAAAATATTTTTGCTTGCTTCTTTCTCATTCAAGCATTCACCTGTGAGATAGACAATAAGACTTCTGTGGATGAATAAAACATGGGCCCCTGAGTTGTGTCTAACACCAGCACCATGCCTCTGGGAAGTCAGAAAAGGAGTCTGTCTGGGGCCAGTGAATATCCGCTGGGCGTCATCTCTGGGCAGCACTGGGCCACTTCCCATGGAGAACACAGGTAATTGAGGACTCTCCTCAGAGACTTAACGGCCAGTAGAGGTCAGCAGGGCAGGAGAGAGAATTACAAAGTAGGTGGTTTAACTTTGCCAGATGAAGGTAGAGAGATTTGGAAGAATCTCTCTGCCCAAGAGATTTAATAATTAGCATGCTTTTAGCTGCTCAAACTGGCTTATAGTTGAGATCCTCCCACCCCTGTTTCCCATAACTATAAATCTGTAACTGTAACTCCCTAGGTACATTTAGAAAATGTCACAGTGAGTGGACCAAACAACCAGATGTTTTCTGATGCTCCCTGGGGTGGTCTAGGGGAGCTGAGTGTTACGGAGACGGTGACCTCCCTCCCATTATTGAGCCCTGAGCTTCCATTTTCTCAGTCATGCAATGTAGATTAAAAGAAAACAAGGCCAAGCATGGTGGTTCCAACCTGTAGTCCCAGCAAGGTGGGAGGATTGATTGAGGCCATGAGTGCAAGACAAGCCTGGGCAACATAGCAAGACCCCATCTCTATGGAAAATAAAAATAATAAAAAATTGTCTGGGCATAGTGGTGCACACTTGTAGTCCTAACTACTTGGAAGACTGAGGTGGGAGAATCACTTGAGGCCAGGAGGTCAAGGCTGCAGTGAGCTATGATGGAGTCACTGCACTCCAGCCTGGAGGAGACCCTCTTGCTTTAAAAAAAGAAACAAAAATCCTTGGTTTTCTTACATTAACTAAGGAGATGTAAATGGAAAACATAAAGATAGATTGTGGATATTGATTCACTGAGGTTCATTAGACTGTGAGCTCCTTAAGAATGGCTGCCATGTTTTCATCTTGTTTTATTTGGTACTGTAAGTGGCACCCAGTTCAAAGTAAGTTCTTAATAAATACTCAATAATGAGCCGGGCACAGTGGCTCACACATGTAATCTCAGCACTTTGGGAGGCCAAGGCAAGTGGATTGCTTGAGCCTAGGAGTTCACAACCAGCCTGGGCAACATAGCAAAACCCTGTCTCTAAAAAAATTCAAAAATTAGCCGGGTGTGGTGGTGTACTCCTGTAGTCCCAGCTACTGGGAAGGCTGGTGGAAGGATTGATTGCTTGAGCCTGAGAGGTCAAACCTTCAATGAGCTGAGGTTGTGCTACTGCACTCCAGCCTAGACAACAGACCAAGACCCTGTCACAAAAACAAATACATACATACACACTTAATAATGAATGGGTTAAAACCTAGTAATCATAGCTTTTTTGCATGAGATTGGCTTTTTAACTCAAATAAAACAAGTTTTCTAAATCATTAAATCAATAATGTTTATAGACTCAATATCAACCCTCTGACGAGAGGGTCAGGAGACCCTCAGGAGAGGGAGAGTGCTCAGGAGAGTGCCCAGGAGAGTGGAGGCGCTATTGCTCCTTGGAAAGCATGACCCATGGGGTCTCAAAACAGCCCACAGCAGCACCACATCGCACAATGTGGAGGATTTACCTTCTTGCCACTAAGAAGGAAAATTAGAAATGGGGAAAAATCCAAAGTCCATTTTATCTTCTCTGTGGTGGCCACATCTGGCTGATTTTTATTACTGTTTAACACTTACATTTATGCACTTTGTGTATACAAAGTATTTTATAATTGTAGTTAAGCATATAGGTAATCATTTCTGAGCTTTTTTATGTAATTATATTTCTAAAAATCCAAAAATAAAATGAGTTTCACCAGGCAATTTCCTAAAGAGACTTTGGGCCATTCCAATTTAAACTTAACACCATCCGGATACCATTTTCAATGTTCCAAATCCATTCCTCTCTGCAAATAGGGGAAGCACCAAGGAGGCCTTGGGGCCCTGTTGCTTGATAGAATCCCTGGCCTGTGATCCAGAGAGCTCACAGATCACATGTAGAGAAGATGCAGGATTGCCCAAAAACATTTTCCAGAGGTTGAAAATAAAAATGGTGGTCCACAAAGCTGAAAGCCCAATTTTTTCTCCTTTTGACTTCAATAAGGTAGAAAATATTGATGAGATCTATATTATTCCTGACTTTTCCTCTTCTGAAAAAAGAAATCCCATTGACATTTTTCTGACTTCAGTCTAAGACTGAGCACTGTCTAGTTTTACTAATTTCCACATTGTCTGATTTCCCCCATGTCTCAATAAACTCTGTATATACATTTACAAAATCCCTATGTGCCTATACATTTATAAGCATTTATAAGCTTATAAATGCCTATACATTTATACTTATTTTAAAGGAAATTACAGAAGATAACACATAAAACAACTGCAACTGTACATAATTCTATTAATTCAGAGATACCCAATGTTAACATTTAGAGAATTTCCTTTCAATGTTCTTTTCCTACATATAAATGAATATTTTCAGGTCAGATTCATACATATGAGTGCAGAGACACACATTCACACATATACATATTCACGTATACAAATTGCCTTGTCCTCTAATTGTTCAGCTCAGCTATCTCATTAGCATTTCACAGGTTATCAAATATTAGCTATTCTTCTACAATGTGATTTTTAAATGCCAGCCATCATATTCCATTACATGGATCATCAAATTATGCCTGACCATCTGTCTGTTGATGGAAATTTAGGGGATTTCTGGTTTTTCACCTGGGTAAATAACAAACACTATGTGAGTCCTGGTAGATAACTCTTTGTGTGTGCCTTTAATTATTTCCTTAGGATAGATTCCTAGACGTGAGGTCACTGGATCAAGAAGTTTCTTGGTGCCCATGGTCCTTTTGCTGGAAGAGAGCCTGTCCCCATTACTCCCTGTTTCAGTTACAGGCAGGAACAAACCGCTATCCCCACTAGTCCTCGGTATCAGCCATGTTTAAAATCCTCAAACAGTAAGTTTTAAACAGCCAGAATTGATGGATCTGAGGCAGATCCACCATTGTCAAGAACCCTTGCTACCATGATTATTAATAAGACAGGTTCATGTCAGACTGTGAGATGGAAACAGTTTCTTGCCCATGCCTCTGCCTCTTCTGCCCTCTTCTTCAACAGCTTCCTCATCCCTAGATCCCTTGGTTCTTTCTAGATCAAAACACTTAACAATCCTATGATGCTTATATCATCATATTGACAAAAAATGAGCTAAAAAATGTTGAAAATATTGAGTACCTAATATATGAACACTTCCAAAAGAATTTACATTTTTAAAGGCCAAAAAAGAGACAGTGGTTAGTGCAAATGACAGCTTGGGGAGGTGGTGATTGGGGTACCAGGCATGGAGGAAGAGGTTTGCCCTCAGTCTTTCTTAGGCCCTGTGCCACATAGGCACCATTTATGCAGCCATTGCTGAGGTCAGTTCTGCTGGACAAGATGATACAGAGCCGGTAACAAGGAATACAAAGTGCTTTCACTGCCTTAACCTGTGCATGACCAAATTCACATCCACAGATTCTCCAAGGGATGCCTGCTCAAGTCATATGCAGGCTCTTTCCCAGGCACCACTCAGGAAGACCACAGAGCAGGCAGGAAGGTCGAGAGCCAATGGCTCAGGACAGAGGGCAGGTGGCAGATGGCATCAGCCATGCAGAGCCGTGTAAAAGAGCTGCTGGGAGTGGGACCAGCCTGGGAGTGGGACCAAGAGAAATCAAGACAGGGCCAGACTGGGAGTGGGACCAAAATAAATCAAGCAGAAGTCAGAGGGCAGGAAGGCAGCTGGTGGTCCCTCTACACCCAGGTCAGGAGGTCTGTAACAGGAAGGACCCCAGTGGTTGGTAACATTGGAGATCAGCTGTGGGAAAACCAAGCTGAGCAATGAGGCCTTCTCTGTAACAGAGCCTATGCAGCAGTGACCAGGAGGGGTCCCTCATGGGAAGTATCTCCAGGGCAAGAGACAGGCCGCAGACAGCAGAAGCGGGTTTAGGCCTTCTACTTGGGGCCCTTCACTCTCTGTCCCAATTGCTTGACAGTATCTCTGAAGTATCCTGTAGACAAAAGGCCTTTTCCCCACCATATTATTACCAGGATTTTAGTTGATGAGTATTAATAACAACCATGGTCATTTAAGCAAGTACTTTCTATGTTAGGCTCTTGCTGAAGCTATCACCTTTTTTATCTCATTTAACCTTCATGATAACCCTGAAGGTAGATAATATTATCCTCATTTTAAAAGGAGCAAATGGGACTCAGGATAGGCTCCCAGCTGCTGAGGGCAGGGCCAACATGTGTCCAGCACCTGATGCCATCCCCCAGCCCTTCCCTCCCACCAGAAGGCAACACATCCCAGCCTGAGGATTGTGCCAGGCATGGTACCCTCTGTACAGATGTACTCTGCATGGAGCAGCAGTCATGGGGAGCCACAGCAAGCCAACAGAACCCAGCCCTCCTGTAGCCCCCTCTGCCCAGCAGGCTGACTAGCAAGGTTTCACCTGTCTGTTTCTTTCTCTCTTTCTCTTTCTCTATCCCTATCTCCTCCCTTCGCTATTTCTCTTTCTGTATCCCTATGTACTCTTCTCTCTTCTCCTCTCTTTCTCTCTCCCTCTCTCTGACAGGGACTCTTGTTTGCGGCCTGTTTTCATCCTGGCTTCACTGACCCAAGCTGCCTTTCCAGGAGGAAAAAGCAAACTAGCAGGCAGTGGTAAGGCTAGGTTTACCCCAAAAGCAACCACACAGAACACAGCCAAACATGTTTCCCATAGACAGAAGGCAGATCTGAGGAAGAAACATGAGTAAGGAAGCTGCCAGCTCTCATGGGCAATTTTTCAGAAGGCTTGGAAGGAGACTATGATTCCTCACCCGTGTACAGTCAGAGCCTCTGGGAGTCTGGCATCATTCTGTATGAGCAAGGTCAGCCCTTTAAGTGTAACGTAACACAGAAAAAATACAGTGCAAAGTTCAGCACAGCTTTGCATAGTGGCCCTATGCACACATTTTCAGGAGATAGAGTCACAGAACAGGGAGAGTACAGATTCACAGACTTCTCAGGAAAGAGATTATGGGTAAAGATAGACCACAGTCCATCTAAGGCACCAAGGTGAAGTTTGAATGAGACTCTTTGGGAAATTAAAATATTGAAAAGTGTACTGAAAAACCGAAAAAAACACAAACATGATCAAGCAAGATGCATGCTCAGAAAACATCTGAGAAGACTGTAAGCACTCACCTCATGCTGGTCTCTAGGTTCAAGGCACACCCAGCCAGTTATGAAGGATTGACCCAGCACAAAGCCATTTGGCAAAACATGGATAAATAACTAAACAAAATCAGTGTAAATGGACTAAGCTCTCCAATCAAAAGGCAAAGAGTGGCAGAATGGATTTTAAAACACACACACATACACACAGTTCAATTATATGCTGTCTACAAGAGATGCACTGTAGATCAAAAGACATAAATAGGTTGAAAGTGAAAGGATGAGAAAAGATATTTCAATGCTAGTAGTAACCAAAAGAGAGTTAAGACGAAATAGACTTTAAGACAAAAACCGTTACAAGAGGCAAAGAAAAATATTATATAATGATAAAAGAGTCAATTCACCAAGAAGTTATAACAACTACAAATAATATGCACCAAACATTAGAGCTCCAAAATATATGATGCTGACAAAACAGGAGGGAAAAATCACTCTACCATAATGGTTGAAGACTTCAATACTTCACTGTTAATAATGGATAGTATAGCCAGACAGAAGATCAATAACAAAACAGAAGACTTGAACAACATTATAAACCAATTGGACCTAACAGACATATACAAAACACTCCACCCAACAATAGCAGAATACACTTTTATCTAATGTGCACATGAAACGTTTTCCAGAATAGACCATATGTTAGGACACAAGTTTTAATAATTTTTAAAAATTTGAAGTAATACAAAGTATCTTTTCCAATCATAATAGGAATGAACTGGAAATCAATAACAGAAGGAAAACTAGAAAATTCACCAAAATGTGGAAATTAAACAACATACTCTTAACCAATCCATCAAAGGAGGAATTAGAAAACACCTGTTATGGGCTGAACTGTGTAGCTTTGAAATTCCTATGTTGAAGCCCTAACCCCTAGTACCCCACAATGTGTGAATGTGTTTGGAGATGAGGTCTTTCAGGAAATGATTAAGTTAAAATGAAGCCATTAGGATGGATCTAAACCCAATCTGACTGGTGTCCTTATAAGAAGAGGAAGTTTGGCCAGGCGCGGTGGCTCATGCCTGTAATCCCAATGCTTTGGGAGGCCAAGGCAGGTGGATCACAAGGTCAGAAGTTCAAGATCAGCCTGGCCAACATGGTGAAACCCTGTCTCTGCTAAAAATAAAAAAATAGCCGGGTGTGGTCGCACGCACCTATAATCCCAGCTACTCGGGAGGCTGAGGCAGGAGAACTGCTTGAACCCAAGAGGCGGAGGTTGCAGTGAGCCAAGATTGTGCCACTGCACTCCAGCCTGGGTGACAGAGAGAGACTCCATCTCAAAAAAAAAAAAAAAAGAAGAGGAAATTCAAACACTTCAAACACACAAAGAGACACCAGGAGCACACATGCACTGACAGAACCATGTGAAGAGGAAGGAAGAGTGGAGCCATTGCATGCCAAGGAGACAGGACTCAGAAGAAACCAACCATACCAGCACCTTGACCTTGGACTTCTAGCCTCAAGAACAGTGAGAAAATTAATTTTTGTTGTTTAAGCCACACAGTCTGGCATTTTGTGATGGCAATTCTAGCAAACTAATATAATACCTTGAGACAAATGAAAATGAAACATAACACATCAAAATTTATGTGGTGCAGTGAAAGCAGTACTAAAAGGGAAATTTATAGCTGTAAATGCTGACATTAAAAAAGAAGAAAGATCACAAATTAGCAACCTAATTTTATACGATAAGGAACTGGAAAAAGGAGAACAAACTAAACTAAAAAGCTAACAGAAATAATAAATATTAGAGAGGAGATCTGTAGTGAATTTTAAAAATAAAGAAAATTAATGAGACCAAAAGTTGGTTTTTTGAAGAGATTAACAAAATTGACAGATCTTTAGCTAGACTGACTAAGGAAAAACTCAAATTATTAAAATCAGAAATGGAATCAGGGACATGACTACCAATTTTTAAAAAATAAAAAGTATTATAAGAAAATACTATGAACAACTGTATGCCCCAAAATTGGATAACCTAGATGAAATGGACAAATTCCTAAGTACACACAACCTAC
Source organism: Homo sapiens (assembly GCF_000001405.40). Classification (NCBI taxonomy): domain Eukaryota; kingdom Metazoa; phylum Chordata; class Mammalia; order Primates; family Hominidae; genus Homo; species Homo sapiens. The sequence continues at coordinate 28,040,771 of NC_000015.10, forward strand.
CAAGACTGAATCATGGAGAAATAAAAAAATCTGAATAGACCTACAACCAGGAAAAAGATTGAATCAGTAATCAAAAACTTCCCAACAAAGAAAAGCCCTGGATGAGATAGCCTTACTGGTGCATTCTACCAAACGTTTAAAGAAAAATTAACACCAATTCTTCTCAAACTCTTCCAGAAAATTGAAAAGGAGGGCAAACTCATTCTGTGAGACCTAACTTCCTAACTTATTCTATGAGGCCAGCATTACCCTGATACCAAAGCCAGACAAAGACACTATACGAAAAGAAAACTACAAACCGATATTCCTGGTGAATACTGATGCAAAAATCCTCAACAAAATACTCAATACTAAGCAAATCAAACTCAGCAGCATATTAAAAGTATTATACACCATGATGAAGTAGGATTTATTCCTGGTATACTGAGATGGCTTAAAATGGGAAAAATCAATCTATGAAATACACATTAACACAGTAAAGAAAAAAAAACGTGAGCATCTCAACTGATGCAGGAAAAACATTTGACAAAGTTCAACACCCTTTCATGATTAAAAAAAAAAAAAATGCACACCCTCAGCAAACTAGGAATAGAAGGAAACTACTGTAACATAATAAAGACTATTTATGAAAAACGCACAGCTAACATCACACTGAATGGTGAAAGACTGAAAGCTTTTCCCCTATGACTAGGAACAAGGTAAGGATGCCTGTTTTGCTACTTCTACTCAATGCAGTATTGGAAGTTCTAGCCAGAACAGGTGGGGAGAAAAACAAATGAAAGGCATCCAAACTGGAAAGGAAGAAGTAAAATTATCTCTATTTGTAGATAACACAACTTTATGTGTAGAAAACTCTAAAGACTCCATTTTTAAAATCATTAGGATTAATAAATTCAGCATAACTGAAGGATACAAAATCAACACACAATGGTATATTCACACAATGGAATTTCACACAATAGTGGAAATAAATGAACTACAGCTAAACAAATCAATATGGATAAATCTTAGAAACATAATGTTGCATGAAGAAAAATAGAAGAATACACACATGATGCAATTTTTATAAGGCTCAAAACCAAGACACACTGAAGAATACATTGTTTAGGATAAATTTATTTGGTTTTAGATAGAAAGAGTGAATGTGCATGAGATGAGAGAGAGAGAGAGGCATGCGTACACATACAGGAATTTTAAATACACAATTCCAGAGAGAAGTCTCCATGTTGGGAAGCAAAGAGATGGGGTAAAAGAGGAACAATTGGTTGGTGAGCATACAGGGGTTTGTAAAAACTAAACTTCATAACCTATCCATATGTTACATATATTATTTTGTGTAGATCAAATATTACATGCTATTTTTAAAGGAAGAATGAACTTATCAACTTGAAAACAAGAGAAATTTGCACAGTAAATAAATGATACAGGGAAGGATAGAAAATAGGAATTCAAGAAATGATGGGATGAAAGACTGTACTGAAACCCTGAAATACAAGATGAAAACTAATCATTTCTACTTATCATTTCTAGCTATTCTATGAAATGAAGAAACTCTTATTTTAAAAATGCCTTCGGGCCAGGTGCGGTGGCTCACGCCTGTAATCCCAGCACTTTGGGAGGCCAAGGTGGGTGGATCACTTGAGGCCAGGAATTCAAGACCAGCCTGGCCAACATGAGGAAACCCTATCTCTACTAAAAATACAAAAAAAAAAAAAAAAAATTAGCTGGGCGTGGTGATACACACCTGTGGTCCCAGCTACTTGGGAGGCTGAGGCAGGAGACTCACTTGAACCCAGGAGGTGGAGATTGCAGTGAACCAAGATTGCACCACCGCACTCCAGCCTAGGTGGCATAGTGTGACTCTGTCTCAAAGTAAATAAATAAATAATAAATAAATAAATAAATAAATAAAATGCTTTCTAAAAATTAAGGGACTTGGAGGTAAAGTGAGTATTAATAGGAATATTAAAGTTTCAAATGAATTGCCAAACCAAGATGCCCTGTATATTATATATTAATAGTAGCAGAAAAAGGGATTAAAAGAATGCAGTCTTTACAAGTGAAAAGTTTTTTCACTTTCTCTCTCTGCCAACATAATAAAATTTTATTCGTTTATACTCCACCAATCCTAGCAGTGCCCCCTAATTGGAAAATATGTTAGGGTTGATGGTAACCTTTGTTCGAACAACTAGTTTCATTACAGAGGGTGCAAATTAATATTTTTAAGAGAATGTCTACAAACTGTTTTTAAAATGCTTCCAGACAATTTGTAAGGACAGTTAACACAAGAAATATTGAATATAAATGGATATTAATAATTGGCAAAAAAGTATAATCATATGCCCCAAAGCCTGGGGAGGTATTCACTGAGAAATATTTACAGGAGCAATTTTAGGATTACTTGGATGTAAGAACATCACCTGTATTTAAGGTCTAATTTCAATTGTCCTTTCCCCTAAGGAAAGTAGTTTAAACAGCAAGTAGGCCCAGTGGTAGGATTTTTGAAGTTTACAATTCAACAGAGAGACGGAGAGGTGGTAGGGTAGTGCCTGAGCCCAGTGAGACACAAGAAGTAGACATACCAGAAATAAAGCCAAACATGCATGGCTGTTTCTATCCAGCTTGCTGTGAAGCTGGTGATCGCTCAATAAATCTCCAAAAATCACAATAAAGAAGATTGGTGCCCATTTTTTCTGGGGCTTACACACAGGTAGTAAAACAGAACATTCGATCCTTGGGCTTAAGTAATTCCTCAGACATAAGGATGCAATCCTTCCTTTTCAAAGCAAACGGATGGAACATGAAAGACTCCTGTTTAGAGAACCACTGCCATGTAATTAAGCAAGTTTTCAAATCTCAGCCCAGTGTGCAAAGAAATCAGTATTGGAAGGATTGTTTTCAGGCAGAAAAAACCCGAGGGAAGAAATCAGACCAACATTCACTCCAGTTAGCTGGAAAGCCCCAAAATTAATTATTAACATTAGATGGGCTTGTGACTGGGCTGGTTATTGAAGAGATAAATCATTTTTATTGCACAAAGCACAGAAGTATACTCCTCCCAAAACAAACCAGATGGGCTATGCTTTTCAAGGAAGAAAGATAAGATTCTTCATGTTAATGAATGATGTGCAGGCCATGAGTTAAAAGCTGTATCTTTTCCTAATAGCCATACTTTCACAGAAAGGCCAATGAATGCTTGAGTCCTGGAAAGGAAAACATTGAGCAATGTCAACAGGAACACAGATGGGCAGACAGTACCTCCATATGTTATTGGATGAAGCCTGAGCTCATTCCATTTTGCCAGAGTAGACAGCTCTCTGAAAGACCATTTTACAACTTGTGTTAACATTTTTCATATTATATATGTGTATGTGTACAACTTGCTCAACAGTGATATCCCACATAAAAAAAGGGGAAGTATAGTCTTAAAAAATTATTCTAACCAATATCTAATTTGAAATCAATGAAACATTCAAGGGCATTCTCTGAAATGATAGTAGGTGGCAACGCATGCATGAAGCAGATGGCAGATTGTCCCTATCTCATGTTCCTAGGTAGACTCTGCCAGTGACACAGTGGCTAGGTATATTTCCTAAGCTCTTCTTCGAAAACCACTGGCCTTCCTGGATACTTATCCAGGATGCTTGTCCAGGATGCTTGTCCAGGAGATTCTTGTCCCAGTGGCCTGGCATGGACCTGACACATACACGGCCTGGAGACTCGTCACAGTGAATAATAGCACATTTCTCTGCAGATGGCAATTATCCCTGCCACGTGCTACAGGCATCTGAACAAGTCATGGCTTTACAGGATTTTCTGTCTATTTGTTCTATTAATTAATAAGAAGGGGGTATTGAAATCTCCAACTATGATTCTTTCTTGTGTTCTATCAGTTTTTGCTTCGTGTATTTTGCAGCTCTGTTACTAAGTCCATATGCACTGTGAATTATGTCCTTGGGATCAATTGACCCCTGTATCATTATGGTCTGGCCTTCTTTGTCCCTAGTAATATTCTTTGCTCTGTAACCTACTTTTTCTGATATTAATATAGACATCCCATTTTTCTTTGGACAGTATCAGTTTTAGCACTGTATGTCTTTTTTCATTTTTGTATTTAACCTATCTCCATATGTTATTTTAATACTTAGAATGATTTTAATACTTAGAATTGGTTCCTTTATAAGTAGCATATAGTTCAATTTTTATTTCTTTCCCAATATGACAATGTCTACCTTTTAATCGAGATAATAAGTCCATTCACATATAATGTGATTAGAAATATATTTAGATTTAAATCTACCATCTTGATACTTGTTTTCTATTTGACAATCTGTTCCTTGTTCCCTTTTTCTGCCTTATTTTGCATTAATTATTTTGTATGATTCCATTTTATCCTTTTATTGGCTTATTAGTTATAACTCTTTTTTATTCTAGGTATTGCTTTAGGGTTTACAGTATACATCTTTAACTTCCCACAGTCTAACTGAAAATGATATTATACCCATTGCTAGAGAGCATACAATAGGAATATATACATGTATGTACACATATACAGTATATAACACTTTACCTCTATGGTACACTGTGGTTCACATACAAGAAGAGTGTGCTTCCATTTCTCTCCTCAGCCTTTGTATCACTGCTGTCACATTTTTACATGTGATATGAGACGCACACTTCATTTTGATTATTTTTATTTCAATTGCCAATTACCTTTTAATGATAAGAAGGAATGTGTAGATTTACAAAGCTGTCAGTGTTTCTGGTACCCTCCATTCCTTTGTGCAGACCCATTTTCCTCTGATGGAGCTGGAGCTCATACACCCTCTACCTGGCTGGACCTCACACTCACCAGTACCACATTTAACTCAACATATCAGGGCCACTTGCTTATGTAACTGCCTCCCAGCACAGCACCCGGCACATAGCACAGAAAATGCCAGAACTACTTAAATCCAGGCTACAGTATTTTACAGAGAAATCCAGTATTTCTCTCCAACAAATACTTCTTAGTTATCTGTCACAGTTTCCTCCAAACTCATATATACTAGTCTCTAAAACAGGGTGTTGTGCTATCATCACTCTTAAGACACCTAAAATATCCTGGTGATATCAGGTTAAGTGATACTGAATATTCATACCAAAACCCTCAGTCTTGAGAACTGCCCCTTCCTGCAACACAGACCACCAGCTCTTCACCAGGGCAGCTGCTCAGTGTGGAGTTGCTGCTATGAGATGGCTCGCTGGTTAGGGACCACGTGTCCCACCCCTTCTATTTCAGGGGACCACAGAACCAAGTCCCAGATAGTGGCCAGAGGAGGACATGATGGATGACACTCCAGACTCTCTCTTCCTGTGCATCATCCTCCCTCTCTCTTCTTCCACACTCCAGATGGACTTTACCCGCAGTGCCATCTTGGAAGCTATTCTACCAGTCAGGATACCAGAAGGAAATGGGTGGCTCACTAAGTCAGAATAATTCAAGGAGGATTCAATAAAGGGAAAATTTGCAAAAGTGTAGGCAGAGTGTAGGGAAAACACACGTGCAGTATGATGGGGTTAGGAACAGCAGATCTGTTACCACCCCTGGCCTGAAGGGGATAAAGGGAGGAGGCAGTTGTCAGAACCCAGCAGAAAAGAGTCTTGCAGAAGAGCCATTCTGAGATGAATGGAGGTCTCTTGTTAAGGACACATCAGCCACAAGGGTCTTTCTGGGAGGACAGGAAAGGGAGGACTGAAGAAATAAGAGCCCCAGTCGCATCATGCTCCATCTCCTACCATGCCCCATGGGCTGAACCCAGCCAGAAGCCACCAGGGAGCTCTAAGAAGTCCCTAGAGGTCATATCCCAGGGCAGAGGGCAGGGGGAAAGGAGGGAAGGGGCAACCAACCATGCACTGACAACAACAGGACAGGGTACCTATCATGCTGGTGCTGAATAATGACCACAGCACTACCACCATGCTGCCAAGTGGACTTCATCCATACAAGCAAGAAATGAACCGATATTGTGATGGAAATTTGGGGTTATTCCTTTTATAGAGGCTGTGCCTCTTCACACAGGGTAGGCAGCCACAAGCCTGGCTTTACTCTTACTTCAAATCGACATGCCTAAAAATGAATTAATGTTTTCCTAAAAGCCACCTGCTCAAGATTTCCCTCTTGTCATCCTCTTTGAAAATTTTGGGATCCTAGAATTATTGGGAACAACTCTAGATCTGGAACAATCCAAAGATCACTGGACTCCCCTCTCCGAAAAAAATTTGCCAGCACACACTCCCATGCCTGCCTGTGCATCCCTCTCTTTGGTCAGGCCCTGACACATGCCCTGGCCTATATCCCAGGCCATCTCACAAACTTCAGACTCCCCAAAACACCATTCTCACCTCATTCTCTCCCACCATGACCTATAGCAGTGGTTTCCAAAAATAAGCCCACAGTCAAATCACCTGAGGAATTTACTTCAAAGACAATTTCCCAGAATCCTCCTCCAGAGACTCTGATTCAGAAGAGAGTGTGGCTCAAAGAGCTATATTTTTAACACCTAGGAGATATTGATATAGTACCACATTATGAGAAACACTGGCATAGAGGATGAATTCGGACCTCTCCAGCTTGGCATGATTATCTGTCCATGGCACCATCCTTTGAACATTGTCAACTTCATCACCATTAAGACATACAGACAGACCTCATGTCATATAGATGGACTCCAGGGAAACACGTGGTCTAGGCTTCTTCCCCCACTTGTTATGTCTTCCTGCCATCTTCCATCTTAAGCATAAGCTCTCTGGGAGTAGGGTGAAAATTACCCAGAAAACTAGGAATAGAAGAGAACTGCCTCAACGTGATAAAGGATATATATGAAAAACCCACAGCCAGCTAACATCATACTCAATGGTAAAAGACTGAAAATTTTCCCCCTAAGATCAGGAACAAATCAAGGATGCCTACTTTCACTATTGCTAATTCACCATTGTACTTGAAGTTCAAGCCAGAGTAATTAAACAAGAAAAAGAAATAAAAGACATCCAGATGGGGAAGGAAGAAGTAAAAATATCTCCATTTGCAGACATGATCCCATGAATCTATATGTAGAAAATCCCAAAGAATCCACAAGAAAGCTACTGAGCTAATAAATTAATTCATCAAGTTGCAAGTACAATTTTCAATGCAAAATATTTGTTGTGTTGCTATACATCAGCAATGAACTATCTGAAAAAGGAAATTAAGAAAACAATTCCATTTACAATAGCATCCAAAAGAACAAAATAGCTAAAAATAAATTTAACAAAGAGGTAAAAGACGTGTACACTAAAAACTGTAAAACATAACTGAAAGAAATTAAAGAAGACCTAAATAAATTAAAATGCACCCTATGTTCATGGATAAGAAGACTTAATGTCATTAATATTTTAATACTATCCAAAGTGATTCAGTGCAACACCTATCAAAATTCCAAAGAAATGTAAAAGCTGGTCATCAAATTCATATGGAACTTCAAGGGGCTCTGAACAGCCAAAACAATCTTGACAAAGAACAACTTTCCAGTACTCACATTTTCAAATATCAAAACTTACTACAATGGAATACAAATGAAAGTCCAGAAATAAACTCATACATCTTATGGCCAACCAGTTTTGTGGCAAGAGTGCAAAGACCATTCAACAGAGAATAAATAGTCTCTTCAACAATTGGTGCTGGGATAACTAAATTTCCACGTGCAAAAGAATGAAGTTAGACCCCTACCTCACACCCTATAAAACAATTGACTCAAAATAGATCATTTATTTAAGATAAAACCATAAAATTCTTAGAAAAAAACAAACATGACCTTGGATTTGGCAATGGATCTTTAGCTATAGCACCAAAATCCCAAGCAATAACAGAAAAAAAAATAGATAAATTGAGCTTCATCAAAATTAAAATCCTTTGCGCTTCAAAAGACATTTCAGGGCCGGGCACGGTGGCTCATGACCATAATCCCAGCACTTTGGGAGGCTAAGGTGGAAAGATCACTTGAGTTCAGGAGTTTGAGACCAGCCTGGGCAACATGGTGAAACCCTGTCTCTACCCAAAATACAAAAATTAGTGAGGCATGGTGGCATATACCTGTAGTCTCAGCTATTTGAGACGCTGAGGAGGATGGCCTGAACCCGGGAGACAGAGATTGCAGTGAGCCATAATGACACCACTGCACTCCAGCCTGGGTTACAGAGCAACACCCTGTCTCAAAAACAAGAGAACAAAAGACATTCTCAAGAAAGTGAAACGACAACCTATGGAATTAAAGAAATTGCTTGCAAATCATATATTGATAAGGGTCTAGTATCCAATATTTTAAAAACTCCTACAACTCAACAACAAAAATACAACCCAATTTTTAAATGGGCGAAAGACTTACATGAACAGTTCTTCAAAGAAGATATACAGAAGGCCAATAAGCACATAAAAAGATGCTCAACATCATTAGTCATTAGAGAAATGTAAAGCAAAACTACTATGAGATATTACTTCACACTGACTAGGATGGCTAGAATAAAAAAAGGAATATAAATGTTGGTGAGTATATAGAGAAACCAGAACTCTCATGCACTGCTAGTAATAATGCAAAGTGTGGAAAACTCTATGAAAAACAGTTTTGCAGGTTCTCACAAAGTTAAACATAGTTACCACATAATCTAGCGATTTCACTCCTAGATGTATATCCCAAAATAATGGAAAGCAGGGACTCAGATACTTATACACCAATATTCATTGCCACATTATTCAAAATAGCCAAAATGTGGAAACAACCCATGTCTATCAATAAAAGATTAATAAAATATGGTATATACACACAATGAAACATCATTTACTCATAAAAGGAATGAAATTCTGACACATGCCGAATATGATGAACCTTGAAAACATCATGCTGAATGAATAAGCCAGGAACAAAAGGACAAATGCTGCATGAGTTCACGTGTATGAAATATCTACAAAAGGTAAATACAGAGACAGAAAGGAAATTGCAGGTTCCAGAGCCTGTGGGGAGGAAGGCACGGAGAGTTATTGCTTAATGAGCACAGAGTTCATAGTTGGAGTGATGAAAAAATTTTAGAATTTGTGCTGATGGTTGCCCATTAGGAATGTAATTAATGCCATTGAATTGTACACTTAAAAATGGCTAAAATGGTAGATTATATGATATATATTTTTTCCACACTAAAAATAATTGAAAAAATTGGGCTGGGGTGGTAGTTCACACCTGTAATCCCAACTCTTTGGGAGGCTAAGGCAGGAGGATCATTTGAAGCCAGGAGTTTGAGACCAGCCTGGGCAACATAGCAAGATCCCATCTCTCCAGAAAAAAAAATGTTAAAAGTTAGCTGGGTGTAGTGGCACATGCCTGTAGTCCCAGCTACTCAGGAGGGTGAGGTGGGAGGATCGCTTGAGCCCAGGAGTTTCAGGCTGCAGTGAGCTTTGATCGCACCATTGCACTCCAGTCTGGGCAACAGAGCAAGACCTTGTTTCACAGAAAAAAAGGAAAAGATCAATACCCTCTTGGGAGGCTGAGGCAAGCAGATCACCTGAGGTCGAGTTCGAGACCAGCCTGGCCAACATGGTGAAACCCCGTCTCTACTAAAAACGCAAAAATTAGCAGGCCAGCAATAGTGGCAGGCGTCTGTAATCCCAGCTACTTGGGAGGCTGAGGCAGGAGAATAGCTTGAACCCGGGAGGCGGAGGTTGAAGTGAGTCGAGATCGTGCCACTGTACTCCAGCCTGGGTGACAGGGTGAGACTCCATCTCAAAAAAGAAAAAAAAAAAAAAAAAGACCAGTGCCCTCCAGTGGTGGGAAAGCATGGGAATGAGCATACGCACGCATCCTCTTCATCTAGGAGACAGACATAATACGCACCTATTGCTTCATACACCTCAGGTTGTCTTTAATCCATTTCATGATGATTGTTGTGTCATTCTTGTTGCCGGCAGAACTATCCTCTCCTGGACATGAGGCCACACAGACATGCCGAGTGCAGGTAAAACACATGGCATGGAGTGGCTCTTGGTCAGGAGCAGACCCTGAGAAGTCAGTACTACTCTCCCTCATGCCACTAGGGAAAATGAAACCGGTTCCATCCCCATCTCACCCATCCCGCCCCATCCTTGCCCTGCAGCACCCCTCCTCTGCCCTGCACCCCCTACTGCCCTCCACCCCAGTACAGCCACTCGGAGCTGGGCTGCATGTGTGGCCCTGCACAGGGCATGGTGACTTGGGTTGTGCCTGCCTCCCACCCATATGAGGGTGGATCCTGCCTGGAGGCCTCTGGAGCTGGGACCTCTGCAGGTCTTCCCACAGGGATGTGTTGAAGCAAGGGGGCAAGTTTACTCACACTTAGAGAATGTTGTGGAGGGCGCTGGCCTCAAAAGGACATCCTGGCTCACTGGCTGCCAGCACCACCACACTGTGCAGTATGCTATGCTTCCAGGCAAGGAACTACAGTTGGGAAATCTACAGACATTTCCCTTTATGGTTTTGTTTTGTTTTGTTTTGTTTTTTGAGACAGTTTCACTCTTGTCACTCAGGCTGGAGTGCAATGGTGTGATCTCTGCTTACAGCAATCTCCGCCTCCCAGGTTCAAGCAATTCTCCTGCCTCAGCTTCCCGAGTAGCTAGGATTACAAGCATGCGCTACCACGTCCACCTAATTTTGTTTTTTTAGCAGAGATGGGGTTTCTCCATGTTGATCAGGCTGGTCTCAAGCTCCTGGCCTCAGGTGATCCGCCCGCCTCAGCCTCCCAAAGTGCTGGGATTACAGGCATGAGCCACTGCGCCTGGCCTTCCTTTTTTTTTTTTTTTTTTTTTTTTTTTAATAGACACAGGTCTCACTAGGCTGCCCAGGCTGGAGTGTAGTGGCTATTCATTCAGAGGCCAGACCATGGCGCACTGCAGCTTCCAACTCCCAGCCTCAAGCAATCCTCCTGTCCCAGCCTCCAGACCAGGTGTAGTCTCCGAAGGGTGCAGGCGGGGACCATGGGATGCTTGGGCACTGGTTGATTGGGTCAGATTTCGTCCTCATGTGACCAGGAGTTTATAGATATGCCCCATGTTATCTTTCCTATAGCCTTGTGCCCTGTAGCACACTATTCTGCAAAAAAATCAGGAACATACATTCATCATGAGAAGAAAGCCAGCATTTGTAGCTACTGTCTAACCCCCCTCTGCTTCACTGAGCTGGAGAGGATCCTCCTATCAGAGGCTGGGCCTGGCCGGGTAACCCACAGATCAGTGACCCCCCTCAGGAACCAGATCCCTGAGGCTGGCTGGGGTGCTGAATGGCCCTGACCACCTCACTGGAATCCAGTGGCTCTGCTTCCTAGGGCATGTTTACTGCAAAGCCCCAGCTCAGCTTTGCTGTCCCTGCATTTCACTAAACTCTGCCGTTGAACTCAAGCACCAAAACTCCCCCTTGTGAATCGAGAGTCCAAGTTTGCCACAGGCTTATAAAATCACAGATATTAGAGATACTGTGAATTATGCACCAGATGGACCCAATTAACTCCCCAACTAATGTGATTGGGGAAGGAAATAGCTCATTAGAAACTTGTAAACTACCAACTCTCACAGCTGTGTTCTAATTACAGTACAGCCACAGATAAAAATAATCACGCCTTCTGCTGAGAGGCCGTTCATGACCCTTCCAAACTTGGAATCATGCAGGGATCAACCTCAGTCTAGCTCTGAGCATTGCTGGCCTCAGAGCTAATCAACCCAAATGCAAATCCACAAGTTAAAAAGGGAAATCAGTAGAAGCTGGTGGGGAAACATGAGAATAAATCCATAAACCCCCAAAATAATTCCACCCCATCAGATACTCTATAAACTGTGAATAGATGCAAAGCAAATAATGACACTACGATACGATGTAAAACTAGAATACTATTTCTGCATTTTCACAGAGGTCTAATGCCCTGCATTAAGCAAGCTCACAGGCTTCGACAAAATTCCAAATTGAGAAATGTTAAATTTTGCAATTCTGTATTTTATCAGAATGTTACCAATAATTCCTCAATGGGTACTGGCCCAGGTGCTGTTCTAGGAAGGGGGTAATGGACAGGTGAGTTGCTGGCCTATCGCCTTACTCAGGCACGTAAGACTCTGTGAGCAAGTATAACGCAAGGTGAAGACCGTAGAAGCAGACAGGGATGGCGATGGCAATGACTGCGCTGCCAGGTAAGGCTTCACAGAGGGAATCTGAGGTGGGTCTTCAAGGCAGGTTTGAATTTCATGTAGATCAGAATGAAAATATTAAATGGGATTCCACTTTCAAAAGCGAGACTGGAAAGGCCATTCTGATATAGCCTCAGTTGCGTGTGTATGTAACTATACTGATATCAGAAAATCACCAAAGAGTTGGTTGGAGAGGCTTGTGGCCACAGCGTCATCGTTACAGTCATTGGTACCTTTCCTTGGCACACACATGGTGTGTATCTCCAGGCAGCACCCACATGGGTGGGCCATGGAGGGCACAAGACAGCCACGTTCACCTTCACACACCTGGGAAGGAAGATGCCTCTTAGGAGGTGTGGGAGGGAAGAGGGGACCAGGAAACGCCCCCCAACCTCAATAGCCTGACCAAGGTGGAGGTGCTCTTCCTTCATCACAAAGCACAGTGACAACCCTCTCCCAGCCCCTGTGCCAGATATTAGGCCCTCAAAGTGACCCTGGCTGATTCCAAGCATTTCTCAAGGCATCACCCACACTGCCCAAGAGATGGTCACTGTGCTGGGCACAGCTGTTCCACTCAGGGCTACTACCATGGCTACCTCCCTCCAGGCTCCCAAAACAAGCCTGGGCTCTTGCTGATGAGGCCCCTGGAGTCCAGACATGCTGCCCCAGCCCATGAGGTCTCCCAAAGAGGGGGACCTCACCTCAGAGGCCCCACCTCAGAGGGCCTCCCAGCACAAGACCACACTCTCTGCTCTTGCAACTAGCTGAGCCTATTCTGGGCACTTTGTCTCACGATGCTCAGCGCAACCACGGGCAGGAATTGTTGTTATGTCCATCTTAGAATGACAAGACCAATACCTGGCAAAAGTGGTAGCCCACTGAGCTCAGGTCATCTGCTCCCAACCACTGCCCCCACAGGCAAGTGGACAGCTGTCTCCGGATCCCCCACCCTGGCTCACCCCCTTCTAAACTCATGAGGGTCCAGAGTAACAGAAGATAGAAATCGCTATATGAGTGTGGGTGTGTGTTTGTAAATGTGTATATATGTATGTGTATAAATATGTGCATGTATATATGTGGGCATGTGTAAGTGCATATATATGTATGTGTAAATATGTGCATGTATATAGGTGCATGTGTATGTAAATATGTGTATGTATACAAATACTGTACATATATGTATTATAGGTATATGTGTGTATGGGTATGTGTGCACACATGTATGTGTGTATGTATGTGTATGTGTGTATGCATATATACATGTATAAATGTGTGTGGATGCATATAATCATGTGTGCATGCATGTACACATGTATAACTGTGTGGGTATGTATGCATGCATGTATGAAGTGTGTGTTTATGTGTGTGCATAGCTATGTACATGTGCGTGCTGGTCCTCTGGAGATGGCCAAATGGCTCCTGCAGGCACAGCAGCATGTTTGTGGCCAAGAGGAGCCCCACCTCAACGTGTTTTCTGATCCTGGCAACACCTCCCACACCCATCTTGACTGGCTCCAGAGCCTGGCCGGCTCTGCCCTGACACAGGGCCCAAATGTTGAGACCTCAATACATCACGTTTCATGAAGACAGTTCTATGTTGCTGCCATAGAGATACCCCTCTCCCAAAATTACATAAGGATTTCTTCACATGTGCTTTTTCTAGTACTCTTACATTATTGTTACTTACACATAAGTCCAAGATTTATCTTGGCAAAAAACTGAATGCAACTTTTTGTTACTGTATTAGCCCGTTCTCATGCTGCTATAAAAAAACTGCCTGAGACACTGGGTAATTTATAAAGAAAAGAGGTTTAATTGACTCACAGTTCCACATGGCTGGGAAGGCCTCAGAAAATTTACAATCATGGCAGAAGGAGAAGCAAACATGTCCTTCTTCACGTGGTGGGAGGAGAGAGAAGAATGAGAGCAGAGCAAAGGGGGAAGCCCCTTATAAAACCATCAGCTCTTGTGAGAACTCATTTACTATCACCAGAATAGCATGGGGGAAACCACGCCCGTGATTCAATTATCTCCACCTGTTCCCACCCTTGACATGTGGGGATTATTACAATTCAAGGTGAGATTTGGGTGGGGACACAGAGCCAAACCCTATCAGTTCCTCTCCAAATGCGTGTCCACTTTCGTAACATGGGTGAGCCACACTTTTGCAGTTGTCTAAGAGGTTGGGTTTGCTGAGTTTGTCATACACCTGTATCTGGGACTTTCCTGTTATTCCTGTGTTGGTGTGGCATTATATAAAATGTGGCCAGTTACAGGACAAAGTTCCCTCATTCCTTCTCGTCTTTCGTGTTTCTCTTCACATATTTGTTTTTTCACATATCTGATCTCACACTTGCATTTTTCCCCAAAACTTTTATCTGCAAAAGAAGCCTCGTCAAGTTGTAAAGCAATTGCACTGAGACTTCTTCCAGGTTTGCTTTCATTTCAATGCTGTTTCCCCTGAGAACCGCTCATTGCAGAAGTTCGAGGGCTTTGGGCAGAGTTGGCCTTTCACGTAGGTACTGAACATCCATGGAAGTGTGCTCCTAGATGGTTTGTTTGGGGTGGTATCCTCAATGGGTGTCTTCCTTACATTTTCCAAGGCTTAGGAAAGCTATGTGTGGAATGCTGTGGGGCCTGGCCCCTCCCAGGCCACATCACAGTGGTTTGGTGCTCCAGCCTCCTCAAGTGAGTGGGTATGGCCAGCGGGGAGCCAAGCCCACCTGAGCAGGGAAGGCCGGCTCCCTCACCTGCAGCCTCCTCGAGGGCCACCTCCCCTCAGGGACATCTCCCCGGCCTATGTCCCCCACCCCTAGGTGCCTGGCCATCCTCACGGTGCAGCAGGACAGAAGAAGCTGGGAACCCCAGCTGACCCCTGCTTCAGATGCAGAGCATGGATTGCTCATCTCCGGAGGAGACAGCAAGTGGTCAAGGACCTGCCAGGAGCCCTGGGATTCCAGAACTCAACCGGGATCTGACTGGGGGAGCAGAAAAGGCCAGAGAGAAAGGAGAGACACAAGAGGGCAGAGACCCAGAGCAGTGTCTGTTCCTAGGACACTGTCCCCTGGTCCCCTGCACTCCAGGGGCCCCTGGAGCCTCGTGGCCCTGGGCTCTGGCCACCTTGCTGTACAAGTGCCTGCAACGCTGACTGGGGGCTGGCCAGTTCAGTCTGGGTAACCAGAGGGAGAGCCTCGCTCCACAGCCCACCATGGGACCTGCCTGTGTGCTTCCCATGTAGAAACAGCGTTTTCATATGCAGAGAAGTCTGACATGAAACAGTCCACTTGGCCATGATTTCTCAAGAATTCCCACTGACAGGAGCCTCTCTTCTTGAGCACTGGCATTCATGACAAAATTCTACCACTGGCTGGATGGGAGACGTTCCTATTGCTTGTGCAACTTTAAGTTTTCCCCCAGAAAATTTGTCCACAGGAGGAACAAGACGGGCTGTCTGGGACTCACTGGCCGGAAGCCAAACCCAACACCTGTCAAGATGTAGGACCCTGCACTGGGAAAACGGTTGCCCTCCCTGCTCAGGGACATCTGCACAGCACACTGCATTCCTGTCCTTTGGGGTGACGTGGGGGCACGCTGCTTTACTTCTTTCCACTGCTCTTTGAAAACTGAGTCGTTAGGAAAGCATCAGCAGTGGACATGTGTGTGTGGAGGATGGCAGTGTGGCTCCCAGGTGACACCTGCATCACTGCTGAGCTCCACACCCTCCAGGGCTGTCCATGTGACACCCCAGTGGGGCTCATCACGCGCTCCTATCCCTGCCCCTGCAAGTCCCTGCCAGGGTGAGCTCAACAGGGCTCCACACTATATGAATATTCAGGTGCTAGACCCTTAGTGAGTACCACGATGCTGAGTGTCTCTCTCGGAGCCAGGCAACGAGGACAGGGACATAGGCCAGTGGGGTGGCCCCTGCCCCAGCTGCCTGCCCCCTGCCTCTGGTGCATGTGTGACCTTGGGCAGTCGGTGCACCCTCTCAGGCCCCCCTCCTAGTTCAGCAGAGGCAGTGGCTGCATTTCTAGAAAGGGAGGGCCCATAGGAAAGCATGCTTTAGGTTTGTATTGCTTTTCTGAACACACTTCTTCCATTGCAAAGTTGCAATGATTGATAGCATAAAATAGAACACATGTTTCAGAAAGGATTCTGGCACAAAAAGTCTGATTCCTAAGAGCTTCAAATAGGAAATGCATTTAGACTTTACATTTTATGAATACATTGAAGAAAGCACCTTTTTGAAACTATCCAATTCTCCAGTGCTTGTAGGTGATGGTCTCATTATTTTTGATCCACAAGAACACCTGGCAACCTACAGGAGCTAGAATCCAATGCTCATGGAAATCAACTCTATGAAACTCCAAGACATTGCCCTGTGATGTTGCCACGGCCCTCAACATAATAGCAGCTCTCTATGGGGCCTGCACTGTGAGAAGCCTCCATGCCCTTGTCAGGGTATCTGTGCCCCTGAGATGTCCTGGAGACCAGTGAATCCCTTGGCCTGCCCAGCCACTGTCACTGCTGCATCAGCTCTGTAACAGACAGGGCCCCACAGACAAGGCTCCTACACTCCCAGAATGTCTGCTCCCCACCAAGAAATGGCCCTACTACACATACTCCAAAAACATTGGCCCAAAAATACATATAAGCTACTCTTGCATTCAAATATTTATCGAGCACTCGCTTGGCCAGGGGCAGGCATGAACAAGACACACTCCCTGCTCTCAGACAGCAAAGCCTCCTGGGCACAAGCCCTCTGAGAGTAAGACAGGTAAGCAGCCGCTGCTGCAGGGGAACAGGTGGGAACAACGTCATCACAAAGACGGGTGGGATTTGTACTCAGAAAACTCAGGAGTAAAGCAGGAGGGGAAAGTAAACTGTCCAACAAGACTGATCCCTTCCCAGATCAACCAAACTAAGCCACCAGGCTGGACCCTGTGACTACTGGATCGTAAACAGCCTCACACACCGGGAGGCAGCCTGCCTGGTCCTGGCACAGCGGGGAGTGACATGTGAGGACCCACCCAGAGCTGGGTACCTGCAGCAGGTCACCCTGGCCCACCAAGTGCCCTGGTACCCTGAAGGGCTGGTAGACATTCTCTCATAGCCTTATAAGGGCCTGGGAACTGACCCTCAAAGCTTGAGGGTCCCCCCCAATAATGAAATGAGAGACTTTGGGGAAATGCTATCCACATGCATAGCCACTTGAATGCTGAAGGCAAAACTGCAGCAGGAGGGTTGATAAGGGGTGGCTCTGGGTGCTGGTCCACTGCCCACAGGGAAGGACGAAGGCCAGGAGCTGGGCCTGGCTGCTGCCACCCTTGCCTCTACCGCCTCTTCCGTCTGCAATGTCCTCTGGGAATTGGCCTTCCTCTGTGGTGGGGCCTTTGTCCGATTTTTTCTGAGCGCTCCCTCTTTCATCTGCCTCTAGCAGGGAAGGCTCCCTCTGCAGCTGCAGGAATCATGCAGGAGGTACTGGCCCAGGGCACGCTGGCCACCTGGCTCAGGCCCCACCACCCACCCTGCCACCCTGTGCCCCTCCACTGCTCATTTTCTGGACTCCCTGTCACCTCCTCATCCCCCTGAGGTGGCAAACCCAGACACATCTCAGAGAGATGGGGTGGTGCCCTGCTGGGAACATGATGTCGACTTCTCTATTTCTTAGAGACCAGTGTTAGTGACTTTATGTATGTTGCTCTTTTGTATAAATAGTAATAATCCAGGTGACCAAAACACTTAACAGAAAATTGTCACTATTTCAGCCCCCAAAATAGCTATGAACAGCTCCTCCCTTGCAGGCAAGTGGGACTAGAAGAGGTAATAAACGTAGCATCCCAGAGCCCAGTCCAGGGGGCAGGTGTGCAGGGGAGAGTCTGCGCTGGGGTGCAAGCCTGTGGTCCAGGGCCTGGGTCCTCTCCCTGCTCCCAGAAGTCCTGAGGGGATGCAGTGGAGGTCCCCAAGGGCCCCGCAGATGAGGACAGCTCTGGTGCTGGATGAAGGGGCACATTCCCACTGGGTCCAGAGAGCGCTCAGTGAAGCCTGCCTTCCCCTAGGAAAAGGAGAGTGCATAGGACATTAGATCACACCAAATGCACCTCACTGCTTAGAAGGCGACAAACTGCACTTTCTGAAGATGTTTGAAAGCCTGCCCTGTCCACTCAAGCTCCAGTTCCTCCCTGTGCCCACAAGAGAGCAGAAGACTGAGAAGGTGAAGGCTGGCCTGCAGGAGCCACGCAGGGCAAAGCTGGTCTGCATTTGGGGAACATCCTGGAGCTGCAGGGAGGTGGGGCGTGAGCTACTGCAGTGGCCAGGGAAATCAGTTATTCATTTGAATAACCCAAAACTTATCAGCAAAGGAATAAGGTAAATCTTATTTTTTCCTTATTAAAATCATCAGAAGGATAAGATAGGCTGAGTGTGGTGGCCCTTGCCTGTAATCCCAGCACTTTGGGAGGCCAAGGCAGGAGGACCCCTTGAGCACAGGTCAAGCATGCAGTGAGCTATGACTGCACCACTGCACTCCAACCTGAGCGACAGAGCAAGACCCTGTCTCAGAAATAGTAATAATAATAATCATCATCATCATAAGACAAATCTAAATTTGAGATTAACTAAAAGATGTACTACATTAAAATTATGTGAAAAGAACAATTTTTAAAGACTTCTAAATGCCTTTTGCTCCCTAGTAGTAAAGTCTTCTGCAGATTTTCCATTTTATTGACCCAAAAAGGGAAGAGCAAATCTCCTCTTGGAAGGAAGCATGCCTGGGCAGAGCTGGAACACGCACTGGGTCACTTCGTGTGTAATTCATTCACTCCAGTTTCTATTAAATATAACCGGCCGCTAGTCCCCTTGATGAATGGGAGCATGTGAAGTCAATTAGTACTTACTCCGTTTCTTTCTATTTAAGAGTCTCTCTTTATGTACACATTCATTCAAGCCAAAGTTCAGACTCCCAATCAGGATTTCTCCCCACCCAAGGAGCAGCACACACAATGGCACCATGAAAGGGGAAGGCTGTGGGCGAGCACACGCCGCATGCCCCTCATGCAACCCGCTGCTTCCACCAACCCTCATGGCATTGCAGGAGCTCCCACCCCTGGTGCCAGCACCTCTGCTGCAGTCTCATGTTTCACCTGGTCCCTGCCAGGCTCCTCAGGGTGCCGGCCCCGCACTGAGGCAGGTGGGAAGTGTAGGTCCCCAGCATGCCTGCCTGGAACTGGAGGCCAGGAATCAGTCTCAGACCACCTCATGGACACTGCTCCAGCAAGGCCTGCACGCCCTCTAGCTGGGGCACTGCAGGCTGGGATGTGCTGACCAGACCAGCACCTCCTGCCCAGCCTTGCGAAATGATCACCTTGCTGCTATGAATTTTATTTTTTTTAATCCTAGCTTGAAATACAAAATGAGCAATGACTTGTCTGTTCTAAGCCAAACCTAATCTTCTTGCACCCTTGTGGGGATAGAAAAGCACTTCCACTTAGTATCTCAAAAGTATTATTTTTGTAAGATGAGATTTGCTTTCAAATCAAAGGAAGACGAGGTAACAGCAGGAATGGCACAGAAAGGACGTGTAGACATTCTCTCCTCCATAGAAGCAGCAAAAACAGACAAAACTTGTCAAAATCAATATTTTCAGAACTTTGGAAGTTAACAAAAGTATAAAACAATCCATGGAGCATGTATTCTAGAGGATGGCCAAGTCTCAGTGAGAAAATTTTAACTTGCTCTACTGCCATATCCCTTTACCCAGTTCTGTGCTGGGCTTGAAAATCAGCCCTGCCATGATGGTGAAAACCAGAGGCCTAGTAGCCATTGAAGAGAGCAGAATTGGACTAGGGCACTTCCAAATCTCCTTTACAGAGAACTGGCACTATTGGAGCTGTCTGGCAGTACCTTGACTACCCCTCTCACAGGTACCATCTGTATTGGACCAGGCTCAGAGCTCCAGAGGTGAATAGCCTTCTCTCCTGGGCGTTTGCCACAAACAATGAGCAGCAAGTGTTTAACATCACAGCTTCCTGAGGCAGCAACAGCCACTGGGGCTAACAAGAAGCCAACCAAAAAACACAAAAGAAAAAGCAGTTTGTAAAGCTTCAACACATTCCTAGGCATTCAAGCACAGGGCTGTACGTGTGCCCAAGAGGGACCTGTGAAGTTCTACCCACTCACCTCTGGATGACCGTGAGGCTCTGCAGAAGCCAGAAGTGAAGAAGAAGGCAGAATGTCTGGCTGGAAGCTGAAAGCCGACCCCAACATGCACACACAGCCCCTTGACAAAGGCAGGGAGACTTAATGGTCCCAGCCCTTATTTAAGAATACCTCTGTCCAGTCACTAACTGAACAGAGAATTCACTGGCCATACACAACAAAGAATACAGACTCAAAAACATGAGTTCAGGAAAGTCACTAAACAAACAGGAACAGCAAAAAGCCCTGGGAAGGGGGAAGAATCTGATTACTAGAGCTTCCATATTATATTCTTTTAAATGTCCAGTCTGACAAAAATATACACATGCAAAGACATGTATGGTCCATACACAAGAAAAAAAAATGGTAAATAGGATGGAGTCCTTGTGAATGGAATTAGTGTCCATATTAAAAGAGGCCCAGAGAGTGCACTCACCCCTTCCACCAGGTGAGTACACAGAGAGAAGGCACCATTTACGAGGAACAGGCCCTCACCAGCACCTTGACTTTGCACTTCCCAGCCTCCAGAACTATGAGAAATAATGTTCTGTTGTTTATAAGCTACTCAGTTTATGGCATTTTGTTACAGTAGCCTTAATGGACTAAGACATCTAATCTGACATTTCATATAAATGAAAACATACAATTTATCGTTTTTTATATCTGGCTTCTTTCACTGAGCATGTCCTTAAGGTTTATCCAAGTGGTAGCACATATCAGTACTTCTTCTATTTTTATGGGAACTATGTTCTGTTGTATGGATATGCCAAATTTTGTTTATCCATTCATGAATTGATGGGCAATGAGGTTGCTTCTTTCTTTGGCCATTAGGAATAATGCTGCTTTGAACACATATGCACAAGTTTTACACAGGCATGTCTTTTCAATTTTGTTGTGTACATACCTAGTAACAGAAATGCTGTATCAAATGGCAACTCCATGCTGAACAGTTTGAGGAACTGCTGAACTGTTTTCCAAAATGGCAGCACTATTTTATATTCCCACTGGCAATGCATGAGAGTTCCAATTTCTCCACATCAGCCCTAACACTTGTCATTGCCATCTTTTTTATGATAGCCATCCTATTGGGTGTCAAATGGCATCTCACTGAGCTTTTAATTTGCATTTCTCTAAATACCACTGATGTTGAGCATCTTTTCAGTTGCTTACAGGCCATTTGAATATCTTCTTTGGAGAAATGCCTATTTAAATATTTTGCCTGTGGGCATGGGGGGAGTCTTTTTATTATGGAGTTGTAAGAGTTCTATATATATTCCGAATACTAGTCCCTTATCAGATATATTGTCAGCCATTATTTTCTCCCGTTCTGTTGCTTGTCTTTCCACTTCTTGACAGTGTCCCTTTTATTCACAAAAGTTTTTCTTTTTGATAAAGTCCAATTTATGTACTTTTTTTGTTTGTGCTTTTAGCATCAAATCTAAGATACTGCATAATTCAAAGTCACAAAGATTTATAACCATGTTTTCTTCTAGGAGTTTTATAGTTTTAGAACTTGCATTTAGGTCTATGATCCCTTTTGAGTTAATTTTTGTATATGATGTGAAGTAGGGGTCCAACTTCATTCTTTTGCATGTGGATAGCCAGTTATCCCAGCACAATTTGTTGGAAAGACTATTCTTTCTGTATTTATTTGTTTTAATACCCTTGGTGAAAATCAATTGAATTTACATATAAGAGTTTATTTCTGGAGTCTTGATCCTCTTTCATTAATCTGTATGTCTATCCTTATGCCAGAAACACACAGTCTTAAATTACTGTGGCTTTGTAGTAACTTCTGAAAGCAGAAAGCATGAGTCTTCCAAGTGCTATTCTTTTACAAGGTTGTTTTGGCTATTCTGGATTGCTTGCATTTCTCTATGACTTGCAGGATCAGTGTGCTGAAAATGTAGATTAATTTGGGTAGTAATGCCATTTAACAATAGTAAGTATATCTTCTTGATGAATTGACACTTTTATTACCAGAAATTCTTGTCTCTAGTAACAATTTTTGTCTTAAAGTCTATTTTGTCCAATATTAGTATAGTCTCTCTACCTCTCTTTTGATTACTGTTTTCATGATATACCTTTTTCCATTCTTTTACCTTCAGCCTATTTGGGGTTTTGATTCTAAAGTGTGTTTCTTGGCGATAGCATACAGTTGGATCATTTACTTTACCCAGTCTGCCAATTTCTGCCTTTTGGTTGAAGTATTTAATCCATCTATGTTTAATATAATTACCATTGAGGTAAGATTTATCTGCTACTTTGGTATTTTTTTCTATATGCCTCATGTTTTTTTCTGTTCCTCACTTCTCCATTACTGCCTTCTTTGAAGTCAAATAGATATTTGCTAGTGTATCATTTTGATTCCTTTCTTCTTTTTTTACTATATGTTATTTTAGTTATTTTCTTGTGATTGCTGAGAGGATTACAATTATCATCTTAAAACAATCTATTTAGAACTAGTGCCAACTTAATTTCAGCTCTATACAGAACCTTTGCTCCTACATAACTCTATTTCCTCTCACCTGTTTGTTCTATTGCTGACTATAAAGTACACGTTTACACATTGTATATCCTTTAACAAAGATTTATAATTACTGCTTTATGCAACTGTCATTTAAAGCAGATGGTAGAATGAAGGAGTTGCATAGAAAAACATACATTTATGCTGTGTTTTATGTTTTCCTATACAGATTTCTTTACTGGTGCTCTGTTTTTCCTTATGTGGATTTGAGATACTGTCTAGTGTGCTTTCATTTCAGCTTGAAAAACTCCCTTTAACAATTTTTGTGGGAAAGGTATAGTGTTAAAGAACTCCCTCAGCTTTTGTTGGTATGGGAATTTCTTAACATCTCCCTCATTTTTGAAGGGCAGTTTTGCCAGATATAGAATTTTTAGTTGACAGTATGTTTCTTTTAACATTTTATATATGTCATCCCACTGCCTTCTGGCCTCCATGGTTTCTGATGAAAAATCAACTGTGCATGTAATTAAGGATCCCTTGTATGTGACAAGTCACTTCTCTCTCAGTGCTTTCAAGATTCTCTCTTTGGCCTTCACATGTGTCTTGCTATAAGTCTCTTTAAGTTTACCTTATTTGGAATTCATCGAGCTTCTTGGATTTGTACATCTGTGTCGTTTTCAGTTATTATTTCTTTAAAATGTTTTCTGGTCCTTTCTCTCTCTCTCTCTCTTCTCTGTCTGGAACACCCATAATGTGTATGTTGTACTATTTGATGGCTTTCCACAGGTCCCTTGGGCTCTATTCACATTTCTTCATTCTTTTTTCTTTCTGCCTCTCAGATTAAACAGTTTCAATTGTCCTATCTTCAAGCCTGCTGATTCTTTCCTCTGCCTTCCTAAATCTGCTGTTGAATGCCACTTGTGAGTTTTTCATTTCATTTATACTTTTCAGCTCAAGAATTTCTTGCTGATTTCTTTTTTATAATTTCTATCTCTTTGTTGATAGACTCATTTTGTTCATACGGTGTTTTTCTTATTTCCCATATTTATTTGTCCTTCTTTTTCCTTTAGCTATCTGAGCATATTTAAGATAGATGTTTTAAAGACTTTTTTCAGGAGGTATTAATATGATGTCTGGGCTTCCTCAAGGATGGAAAGAAACAAATCCATTTAAAGGATTTAAATGGATTTGTTTCTTTGTATGTCTTGGGGTTTTTTTTTTTATTATTATTGTTGTTGAAACACTTTGTTGTTGGTGGCAGTGGTTGCTGTTGTTGTCACTGTTATTAAATGCTGTAGCAGTCCGTTGGTTTAGGTACTTTTCCAAACTATTTTTCCAAGGACTGTATCCCTTTTCATGTCTGTTTCCTAACATCATGTTCAGCTAATGTTTTGACAGAGATTTTCTTCAATACCAGGAGATTTTACAAGCAAACCAGAAAAAGAGAAAACACAAAACCAAAGAAGCAAACACCTTTCCCAGTCTTTGCAAAGTGGCTCTGATGGAGCACTTCATCAACAATTATCAAGTCTCCCACTGAGACTAAGATTAAGCTTGAGGTGAAAGTTTAGGGTTTTCTATGGTCTTTTCTGAGCATGCATCTCACCCTAATTATGTATGTGGCTTTCTAAGTTCATCCACACACAGGTACTTTTGAGTATCCTAAGTTCCCAAGGAATCTCCTACAGCTTTTGCACCTAGGTTTTAGGCAGTCTATTGTATGCCTCAATCAGTATGCATCTGCCCTAGGCCTCTATAGTTTGTCAGACTCTCTGACAGTATCTTCAAGCAATGCCCATCACTTTTCCAGCTTATGTTCTGAGTTAGGCAAAACAGAGCTCAGAGTCTTGTGTCAATCCTTCAGTGAGCCCACAGACAAATCAGAGCAAACGCAATAATTTACAGTTTCCACAACTCTTAGTGCTGGTTCTAAGAGTTTCTGCTTGTTTTCAACGTTTCTGGGGGTCGAATAAGAGCTTGGAACTGCTCACTTTGCCATTTTGCCATCACTATTCCTCTGCAGTAAGTCATTGCTTTGGGGATTATTTTGTATCTAAAGATAAATTAGGGGGAAACTGTCATCTTAATTATGTTGTTTTCCAATCCAGGAACATTGAAGGCTCTCTACTTATCTAAATCTTCTTTAAGTTCTCTCAGCAATATTTTGTGTTGTTCAATTATAAATCTTGTACTTTTTATTAAATTTAATCCTAAAAATGTGATTCTTCTTAATGATTTTGTGAAACAGTTTTCTTAATTTTATTTTCAGATTATTCATTACTAACATATAAAGACAATTAGTTTTTGTATGTTGATTTATAAAACTGTCTTTATTCACAGACATGATTATTTACTTAGAAAATCCCCCACAAAAAAATCTACAAACAAAAAAGTTGCTATACTTAATAAGTTACTTTAGCAAGTTTGCAGAACACAAGATCAATGTACAAAAATCAATTCTGTTTTATGTACCAACACTGAACAAATGTAAATTGATGTTTTACAACAACACCAAAAAATGAGTCACTTGGAGATAAATCTTACAAAATATGTCCAACACCTATCACTGAAAACTATAAAATTTTGCTTAGAGA
Organism: Homo sapiens; assembly: GCF_000001405.40. Taxonomy (NCBI): domain Eukaryota; kingdom Metazoa; phylum Chordata; class Mammalia; order Primates; family Hominidae; genus Homo; species Homo sapiens. The sequence continues at coordinate 28,066,239 of NC_000015.10, forward strand.
AATTAAATAATACCCAAACAAATGGAAAGATAAGCCATGTTCCTAGAGCAGAAGATTCAATATTTGAAACCAAAAATAAAATTCTAAGCCCCTCACTGACTAATGGGAATCCTCCCCTTGGCCAAGGGAGTTTCAAAGAAACCTAAACGATCAGTTCAAGCCATGATGGGAGAGGGGGGTGGGAGGCGTTAGATATGCCTCATTATACTCTCCTCCCGTTGGAATTCAGGCACAGCTGATTAGCATTAACATTTAAAACAGAGACATTAAAACTGATGAAGCAGACTCTTTGTAGCAATAAGATACCAAATTCCAACCTCACCCTAATATAGCATCACATGACAGACAGCAGACCCTAAAAGAAAAGTATTTTGCCCCAAAATATATTTCTTTGACACATTTTTAATGGCCCTACAAAGCTGTCTCTTGTGGGGGCAATCTAAATTCTGTAGAGAATCCCCTTCCCTTTCTGATCCTGAAGAGATTAGCTGAGAGTCTAGCACCTTTTAAAGGTCTAAACAGGAGACATTTGCCATCTATTGCATCTAAAGGTGGCCACCTATGAGATTTCATCTACTTAAAAAGAACTTTGGTCGCCACAACCTTATCCTAATCCGGACATTCCTTTCTATTGATTCCATGGCTTTAGATAATAACTTAATTCTTTCAACCAATTGCCAATCAAAAAATCTTTTAATCTACCTACAACCTGTAAACCCCCATTTCAAGTTGTCCCACCTTTCTGGATCAAACCAATGTGTACCTTACATGTATTGATTGATGTCTGCCTGTAACTTTTGTCTCCGTAAAATGTATAAAATCAAGCTGTAACCTCGGACCTCCTGGGGTTGTGCCCACAGGTCATGGTCCTCACATTTAGCTCAGAATAAATCTCTTCAAATATTTTACAGTGTTTGACTTTTCTCATCAATAATATTATTAAGGTGTCAACTCCATAAATTCATCTTATAGACTCAATGCCATTCCAATAAAAATCCTACCAGGATCTTCTCTTTCTCTTTCTTTGTTAATCTAGCTAGGAGTCTATCAATCTTAGTTATTTTTTTGAAGGACAAACTTGGTTTCATTGATCTTTCGTATGGATTTTTGCATCTCGATTTTATTAAGTTCTTCTCTAATTATTTCTTTGGATTGGTTTGTTCCTTTCTCTCTAGTTCCTTTAGGTGTAAAGTTAGATTGTTAATTTGGGACCTTTCTAACTTCTTGATGAAGGCATTTAGGGCTACAATCTTTCTTCCTAATGCTGTATCTCAGAGATTTTTGAAGATTATGTCCTTATTTTCATTAATTTTAAATAATCATTTTTTATTTCTACCTTAATTTTTATGTTCACTCAGGACTTATTCAGGAGTAAGTTGTTTAATTTCCATGTATTTTTGTAGTTTTCCAAGATCTTATTGGTATTTATTTCTATTTTCATTGCACTATGGTCTCAGAATGTGCTTGGTATTATTTCGATTTCTTTTGAATTTATTGAAACTTGCTTTATGACTGAGAATGTGGTCAATCTTAGAATATGTTCCATATGCAGATGGGAAGAATGTATGTTCTGTGGTTGTTGGAGTGTTCTGCAGATGTCTATTAGGTCCAATTGGTCAAGTGTTGAGTTTAAGTCCAGAGTTTTTTGGTTAGTTTTTTGACTTGGTGATCTATCTAACACTGTCAATAGGGTGTTGAAATCTCCCACTATTATTGTGTGGTACTGTAAGTCTTTTTACAGCTCAAGAAGTTGTTTTATGAATCTGGGTGCTACACGGTTGGGTGCACAAATATTTAGGATAGTTAAGGTTTCTGGTTGGATTGTATCCTTACTATGTTATGCCCTTCATTGTCCTTCTTAATTTTTATTGGTTTAAAGACTGTTTTATCTGATGTAGGAATAGAGTCTCCTGCTCTTTTTTAATTTCCATTTGCATGGTAGATTTTACTCCACCCTTTTATTTTGAGCCTGTGGGTGTCATTACATGTGAGAAAGAGAAGATCCAAATAAGCACAATCAGAAATGACGAAGATGACATTACAACTGATCCCACAGGATTATAAAAGATCTTCAGAGATGAGTATGAATAACTCTATGTACACAAATTATAAAATCTAGAGGAAATGGATAAATTCCTGGAAGCACACAATCTCCCAAGACTGAATTAGGAAGAGATTGAAAACCTGAATAAACCAGTATCAACATCTGAAAGAACCTATCAACCAAAAAAAGCCCTGGGCCAGATGGATTCATAGCCAAATTCTACCAGAAGTACAAAGAAGAACTGATATCAATACTACTCAAACTATTCCAAAAAATCAAGAAGGAGGGGCTCTGCCCCAACTCACTCTATTAAGCCAGCATCAGCCTGATACCAAAATCTGGCAGAGACACAGTGAAAAGAGAAAACTTCAGAACAATATCCCTCATGAACATAGATGCAGAAGTCCTCGACAAAATACTAGCAAATAAAATCAAGTAGCACATCGGAAAGTTAATATGCCACAATCAAGTAGGCTTTATTCCTGTGATGCAAGACTGTTTCAATGTACACAAATCAATAAATGTGTTTCACCACATAAACAGAATCAAAAGCAAAACTGTATGATCATCTCAATAGATGCAGAAAAAGCTTTAGATAAAATCCAACAGCCCCTCATGATAAAAATCCTCAACAGACTAGGCACTGAAGGAATGTACCTCATAATACTGAGAGCCATCTATGACAAACCTACAGCCAGCATCATACTGAATGGGCAAAAGCTCAAACCATTCCCCTTGAGAGCTGGAACAAGACAAGGATGCACATTTTCACCACTCCTATTCAACAGAGTATTAGAAATTCTAGCCAAAGCAGTCAGGCAAGAGGAAGAAGTAATAGCCATCCAAACAAGAAAAGAGGAAGTCAAGCTATCTCTCTTCACGGACAATATGATTCTATACTTAGAAAATCCTAAAGACTCCTAGAATTGATAAATGACTTTAGTAAAATTTCAAGATACAAAATCAAATGTACAAAAATCAACAGCATTTCTATACAACAATAAAGTCCAAATGGGAGTGAAATGAAGAACACAATCCCACTTACACTAGCCACAAAGAAAATGAAACACCTGCCCTCTCCCTCTCCCTCTCCCTCTCCCTCCCCCTCCCCCTCCCCCTCCCCTTCCCCCTCCCCCTCCCCCTCCCCCTCCCCCTCTCCCCGGTCTCCCTCTCATGCGGGGCCGAAGCTGGACTGTACTGCTGCCATCTCGGCTCACTGCAACCTCCCTGCCTGATTCTCCTGCCTCAGTCTGCCGAATGCCTGCGATTGCAGGCACGCGCCGCCACGCCTGACTGGTTTTGGTGGAGACGGGGTTTCGCTGTGTTGGCCGGGCCGGTCTCCAGCCCCTAACCGCGAGTGATCTGCCAACCTCGGCCTCCCGAGGTGCCGGGATTGCAGACGGAGTCTCGTTCACTCAGTGCTCAATGGTGCCCAGGCTGGAGTGCAGTGGCGTGATCTCAGCTCACTACAACCTACACCTCCCAGCCGCCTGCCTTGGCCTCCCAAAGTGCCGAGATTGCAGCCTCTGCCCGGCCGCCACCCCGTCTGGGAAGTGAGGAGTGTCTCTGCCTGGCCGCCCATCGTCTGGGATGTGAGGAGCCCCTCTGCCTGGCTGCCCAGTCTGGAAAGTAAGGAGCATCTCCGCCCGGCCGCCATCCCATCTAGGAAGTGAGGAGCGCCTCTTCCCAGCCGCCATCACATCTAGGAAGTGAGGAGCGTCTCTGCCCGGCCACCCATCGTCTGAGATGTGGGGAGCGCCTCTGCCCCGCCGCCCCATCTGGGATGTGAGGAGCACCTCTGCCCGGCCGAGACCCCGTCTGGGAGGTGAGGAGCGTCTCTGCCCGGCCGCCCCGTCTGAGAAGTGAGGAGACCCTCTGCCTGGCAACCACCCCGTCTGAGAAGTGAGGAGCCCCTCCGCCCAGCAGCTGCCCCGTCTGAGAAGTGAGGAGCCTCTCCGCCCGGCAGCCACCCCATCTGGGAAGTGAGGAGCGTCTCCGCCCGGCAGCCACCCCGTCCGGGAGGGAGGTGGGGGGGGGTCAGCCCCCCGCCCGGCCAGCCGCCCCGTCCGGGAGGTGAGGGGCACCTCTGCCCGGCCGCCCCTACTGGGAAGTGAGGAGCCCCTCAGCCCGGCCAGCCACCCCGTCCGGGAGGGAGATGGGGGGGTCAGCCCCCCCACCCGGCCAGCCGCCCAGTCCGGGAGGGAGGTGGGGGGGTCAGCCCCCCGCCTGGCCAGCCGCCCCGTCCGGGAGGGAGGTGGGGGGGTCAGCCCTCCGCCCGGCCAGCCGCCCCGTCTGGGAGGTGAGGGGCGCCTCTGCCCGGCCGCCCCTACTGGGAAGTGAGGAGCCCCTCTGCCCGGCCACCACCCCGTCTGGGAGGTGTGCCCAACAGCTCATTGAGAACGGGCCAGGATGACAATGGCGGCTTTGTGGAATAGAAAGGCGGGAAAGGTGGGGAAGAGATTGAGAAATCGGATGGTTGCCGTGTCTGTGTAGAAAGAAGTAGACATGGGAGACTTTTCATTTTGTTCTGCACTAAGAAAAATTCCTCTGCCTTGGGATCCTGTTGATCTGTGACCTTACCCCCAACCCTGTGCTCTCTGAAACATGTGCTGTGTCCACTCAGGGTTAAATGGATTAAGGGCGGTACAAGATGTGCTTTGTTAAACAGATGCTTGAAGGCAGCATGCTCGTTAAGAGTCATCACCAATCCCTAATCTCAAGTAATCAGGGACACAAACACTGCGGAAGGCCGCAGGGTCCTCTGCCTAGGAAAACCAGAGACCTTTGTTCACTTGTTTATCTGCTGACCTTCCCTCCACTATTGTCCCATGACCCTGCCAAATCCCCCTCTGTGAGAAACACCCAAGAATTATCAATAAAAAAATAAATTAAAAAAAAAAAAAGAAAAACACCTAGGAATACAGCTAACCAAGGAGTTGAAAGATTTCTATAAGCACTACAAAACATTGCTGAAAGAAATCAGAGGTGACGCAAATAAATAGAAAAACATTTCATGCTCATGGACTGGAATAATCAATATCATAAAAATGTCCATACTGCCCAAAGCAATGTACAGATTCAATGCTATTCCTATCAAACTACCAACGTTCTTTACAGATTCAGAAAAAACACTATTCTAAAATCCATATGGAACCAAAAAAAGAGACCAAATTGCCAAGGCAATCTTAAAGCAAAAAGAACACAGCTGAAGGCATCACGTTACCCAACTTCAAACTACACAATAGAGCCACAGAAACCAAACAGCTTGGTATGGGCACAAAAACAGACACACAGACCACTGGAACAGAATAGAAAACTCATAAATAAAACCTGACACCTACATCTATCTGATCTTTGACATGGCCAATATAAACAAACAATGAGGAGAGGACTCCCTATTCAATAAATGGTGCTGGGATAACTGGCTAGCCATATGCAGAAGATTGAAGCTGGACCCCTACCTTTCACCATTTGTAAAAAGTAACGCAAAATAGATTAAAGATTTAAATATAAGACCTCAAACTATAGAAATCCTGGAAGACAACTTAGGAAATACTCTTCTTGACATCAGCCTTGGCAAATAATTTTTGACTAAGTCCCCAAGAGCAATTGCAACAAAAATTGACAAGTGGGACCTAATTAAACTCAAGAGCTTCTGCACAGCAAAATGAACTATCAACAGGGTAAACAGACAACCTACAGAATGAGAGAAGATACTTACAAACTATGCATCTGACAAAGGCCTAATATCCGGAATCTATTAGGAACTTAAACAAATCAACAAGCAAAAAACAAGTAACCCCGGCCGGGCACAGTGGCTCACGCCTGTAATCCCAGCACTTTGGGAGGCCGAAGCGGGTGGATCACCAGGTCAGGAGGTGGAGACCATCCTGGCTAACATGGTGAAACCCCGTCTCTACTAAAAATACAAAAAAATTAGCTGGGCTGGGTCTTCTGAGGCAGGGCAGAGTGTTGAATCTGGGCTGCCATCTCCACCACACTGACTATTAGAATATAGTGGAGCAGGCCGGGTGCGGTGGCTCACGCCTGTAATCCCAGCACTTTGGGGGGCCGAGGCGGGAGGATCACACAGTCAGGAGATCAAGACCATCCTGGCTAACACGGTGAAACCCCATCTCTACTAAAAATATAAAAAAATTAGCTGGGCGTGGTGGCGGGTGCCTGTAGTCCCAGCTACTCGGAAGGCTGAGGCAGGAGAATGGCGTGAACCTGGAAGGCAGAGCTTGCAGTGAGCTGAGATCGCATCACTGCACTCCAGCCTGGGCGACAGAGCAAGATTCCGTCTCAAAAAAAAAAAAAAAAAAAACAAGTAACCCCATTAAAAAATGGCAAAGGACGTGAACAGATACTTCTCAAAAGAAGACATACAAGTGGTGAACAAACATATGAAAAAGCGCTCAGCATCACTAATCACCAGAGAGATGCAAATTAAAACCACAATGAGATACCATCTCACACCAGTCAGAATGGCTATTATTTTAAAAATCAAAAAACAACAGATGCTGGTGAGGCTACAGAGAAAAGGGAATCCTTATGCACTGCCGGTGGGAATGCAAATTAGCCCAGCTACTGTGGAAAGCAGTCTGGAGATTTCTTAAAGAACTTAAAACAGAGCTACCATTAAACCAAGCAATCCCATTATTGGGTAGATATGCAAAAGAAAAATCATTCTACCAAAAATTCATGCACTCATATGTTCATCACTGCACTATTCATAATAACAAAAACATGGAACCAACCCAGGTGTCCATCAATGCTAGACTGGATAAAGAAAATGTGGTTCATATACATCATGGAATACTATGCAGCCATAAAAAAGAGTAAAATCCGCAGGGCACGGTGGCTCACACCTGTAATCCCAGCACTTTGGGAGGCGGAGGTGGGCGGATCACCTGAGGTCAGGAGTTTGAGACCAGCCTGGCCAACACGGTGAAACCCCGTCTCTATTAAAAATACAAAAATTAGCTGGGCGTGGTGGCGAGCAACTATAATCCCAGCTGCTTGGGAGGCTGAGGCGAGGTAATCGCTTGAACCCGGGAGGTGGAGGTTGCAGTGAGCAAAGATTGCACCACTGCACTCCAACCTGGGCAACAAGAGCGAAACTCCATCTCAAAAAGAAAGAATGAAATCATCTCCTTTGCAGTAACATAGATGGAGCTGGAAGCTATAACCCTAAACAAATTAATGCAGGAACAGAAAACCAAATACCTCATGTTCTCACTTATAAATGGGAGTTATGCATTGAGCACACATGGACATGAGTGTAGGAACAATAGACACTGTGGAATACTAGAGGATGAAGGAAGGGGGAGTGGGTTAAAAAAATAAAAAACTACTTATCAGGTACTAGACTCATGACCTAGGTGACGGGATCCATACTCCAAACCTCAACATCACATAATATTCTCATGTAACAAATCTGCACATGGGTACCCCCATATCTAAAATAAACGTTGAATTTTAAATTTTTACACACACTGTATGATTTCATGTATATAACATTATCAAAATGGCAAAATTCTAGAGATGAAAAACAGATCAGTGATTTCCAGGGGTTAAAGATGGCAGGGGGAGGGGTATGTAACTTAAGGGTTGTGTGAGGGATTTCTGTACGGAATCTGAGATTACGATGGAATAGGTCTATATCTTGATTATAGTAGAGGTTACATAAAGCTACCCAAGTGATAAAATGACAGACAGACACACACACACACACACACACACACAGTACAAAAAAAAATCCCAGCAGGAATGTTACATAAATCAACAAAATGATGATAGAATTTATATGGGAAGGCAAGTGGCATCGAATAGCCAAAGCAATCTTGAGAAAGAACCACGTTAGAGGGCTCACACCATTTGATTTCAGAACTCTTCATAAAGATTCAAGATAGTGTGATATTCATGACATGATAATCACATAGACTGATGGAACAGAATAGAGATTTCAGGGGGCCAGGCACGGTAGCTCACGCCTGTAATCCCAGCACTTTGGGAGGCCGAGGTGGGTGGATCACTTGAGGACAGGAGTTTGAAACCAGCTGGCCAACATAGTGAAACCCCGTCTCTACTAAAAATACAAAAAAAATGGCCGGGCGCGGTGGCTCACGCCTGTAATCCCAGCACTTTGGGAGGCCGAGGCGGGCGGATCACGAGGTCAGGAGATCGAGACCATCCTGGCGAACATGGTGAAACCCCGTCTCTACTAAAAATACAAAAAATTAGCCAGGCGTGGTGGCGGACGCCTGCAGTCCCATCTAATCGGGAGGCTGAGGCAGGAGAATGGCGTGAACCCGGGAAGCGGAGCTTGCAGTGAGCCGAGATCACGCCACTGCACTCCAGCCTGGGCAACAGAGCGAGACTCCGTCTCAAAAAAAAAAAAAAAAAAAAAAAATTAGCTGGGTGCAGTGGTGGGCACCTATAATCCCAGCTACTTGGGAGGCTGAGGCAGGAGAATCGCTTGAACCCAGAAGGCAGAGGTTGCAGTAAGCCGAGATAACACCACGGCACTCCAGCTGGGCACAGAGCGAGACTCCGTCTCAAAAAAGAATAGAGAGTTCAGAAATAAATCAACAGATAAATGGACAATGTATTTTTGACAAAGATACAAGGCAATTTAATGGACAAAGGAGTCTTTTCAACAAACGGTCCTGGAACAATTGGACATCTATAAGCAAAATATAAATAAACCCAGCAGCATATGCAAAAATTCACTCAAAATGGATTATATGCCTAAATGTAAAACCTAAAACTACAACACTTCTAAAAGAACAAACAGAAGAAAATCTTTGTGATCTTGGGTTAAGCAAAGATTTCTTAGATACAACACCAAAAGTATACTCCATAAAAGAATAATTGATAAATTGGACAACATCAAAATTAAAAATTTCTGCTCTCCAAAAGAAATGAAAAAATAATAATGCAAAGACAAGCACAAACTGTCAGAAGATAATTGGGAAAAATGCATTTTATAAAAAAAAGTTGTGTTGAGAATATATAATGAATCACAAACCCCATAATAGGAAAACAAGCAGACCTCACTCTCCAAATATATAAAACCATAATAAGGTGCCTCTAAATACTTATTAAAATGGCTAAAATTAAAAGTACAGTCAATATTAAGTGCTGACAATGACGCAGAGGACTGGAGCTCTCATGTATTGCTGGTGAAAATGCAAAATGGTACAGCTTCCTTGGAAAGCAATTTGGCCTTTGCTTAGACAGTTAAACATATATTTATCAAATAACTCAGCAATCTCATTCTTAGGCATTTATCCAAGGGAAATTAAAATTTACATTCACATAAAAACCTGTATGCCAATGCTTATACTGGTTTTATTCATAATTACCAAAACTTGGGAACAATCCAAGTGCCCTTCAAGAGGAGAATGAATAAACAAAGTGTGATATGTCCACACAACTCCACTCAGCAATAAAAAGAAACACAACTTGGATGAAGCTCAAATGCATTATACAAAGTAAAAGAACCAAACTCAATGGTTCCATTTATTTGACATGCTTGAAACAGGCCAAAATGTAAAAACAGAAAACAGATTGATGGTTAACAAGTGCTGACGGGAAAAGGAAGCAGCCAAAGGAGTTTTTGTGGGGTGATAGAAATATTCCAGATCTTGATTTGCTGACAATTACACAATTGTATGCATTTGTCAAAACTCATAGATCTACTCACCATTTCTGGTGAAATTATACCTCAATTAAAAATACATAAAATAATAGCTTTGAGCAATCTGCAACAGCACTGATAGTGTTTACAACATATTGTTACATTTAAGAAACTACAAAGCAAGAGATACACTCTGAGCACAATTATGTAAAAACTTGTATTACATATAGGAAAGACCAGAAGGGAACACAGATAAATGCAAGCAGACAGTAATGATTGTGTTAGAGGCACGATGTTGTGTTCTCCCTTCGACCTCCAAATTTTCAGCAATATATTTATTTTCACTTGATAATGAAATACAGTAACCAATCCATGACAGATGTAAACGCTGCCTTAAATAATTTATCTTCATTATTTTTAACATATTCTCTCTAATTTGCTTCCCTGTCCAATCTGCCATCAAATATATTCCTGCTAAGTGGAAGACCAAAAGGTAATTAGCTAATTTTGAAAGGGCAAATTTCAAGGTCAATTAATTCCTGATTTGTGAAAACAATTAGAAAAAATTAATTACATTTTCCACTGATTAGAAATAAACCTTCCCACACAATCTTGCCTTTAAAAAAAATAGATAATTTGGCCGGGCGCGGTGGCTCACACCTGTAATCCCAGCACTTTGGGAGGCCGAGGCGGGTGGATCATGAGGTCAGGAGATCGAGACCATCCTGGCTAACAAGGTGAAACCCCGTCTCTACTAAAAATACAAAAAATTAGCCGGGCGCGGTGGCGGGCGCCTGTAGTCCCAGCTACTCGGGAGGCTGAGGCAGGAGAATGGCGTGAACCCGGGAAGCGGAGCTTGCAGTGAGCCGAGATTGCGCCACTGCAGTCCGCAGTCCGGCCTGGGCGACAGAGCGAGACTCCGTCTCAAAAAAAAAAAAAAAAAAAAAATAGATAATTTAAGTCTGTCAATCTGACAACCAATTGTATTTAAGTACATCTGTCATTCTTACATACTATTTTGAGATACAAAAAAAATTGATTCAAAATTTTCTGAGATTTAATTAGGCAAAGCAAATGGGAAAGAGAGAGTGGAGAGAGTGGGGAAGTCTGTGTGTCACTCTGTGCTTAATTTGTTTTTTTTTTTTTTTTGAGACAGAGTTTCACACTTGTTGCCCAGGCTGCGGTGCAATGGTGAGATCTCAGCTTACTGCAACCTCAGCCTTCCAGGTACAAGCAATTCTCCTGCCTGAGCCTCCAGAGTAGCTGGGATTATAGGCATGTGCCACCAGGCCCGGATAATTTTGTATTTTTAGTAGAGACGGGGTTTCTCCATGTTGGTCAGGCTGGTCTCGAACTCCTGACCTCAGGTGATCCACCTGCCTCAGCCTCCCAAAGTGCTGGGATTACAGGCATGAGCCACCGCACCCAGCCCTGTGCTTAGTTTTTTTATGAATAAAATTAGCATATTAGATTAAAAAATTCATCTTTAATTTGGCAATTTTGTTTGTTCCATGTCATTACGATTGTATGGACAAGACGTATTCCTCTAACAAAAGGGTGGAAGTCCTCAGCTAGGACAGGGGAAACAGCCCTGAGGAATGTCCAGCAGCGTTCCAGGGCTGGACATACAGAGCAGGCGCAGGGTCCCAAAGACAAGGGTTGAGGTGCCCAGAGAATGAAGTCTGCTTTCTCCATATGTCTTTGTGGTTGGTTCCCTCTGTTATAGGACTACTATTAAAGGAGGGTAAAACTGCGACTCACGTCCCAATATAAAATGAATGCAGGTCAATATTTTGTTTAACTCATCAATTAGAAGAAACTGATAAGACGCAAAAAACCACACAAACATGGGCAATTAGAAATGCTGAATTGGGCCAGAAGCGGTGGCTCATGCCTATAATCCCAGCACTTTCGGAGACCGAGGCAGGTGGATCACGAGGTCAGGAGATCGAGACCATCCTGGCCAACATGGTGAAACCCCGTCTCTACTAAATATACAACAATTAGCCGGATGTGGTGGCGAGTGCCTGTAGTCCCAGCTACTCGGGAGGCTGAGAAGGAGAATCGCCTGAACCTGGGAGGCAGAGGTTGCAGTGAGCCGAGATTGCACCACTGCACTCCAGCCTGGGTGACAACGTTGAATTGAACTTACAAATAAATGCAAAACTGGACAATGCATTCCACGGACACAATCCAACTTTACTTCTAGGGAAAAGAGTTATTTGCATTATTGTCAGCTTTCTGATCAGTTGCAAACAGTGAAAGATGCAGATAACCTGGAAGGACTCCAGACTTCCCTTCACTTCCTATAAAAGACACCAATCATCTTTGTGTTCCATTTCCAACTTTTTCACAACAATTTCCTTCATCACTATTCATCTCTGGGGTTGGTGATGCCTGAGTGGCTCCCAGGAATTGGCCTGCTGCTACTCACAGCCTCCAGCAATCCCATCCCTGAGAGTGGGCTGGACCTAGTAGTGACTGGCTTCTAACCAACAGAATACAGAAGAAGGGATGGTGTCACTCCATGATTAGGTCACAAAAGACTATCCCTTGTGCCTGCCCAGATGGAGTGGGCCCCTGGCAATGAGCTGAGATGGCCTCCAGTCAACAGCTGGCAAGGAACTGAGGCCATCCATCCAACAGCCCAGGAAGAACCACACCCGGCCAACAACCACACAGATGAGCTCAGAAGCAGACCTTGCTCCAGCTGAACACTGAGATGCTATGGTTAGAGCCATACATGACAACTTGTCCCAGCCTGTGAAGACCCTGAGCAGAGGACCTAGGTCAGCTGTGCCCAGATTTCTGACCCATGAAACTGAGAAAATAAATATGTACTCTTTTAAGCTGCTAAGTTTGGGAGAAATTTGTTACCTGGCAATAGATCCTGAATTCACTCTTCCTTCCAGCTTTCTTTATATGTATATCCTGCCTTGTTTCACACAGATTTTAATCATTTTAAGAAAATACCGAGTAACCAGTTTGTGCACAGGTGATGTAACTGACCCAAGAAATTGCACCTGAGCTGCCTGGGAGCCAAAGGAAAAAGGGGACACGGCAGGCTACAGCCTCTGCCTGCTTCTCTCCTGCAGAAACAACAGAAAACGAGGCTACAAGGGGATGATTCCCTGAGAGCTAAAACATAGGCCAGTACAGTCCCCCAAATTACCTTTTCAACGCAGTCTGAAGCAATCTATTTGCAGCATCTCATAGTGTTCTTTCGTTCTGCTCATTCTCTTCACAACTGAACCCATAATAGATGAGTTTGACTTCATTGAGGCTAAGGGGTTTGCTGGTTTCCACATACCTGAGACTCCCACCTATGGTAGATTCAAAGACTTACGTATCTTTTCTCTGATAAGATTACTGTTTTTTTTTTTTTCATTTTCTGCCTATTTTCATGAAACAAGAAGGGCAAAATGTAATAAAACTCTTCAGTAACCTTTAGCCTGAGATGACAGTGCTGGGATACTGTGTACATGGCCACCAGGCGACATGGCCACACACCTGCCCAGGAGTGTGCTGTTTCAGGGGGCTCACCTAGGGCCATGTGGGCAACAGCCTGTGCCCTCCACACTCAGACATTCACACCAGTGAGCCCTTCCCCCGAGAGCCCGCACTGTGGGTGGGTTGGGCCAACACACCATTCTCCTCATGGTGCTGAGAGCTGCCCCTTGAGGCTGCGGTTCCCTGTTGCTCCTCCTCCTGGGAGAAGCTCCGCATGGGAGGTGTGGCTCACTCATGAGGGCTCATGCCTGTGGACAAGGGTGGCACCTTCTGGCATCTCCACACTCAGCCTAGGTAGTTGCCAGTGCCATCCCGACACCCCCTCCCCGTGCCCTGCGCAGGCTGTGGGGTCAGGGCACCCTCACCCTCCCTTCACTGGACCACCACACCTGCCAGCTCCTGCCCCCATGTGCCTGCACCTGTCAGCACCTCCCCACGCTCTCCTTCCTCCTCCACCTGGAATCCTGCCTGGCTGCCCAGGGCCTCCTGCCTGTGGAGCTCATGACAGGCCCCAGTCTGCCCCTGGTACACCATACATCGAAGCAAGAAGTGAGGTCAAAGAACTTGGAACATATGCAACATATGCTCTTCTGGTTTTCCCAATTCTTGTCTCACTGGAAGCTGAACATTACCTTCCATCACTCACATCCTGGCTGGGACAATCCTGCTGCCTCATCTGCCTCCCCATGCACAGGCCACACAGTCCTTCCGGCCATATTAGACACTTCCCAACAAAACACTCTTTAAAGAAAAGGAAAAGGCAAGCTCCTCGCTGGGAGAAGATCCTGCAACATGGGACCAGAGAAAGTTAATACTCAGAATATTCCATATGAATCTGGGGGGAACAGACACATTCAGTGTATAACAGAGAACATTTGCTGCAGGCTGTTTTTAATAGCACATACTGGGGGATGAGGAGCAGAAACTGAAAAGCCGCCAACAGGAGAACATGTATTAATGGTAGCATATTCACATAATGAAATTCTATGCAAGGAGTTCACACGAATGAACGAGAGCTACAGGCATCAGCACAAAGAAACCTCAAAACACATTGCCAAAGAGAGCAACTCAAAGTTTCACCACTTGCAAAAGGACAGCATAGACTGTAAGTCAATAGAAACATTCAGTGAAAGCATGAGCACGCAAGCTGGGGAGCTCCCCCTGGAGCGGGCAGGATGACAGCAGCAGCATGCACCACACCCGCATGCAATTCTGTGGTGCTTTGTTAAAGGCTGGAGAGACCATCAGTACTGCAGGGGTCGGAGCTCTGGCTGTGGGAACGAGGATCCTCAGATCTGCCATGTAATCGATATGGCCCAACAAAGACAGTCAGAGACACCTACTCATAGGATGCTGCTTTTCTCATTACAAGGACATCTATGTGAACTGCAAATTATGGGTTTGCAGTATAAGCATTGACATGTAAAAACCATTCATTGTCTTTACATAAGTAAATATTTAAAGATGTATCAAATTTTTTCTTAAGGAATGAAATCATGTCTTTTGCAGCAACATGGATGTAGCTGGAGGCCATTATCCAAGCGAATTAACCCAGGAACAGGAAACCAAATACCACATATTCTCACGACAAGTGGGCGCTAACCCCCGGGTGCACATGGACATAAAGAAGGCAGCAGGGAACACTCGGACCACACAGGGGCGGGAGGAGGGATGGTGGAAAAGTAACTATTGGGTACCATGCTGACTACCCGGGTGATCAGTCGTACCCCAAACCTCAGCATCACACAATATACCCAGGTAACAAACCTGCACATTTAACCCCTGAATCTAAAATAAAAGTTGAAATTATTTTTAAATTTCCTTTTATGTAAATTCTGACTTTTCTGACATGAAAAACAATACTCAGTTAATTCACTTGCTATATGTATAGAAATAAGGCATGCCCTCAGAGACATACGCTTTCCAAAATTGCAGAATAATTGCAATACTTTAAATAATATATTAAGTGTTAAGTCTTCATGCTACAAACTCTTTTTTCTATTTTTATTATCTTTTGGAGCTAAATTAAGTTCATCATATTTTACAAATATCAGTCATCAAAAACTAAGCCAGGAAAGTGATCTAATGCTGGAAAAATTCTTGCAAAATTTCTGGAAATTTTTCCCACAACAAACGTGGGGGAACGATGCTCATGGAAACCCAATCTGTGTGAAGTCCACATTTACAAGATGGCACTATTTTAAACTCACCTCCCTTTTGTGAGGAATGAAGCAAACTCCTGGCCTGCAGGAGCCCAAGAGCTCTGCCCGGCAGCCCCCCTGGGGCAGGAGTGCGAGGGGTCAGCTCCACCGGCTCCCCGAGGAAGCCTGCGCTTGCCGGCCACAAGTTCAGCGAGTCCGCTGGGCACGGACGTCTGCAGGAGCTCCACCGCCGGCGCGCCGGGGTACCGCCTGCCGTCTCTGCCCTCCAGATGCATGCTCCACTGCCAGTCTTCTCTCTAGGGCAGCCAGAAAGAAACCACTCTTCATGAAAGGCACACTGAGACTAACGTTTGCACCTTGGGAGTCCGTACAATAGGAAGGTTGCTTCTTCGGAGGCGGTCCCAGAGTTCCAGCATCCTAACCACGCAAGAGCATTTCACCCTAGTGAGAAGTGAAGCCAGCTGGACTTCCTGGGTGGAGTGGGAACTTGCAGAACATTTCTGTCTAGCTAAAGGATTGTAAATGCACCAATCAGCACTCTGTGTCTAGCTAGAGGATTGTAAATGCACCAATCAGCAATCTATAAAATGGACCAATCAGCACTCTGTACAGTGGACCAATCAGCACTCTGTAAAATGGACCAATCAGCAGGACGTGGGCGGGGACAAATAAGGGAATAAAAGGCTGGCTACCCCAACACGCTGGACTCCCCTACTAATCTGTGGATACTTTCGATGTTTTGGTTTTCACAGTAAATCTTGCTGCTGCTCACTCTTTGGGTTTGTGCCACCTTTAAGAGCTGTAACACTCACCGGGAAGGTCTGCAGCATCATTCTTGAAGTCAGTGAGAGCAAGAACCCACCAGAAGGAACCAACTCCGGACACCCTAGCAGTGGCCTAAGTGTTCAGCAACAGAGAGCTAGTTAAGTAGATTGTGATGTGTGCACAGCATGAAATTCTGTGCTACATTTAAAATGATCTAAGAGATGGTTCTTGTTATTGGGAAATGCTATGGATGTGTAAAGAATAAGGACAAGTGGTACACTGTGATGTTTTTATTGAAATAAATATGTATAAATTACATACATACAACAGAGGCCCAAAAGACACACCCTCCAAAACATGGCTACCTCTGGATGGCGAAAGTGCCCACGGGGGTCCTTTTTCTTTGGTTTTGTTTGATCTATGATTTTCACATTTTTTGCATTTAGCAAATTAATACTATTCTGGTGAGAATATAATAATACCTACAATAAAAGTAAGAACTATTCCTATACCTCTAAAGTAATGCTGTCCTACTTTGGGGCTTATATTTCAAACCACTCACCATTTTATTTTTTGCATTTTCAAGCAGCCGACAGCACCAGAAATGACCTTTGGCCTTGCAGCCACTTGGTTTGCTGTCCAGGGTTGCTGGGAAGCCAGGACTGACTGTGCACTTTGGCCATGCAGGATGTCTGGCGCTGAGATGCAGAGGCACGTGCTGGGGCTGGAGTTAGCACAGTAGTGTATCACCACTCCTAATCGCCTGTTTCACATACAGTCTTCACAATGCCCCATGAGCACAGAATTCCAGTGGACCCAGGATGAAAGGAGTTTGCTGTGACTCAAAGCAAGTACAAGACGTGTGATGGCTACAGCTGAGTAAGCCAAGCACTGACAGCCCCAGACGCACACTTCCTGGTGGAGCCAGAACTTACTTCAAATATAGAAAAACATGACATTCGAAGAAACCTGAACGACCAAGGAAGTCCATATATCCTTCTCACCATTGTTATTTCCCTGCTTTAACCAACCACTTATGCTGAGAGTGATCACTCACAAACCAGTGAGCCGAAGGCAGGCCATGTCGGCAGAATGTTCTTGTATCATAAAAGTGAGATAAAACAGTTGCATTGGTTTTAGACAGTGGCTCCACTACCTGGTAAGAACAAAGTACAAATGTACATACCAGCTATAAAAAAGTTGTCTGATTTCACAAATTCCACGCATGAGCTAAATGTTTCAATATTTGCATTTGAAACTGATGTGGCATGATATAAAGATGACTAGTAAAAGTAATGCTAACAATTTAAAATTTAAATTTTTTTATTTAGAATAATGACATTAAATACCAATTTAAAAGCACCATGACAAGCCAAGAGAGAGAGACTATGGAAGAAAGGAGAAAACTTTATCCTTACCATTAATGGCATTTTCCCTGGTTTTTGAACAAAGGGCCTCACAAATTATGTAACTGGTCCTGCTGAGACTTTAGAGGGGGTCCTCCTGCTCTCCATTGACAATTCCAGGGCGCCATTGCCCCTCCTAAAACACCCAGCTTCTTTAGAAGAACATGCCATTGGAATTGCCACAGACTGAATGTGTATGTGCCCTCCAACAAACTCAGAGGCTGAAACCCTGCCCTGTAATGGGATGGTATTCAGAGGTGGGGTCTCAGGGAGGTGACTGGGATTTGGAGAGGCCCTGAGGGTAGAGCTCTCATGAATCAGCTCCAGACCCTTCTGAGAGTCGTGGGAGAGCTCAGCTCCTCTCTCCACCATGTGTGGACACGGCGAGAAGATGCTGTCTGTGAACCAGGAGGTGGGCCTCCCCAGACACGGAATCTGTTGGTGCTGTGATCTGAGACTTCACAGCCTCCCAAACTGTGAGAAATTATGTTTGTGGCATAAGTCATCAGTTTATGATGTTTTGTTACAGCAGCATGAATGGACTCACACAGGAACATACCACCCACCCTTAGTGCAACAAATGTCCATTCTCTTTCAGGCCATGTCCCTTCTCCAAGACCTCACTCCCCTCTTTCCCAGTGGAGCCTCTCTGGTCCAGCAAACACCCTCCTCTTACTTGCCCCAACTCATTCTCTCAAACTTACCTGATAAACGAGTTTTTTATTGCTGCAAAACAAATCACCACAAAGTGTACCTGTTAAAAAGCACACACGTGTATAATCTCAGAGTTTCTGTGGGTCAAGGCCAGGGTGGCTCAACTGGGTTGTCTGCTTGGGATCTCAAGGGGCCACTGGGCTGTGATCTCATCTGGAAGCTCAACTGGGGAAAAATCTGCTGCCAAGGTCACTCAGTGCAGACAGGATCCATGTCCTCGTGGCTGCATGACTCAGGGCTGCAGCTTCTTGCTGGCTGTGGGCCAGCAAGAAGTTTATGGTGTTTTGTTACAGGAGGCCCCCTCAGAGGCCCCCTTCACCCCAACAGGCTCCTGCATCCTCACCATGTGGGCTCCTCCAGTATGTTGGCTTGCCTTTTCAGGCAACAAGGAGCATCTGGAGAGCGAGCAGCAGTGAGGCAGAGTTTTATAGGCTATTACGTGTCAGGGGGACATCCACCACTTTGCTGTATTCTGTCAGCTGGAGGTCAGTCCTGGGTCCTGCCTGCCTACACTCAAAGGGAGGGGACTAAACCAGGGTGTGAACACCAGGAGGTGGGGACCATGGGCCCCTAGAGTCTGCCACCTGTGGCCAAATCCCAACCCTGCTCAGCAGCTGAACATGGCTGTAGAAAACCTTCCTTGCTGCCTATGCCTGCAGATGACATCATATTAGGAACCCCAGGTGGGCCCCAGTACTGCCCAGCAATCCCACCGCACCTCCCCAGACAGTGTACGCGCCTGCTCTCCTTCACTCCCCACTTAAACCCCACACACCCTTCCCCCTTTCACTCCCAGCTGCTGCCTCTGCCTCTTGCTCCCTTCACTGCCTGAATCAGCCGGGGTCCAAGAAGGAAATAGAAGCTACTCTGAGAACTTCTAGAAGGAGCTGGAGCCCCAGAAGAGATGCCCCAAAGAAGAGTGGGGCATCCTCCCTCCCCTAATCTTCTAGAAGAGTCTCCTATTGGCTGAACTCAAGCCAGAGCCCAAGCTGGAGTCAGACACTGGGATTCAGAACACAGTAGGGCAAGAGTGAGGAATGTCTCCAAGAGCAAAACGTCCCAGAATGGCTGTGCTGGCAAAACTAGAAGCAATGAGAATAAAAGCCCAGCCTCTCAAGGACACACTTGTCTACAGCCCTGCCAGGTACAGTGGAGCCCACCTGCTCCCACCCCCGCCCAGACTGCACTGTTGCATTCCTCCCCATCCCAAACCTCACAAGCTGGCATGCAAACATACTGTCCTATCTGCCAACACTAAAAATATACAGCTCAGGACTGGTGCCTTCAGGAAGACAGAGAAGACCTACTTTTCCCTGTTCTTCCTGCTAAGTACAACTAAAAACCTGATGTTTAGAACAAAAAGCCCCAAAGAAGCCTGCCCCCAGCCAAAGGACCAGGAAATGAGTAGCCTAGCAAGACAGAAAGCTTTTAGACAATATCTGTTCTACTGCAGCCTAATACTGCAGACCCACATCCACTCAGGAGAGCAAAGGCTGAGTGGGCACCCTCCAAAGGCTATTACACAGTGCCTGGCCCCCAGTCCTCACAGGGATGCTTCGCAAAAGGCTGAGTAGGGAGTTTGGACATTCACCGTTGCTGAGTGCTAGGGAGTTCCACCTCCTCCCTACACACTCCTCCCCCAATGGCTTAAGTGGGGACCACCATGTGAGGAGGCTGGACTTCATCCCTGCCCTGCAGAAAAGGGACCCCTCTCCTTCCTTGCTGACAGGGTGTCAGAGGAGGCCAAATGGAGAGTCAGGGCATTCACTTCTGCTCAGCAGTAATGAGGCCACTCCCCAGTGGTGTCACTAGAGGTCAGTAATGAGCAGTAATGAGGTGTCCCACCCCACTCAGCCAGGGTGATATCAGCAGAGTCCTAGCGAGAGGCAGAGGTCCCACAACCACCCAGCAATAAGGTGGAATCCTTCCCCATCTTGGGGAACCTGAACTTCTAACCCTATCTGGCAGCAATGAGACAGTGTCAGGCCCTTCTGCTGGCGTGGTGTCAAAGGAAGGCACCTAAACAGAAGGTTTAAGTGGTGATTAGAGTCTTATAAAGCAATACTCAAAATATGCAGGTTTCACTCAAAACCACCTGTCATAGTGATAACCAGGAAAATCTCAACTTGAAAGAAAATAGATGATGACACCAAGATGATGGAGATGTTAGAATTATCTGAAAAAATATTTTTAAATCAGCCAAAATAAAAATGTTTCAAAGAGAAATAAACACATTTGAAACAAATGAAACACAGAAAGTCTCAGCAAATAAGACTCAAATGAAACTGAAAACACAATAGCAAAATTCAAAATGCAAAAATGAACTCAACAGTAAAATGGAGGGGACAGAGAAAAGAATCAATAAGTGGAAGATAGAACAATAGAAATTACTCAACCTGAACAATAGAGAAATATAGTCTAAAACAATTTATCAGAACCTCAGAGACCTATGGGACCATAACAAAAGACCTAACTTTCATATAATCCAAATGCCAGAAGAAGATGATGAAGAGTATGTAGCTTAAAAAGTATTTGACGATCTCATGGCTGAAAACTTCCTAAATGTGGCAAAAGACATAAACCTACAGATTTGAGAAGCTGAGCAAACCCCAAACAAGATAATCCCAAAGAAATCCACACCAACATATATAGTGGGCAAAATTTTAAAAATTAAAAGCAAAGAAAAAGTCTTAAAGAGAGAAATTAAAATGTCCCTACAGGGAAAAAACAATTCAGATGACAGAAACCATGGTGGCCAGAAGAAAATGACATAACATTTTCCAAGTAATGAGAGGAAGGAACAGTCAAGCCAGAAGCCTATATCCAGTGAAAGAAAAATCAAGATGTTTTCAAAGAAAACTAAAAATTTATTGCCAGCAGACCTACCCTGAAAGAATGGCTACAGGAAGTTCTCTAAATAGAAAGGGAAAATGAAAGAATACATTTTAGAACATCAGGAAGGTAAAAGAATATAGGTAAGGAGAGGCATGGTGGTTCACGCCTATAATCCTGGCACTCTGGGAAGCCAAGGCAGGCAGATTCATTGAGCCCAGGAGTTTGAGACCAGCCTGGGCAACATGGCAAAATCCCATCTCTATTAAAAACACAAAAACTTAGCCAGGCATGGTGGTGCATGCCTATAGTCCCAGCTACTCAGGAGGCTGAGGTAGGAGAATCACCTGAGCCAGGAAAGTCGAGGCTTCAGTGAGTCAGGATTGTGCCACTGCACTCAAGCCTGGGTGACAGAGTGAGACCCTATCTCAAAAAATAATAATAAAATAAAAAGTAAGTCCAGGCTGGGCACGGTGGCTCACAACCTGTAATCCCAGCACTTTGGGAGGCCGAGGTGGGTGGATCACCTGAGGTCAGGAGTTTGCCACCAGCCTAGCCAACATAGTGAAACCCCATCTCTATTGAAAATACAAAAAATAGCCAGGCGTGGTGGCAGACACCTGTAATCCTAGCTACTTGGGAGGCTGAGGCAGGATAATCATTTGAACCCAGAAGGCAGAGGTTGCAGTGAGCTGAGACTGCACCATTGCACTCCAGCCTGGGCAGCGAAAGCGAACCTGCATCTCAAAGGAAAAAAAAAAAGGTAAGTCCAAGCAAGATTCTTAACAGATGCATCATGTGCTGTTTTCATTCAGAGAATGCAAGTGCTTAATGGAAATAATTCTGTCATCTACTGTTGATAGCATGCTATTGAATAACATTTATACGTAGGTAAATATGTTTTCCCTCTCCTCTTGATTTTCCTAAATTCTGTTGAATGTTTGAAGCAAAAATTTTAACACTCCTTGATGTGTTTATTAATGTATGCAGAGGGAATCATCAAGACAATTCTATAACAAATGAGAGAGGTAAAGGATGTAAAAGGAGGTACGTTTTCTTGATTTTACTCAAACTGATAAAATGATGGCATCAGTAGACTGTGACAAGTAACATGTATATATACTTTAATACCTAGAACAATGACTTTAAAAGAGATACACCAAGAAACATTATGGATAAATTATCGGGGGAAATTCACCCCCGATATTTCATGTAGGTTCTTTTCTATTTTCCCTAAGTGTCGGCTGGTCTGAGAAATAAAGGGAAATAGTACAAAAGAGAGAAATTTTAAAGCTGGGCATCCAGGGGAGACATCACATGTCGGTAGGTTCCGTGATGCCCCCTGAGCCGTAAAACCAGCAAGTTTTTATTAGTGATTTTCAAAAGGGGAGGGAGTACATGAATAGGGTGTGGGTCACAGAGATCACATGCTTCACAAGGTAATAAAATATCACAAGGGAAATGGAGGCAGGGCGAGATCACAGGACCAGGGCAAAATTAAAATTGCTAATGAAGTTTCAGGCACATGTTGTCTTTGATGACATCTTAATCAGGAGACAGGGTTTGAGAGCAGACAATCGGTCTGACCAAAATTTATTAGGTGGGAATTTCCTCATCCTAATAAGCCTGGGAGCACTACGGGAGACCAGGGCTTATTTCATCCCTCATCGACAACCGTAAAAGACAGACGTCCCCAAAGTGGCCATTCCAGAGGCCTCCCCTTAGGGACACATTCTCTTTCTCAGGGATGTTCCTTGCTGAGAAAAAGAATTCAGCGATATTTCTCCTATTTGCTTTTGAAAGAAGAGAAATATGGCTCTGTTCCTCCCGGCCCACAGGCCACCAGACTTTAAGGTTATCTCCTTTGCTCCCTGAACATTGCTGTTATCCTGTTCTTTTTTCAAGGTGCCCAGATTTCATATTGTTTAAACAATTTGGGCAGTTAACGCAATCATCACAGGGTCCTGAGGTGACATTCATCCTCAGCTTACAAAGATGATGAGATTAAGAGATTAAAGACAGGCATAGGAAATCACAAGGGTATTGACTGGGGAAGTGATAAGTGTCCATGAAATCTTCACAATTTATGTAAAGAGATTGCAGTAAAGACAGGTGTAAGAAATTATAAAAGTATTAATTTGGGGAACTAATAAATGTCCATGAAATCTTCACAATTTATGTTCTTCTACCATGGCTTCAGCTGGTCCCTCCATTCGGGGTCCCTGACTTCCCGCAACAACAAATCAAAATGGAATTCTAAAAAAAATGTTCAATTTACCCATAGCCCTAACATATCAGAAAAAAATGCATTACATGTAAATGGTCTGAATACATCAACTAAAAGACGGATTGGCAGAGTGAATTTAAAAATATGACTCAACTATGCAAGGTCTATAAGAAATTTACTTCTAAAATAACAGTATATGGGTTCACATGGACATAAAGATGGGAACAACAGACACTGGGGACTACTGGAGCAGGGAAAGAGGGTGGAGGTCAAGGCTTGAAAAACTACTTATTGAGGACTGTGCTCACTACCTGGGTGACAGGTTCAGTGGTACACCAAACCTCAGTGTCACACAACATGCCTTTGTAACAACCTGCACATGTAGCCCCAAATCTAAAATAAAAGTTGAAAAATAAAATTAAATAACAATATAGGTAGGGTGCAAGTAAAAGGATGGAAAAAGATATATCATTCAAGCATCAATCCAAAGAAAGTAGGAGCGGTTATATTCACGTAATATATGCTAAACTTCAAGGCAAAGAAAATTACCAGGCACAGAGAGAGACATCTTGTAGTGATAAAAAGGTCACTTTACCAAGAAGACATAGAAATCCTAAACACATATGCACAAAACAACAGAGCTGCAAAATATCTAACACAAAAACTAATAGAACTAAAAGGAGAAAGACACATTTATAGTATAGTTTTATAGTTAGAGACTTAAACATTTATCTCTCAGCAATTAATAGAACTAGACAGAAAATCAGTGCAGTTATAGAAGAACTGAACAACACCATCAACCAATAGAATATAATCAATATTTATGGAACACTCCATCCAACAACAGCAGAATATTCTTACAAAGTGCCTACAGAACATACACCAAGATAGACTACACTTTGGACCATAAACCAAACCTCAACAAATTTAAAAGAATTGAAATCACACAGAGTATTCTGTAGCCACAATGCAATCGAATCAGAAATAAGTAACAAAAAGAGAGGAGGAAAATCTGCACACTTAGAAATTAAACATACTTCCAAATAATCCAGGATTCAAAAAGAAAGTCTCAAGGGAAATCAGAATTATATTGAACTGAATGAAAGTGAAAATATAACATATCAAAATTGACAGAACACAGCTAAATCAGTGATGGGAGGAAATTTACAGCATAAATGCTGGTATCAAAAGGAGAGCAAGTCTCAAAAATAATATAAGCTCTCATCTCAAGAACCTAGAAAAAGAAGAGGAAAATAAACCCAAAGCAAGCAGAAATGAGAAATAATGAAGCTGAGATTAAAAATCAGTGAAATAGAAAACAAATCAACAAAAACAGTAGAAAAAAATCAATGAAACCAAGAGCTACTTCTTTGAAAATATCAATGGAATTAACAATCCTCTAGCAAGACTGGCAAAGAAAAAAAACAGAATGACAGTTATTAATGTCAGGAGTGAAACAGGAAATACCATTACAGACCCTGAAGACATCAAAGAATAATAGTGGTATATCAGATTGCCATTTTACAACTTTACATACATAACTTGGAAAACTTAGTGATTCCTCAAAAAGCACAAATTACTATAACTCACCCAATATAAAATGGGTAATGTCAATAGCTCTGTAATTTCTATTAAGTAAATTAAATTTGAATTTTTACAGAAGAAATCTCTAGGGTCAGATGGTTTCACTAGAGAATTCTACCAAACATTTAACACCAATTCTATACAATCTCTTCCAGAAAATAGAAAATGAGGTATACCTCATCAGTGAGTTTTATGAAGACAATATTACCCTGATACCAAAATCAGATACAGTACAAAGAAAAAATACTACAGGCCAATATCTCTTATGAATATGGTGCAAAAATCTTTAACAAAATATTAGCAAAGGGAATTCAGTAATATATCAAAAGAGCTACACACATAACTAAGTAGGGTTTGTTCCAGGAATGCAAGGCTGGTTCAATGTTCAAAAATCAATCAATGTTGAACATGGAGCTACCATATGACCTAGCAATTCCACTTGTAGGAATATGCCCATGAGAAATGAAAACATATGTCCACACAAAAATGTGTACAATAACATTAATAGGATCATTAGTCATAATACCCTAAAAGTGGAAAGCACCCGGCCCTGCACGGTGGCTCACATCTGTAATCCCAGCACTTTGGGAGGCTGAGGCAGGAGGATCACTTGAGGTCAGGAGTTTGAGACCAGCCTGGCCAACACGGCGAAACCTCGTCTCTACTAAAAATACAGAAATTAGCCAGGCATGGTGATGGGCACCTGTAACCCCAGCTACTTGGGAGGCTGAAGCAGGAGAATCATTTAAATCCAGGAGGCGGAGGTTGGAGTGAGCTGAGATCGTGCCACTGCATTCCAGTCTGGGTGACAGAGCAAGACTCCATCTCAAAAAAACAAAAGTACAAACAACCCAAATGTCCATTACTAAATAAATAAAATGTGGTATATACACACAGTGGATTATTTGACAATAAAAATGAATGGTGTCTGACACATGCTAAAACATGAATAACCTTTGGAAACATGCTCAGTGAAAGAAGCTAGTCACAAAAGGCCACATATTGCCTGACTCCATGTATATATAAAATCTTCAGAACAGGTAAATCCATAGGGAAATAAAATAAAATAAATTAGTTGCTGCTTATGGCTAGGGGAGGGGATAGGGTTGGAGGGAAATGAAGAACAAATGCTAATGAATGTGGAGTTTCACTTGGGTTAATAAAAATGCTCTAAAATTGATCATGGTGATGGTCACACAACTCAGTGAATATACTGAAAAAAAACATTAAATTGTACATTTTTTTTGAAACAGGGTCTCTCTCTGTAAACCAGGCTGGAGTGCAGTGGTGCAATCACGCCTCACTGCAGTCTTGTCCTCCCAGGCTCAGTGATCCTCCCACCTCAGCCCCCAAGTAGCTGGGACCACAGGCACACACCACCACACTCAGCTAATTTTTTATTTTTAGTAGAGATGGGGTCTTACTATGGTGCCCAGTCTGGTCTCAAACTCCTGGGATCAAGTGATCCTCTCACCTTAGCCTCCCAAAGTCCTGGGATTACAGGTATGAATTTGTACACTTTAAATGGGTGAATTATATGGTATTTAATTATAATCTCAATAGAACTGTGAAAAATATCAAGCAATGTAATCTACCATATTAAAAGCTAAAGAAGAAAAATCACATGGTGATATCAATTGATGCAGAAAAAGCATTTAACAAAATCCAACACCTATGCATGATAAAACAAAAACTCTAAGAAAACTAGGAATAGAGAGGAACTTCCTCAGACCTATTAAAGAACATCTGCAAAAGACATAGAGCTAACATTACGCCTAATGGTGAGAAACCTGAAGCTTTCTCAGGAAGACAAGGCAAGAATGTTCCCTCTCACCACTCCTAAACAATTTTCAAAATTCAAAAGTAAACAAAAAAAAAAGTAAAATGGGCAAAGATTTCACTAAGGAGGATATGCACACGGCAACTAAGCACGTGAGAAGACATTCAAGATCGTGAGCCATTAGGGAAATGCAAATTAAAACTATGAGCTATCACTGCACACCTATCAGAAAGGCTGAGATAGAAAACAGGCCAGGCGCAGTGGCTCACACCTGGAAGCCGAGGCAGGCAGATCACCTGAGGTCAGGAGTTCGAAACCAGCCTGACCAACATGGTGTAACCTCGCCTCTACTAAAAATACAAAAATTAGCCAGGTGTGGTGGCGGGCGCCTGTAATCCCAGCTACCGAGGAGACTGAGGCAGGAGAATCACTTGAAACCAGGAGGTGGAAGTTGCAGTGAGCCACTGCACTCCAGCCTGGGCGACAAGAGCAAAACACCGTCTCAAAAAAAAAAAAAGAAAGAAAGAAAAAAGAAAACAGAGACAACACCGCCAGCTGCCTAGGACTCGAGAGGGTGGTTCACTCCTGCATCACCAATGGGAATGTAAAATTGTACAGCCACTCTGGAAAGCAGTTTGACAGTTTTTAAAAAAAAACTAAAATTGCAACTACCAGCCAACAATTGC
This sequence comes from Homo sapiens, assembly GCF_000001405.40. Classification (NCBI taxonomy): domain Eukaryota; kingdom Metazoa; phylum Chordata; class Mammalia; order Primates; family Hominidae; genus Homo; species Homo sapiens. Next base: position 28,093,594 of record NC_000015.10, read on the forward strand.
ACTCCTGGACATTAATCCCAGAGAAATGAAACTTTCATTCACACAAAACCCTACACGCAAATGGTCATAGAAGCTATATGAAAAATTGGAAGCCACGCAGCCGTCTGTCCGTAGGGGAGTGTGAAATAGGCTGCGGTGCATGCATGCCGGGAAGACCACGCCACAATCAAAAGGAACAGACAATTCATACACAGCAACGTAGAGGAATCCAGAGTGAAAATCCTCAGTGAAAAAAAGCAAGTTCCAACAGACTATTTACTCTGATTCCATGACTACAACATTCTTGAAACGGCAAAGTTATATCAATGGGGAACAGGTTAGTGGTTGTCCGGGGTTGAGTAGGGGCTCTCGTTCCACCTCACTTCCTGCCTCTTCCCTGGGAGACAGAGGCCTCTGCTCACCCAGAACTCTCCCTCTTTCTCACACATTCCTCATCCAGTTCTTCCAAACACATCCTAACTCCTCCTAGTCCCACCTGGTCATCGCCTCTCATGCAGATGATGGAGCACTCCAATCCCACAGCCTGTCCCTTAGGGGACCCCAACACCCTAGCACACAGCCTGTCTCCTAGGGGACCCCAACACCCTAGCACACAGCCTACCTCTGGGGGACCCCAACACACTAGCACACAGCCCGTCCTCTGGGGTGACCCTCCCTTCACCCCAGCCCGTGGCTGCACTCTCACGGGAACCACAGCTTCAGCCTGGCTTTGCTTTATTGGGCCCCATGCGCTTGACTTGCCTAGGGCAGGGCCACCCTGGGCAGAGCTCCCGCCCGTAGGGACACCTGCAGCTGGCGGGAGAGGGGTAGGGGAGCTGTAAGCCGGCGGCACAGGGCGGAGTATGCCACAGCCCCAACCCACCCCTCCAGGTCCTCCCCGCGATGGCGCCCAGGACCCTCCTTCCAAGCAAGACTCACACCGAAGTCACCAAATTTTAGAAAGAAAAAATAGATAGTTGTGGCTTATTTTTAGAAAAAAAAAATAGATGGTTCAGAGTCGGTGGAACCTTCCAGTCCTCACACTCAACCCCAAATCGTTCGTGTGGGCTACTGCCGGCCCTCTCTCCGGCTCTGCGCTCTTTCTGCCTGCAACCGTGCCCCCGAACTCGGGCCCTGCGAGGTGGGGGTGGGCCCGGGCCCCTCCTGCCGCCCCTGCTGCCAGCACCGTTCTCTCCGAGGCCCTCAACGCCCCGCCGTGCCGTGGCCTTCAGAGCGCGCCAGACGCTCACCAAGCCTGCCCGAGCCCCGCCTCCCGCAGCCGTGCCCAGGGCGGAGTGGGGCGACGGCACCGGTGCCAGGACCGACAGAGGCCAGGGCGCGGCGCCGGGCGTGGTCCTGACACCTGCCCTGCCGGGAAGGGGACGGCGTTCCACGCCTGGGCCCTTCTCCACTGCGTACAGGAGCCTGGGTCACCTGCTCGGCCCAAGAAAAGGCTCCAGGCCTGCGGGTGTGAATGAGCAGCAGCCAAGAGAGCGGTGCTGCCGGCGCTCAAGCTAGGCCGGGTCACCGCCTCCTGCCCAGGTCCAGGCAGCCCCGGCCTTTCCCGCTGGTACTGGCACGCCCGTGGCCGCACGGCTGAGTGCTCCGGGCATGGTGGGTCTGCGGGACTCGGAGCAGAGCTCGAGCTGGCGGATCCCCGGTTGGCGCCCGGCGGGAGGGCAGGAGTGGCCCAGCCAGGCCGCCCTGCGCACTCCCCGCCCGGGTGCGCCCGGGGGACCGCGGCCCTCCCACCCCGCCCCTGTGAAACGACAGCCGGCAGCAGGCGCCGCACGCCGACTTCACAGTGGCGGCGATCAACAGCGTGTGGAAAACAGCTTCTTCGTAAATCTTAAGAACATTGTGGCCGGGCGCGGTGGCTCACACCTGTAATCCCAGCAATTTGAAAGACCAAGGCGGACGGATCACTTGAGGTCAGGAGTTCGTGACCAGGCTGACCAACATGGAGAAACCCCGTCTCTACTAAAAATACAAAAATTAGCCGGGCGTGGTGGCGCGTGCCTGTAATCCCAGCTACTCGGGAGGCTGAGGCAGGAGAACCGCTTGAACCAGGGAGGTGGAGGTGACGGTGAGCCGAGATGGCGCCATTGCACTCCAGCCTGGACAACAAGAACGAAACTGTCTCAAAAAAAAAAAAAAAAGAACATTGTTCTTCGAGTTCTTTAAATATCTGACATAATACCGGCAAGGAACGAGAAGCACCAGGTTTAGGCGCTGAGGTGAAAATTTGGCTGTTGAAAGGCAGTCCCTCTGCAGCCAACTCCCCTCTGGTGGACAGTGTCTAACATCCAGAGAAAACACCCGTCACTGAACGCTCCCCTCCCCACAAAGCGCTGCTTGGCCCCAAATCGTCCCTAATGCGCTGCTCAGCCCCAAGGCGTCCCTCTGAGCGAGAAACCGCCCCTGGCTATGCTTGCAGGGGCCTGGCTGGGTCCACAGGGCATGGCTGTGTCTCTCGGAGCACGGCCCTTCTCTCCGGGGGCCTGGCTGCGTCTGCAAAGGCGTCAATGTGTCTCCGGGGGCGTAGCTTGTCTCCGGGGCGTGGTCGTGTCTCCGGGAGGTGGCTGGTCTCGGGGGCGTGGCTTGTCTCCAAGGCGTGGCCGTGTCTCTGGGGGCATGGCTTGTCTCCGGGGCGTGGTTGTGTCTCCTGGGGCGTGGTCGTGTCTCTGGGGCTTGGTAGTGTCTCCGGGGGCATGGCCTGTCTCCGAGGTGTGGTCGTGTCTCCGGGGGCGTGGCTTTTCGTTGGAGGTGGTCTGTCTGTGTCGGGCGTGACTGTGAGCCGGAGGCGTAGCCGTGTCTCGGGAGCCTGGCGGTGTCCGCAGGAGCGATGCTGTGACCGTTGCATTTGAAGCATTCCTTCTAGTTCCCGGATCCCAGGGAGGGGGCAGGAGAAGCCCTGCGGCCAAGAAGGCCTGAAGAAGCCCGTCCAGGGGTCAGCCTCCTCCTCAGCCGGTCCTGGGCTGAGACAGGGGTGTCCCGCTGAGGGCAGTGTAGGGTGCGGTGCCCCCACCCCACTTCGGGCCTGGACCGAGACCGCGAGTGTGACCGTATATCCCTTCAGGTGGATTTTTCAACATGTGAACTTGGTTAAAAGCTTCTAGAACGTTAAGCCAAACATCGTGGCTTTCCATCCGTTTTCTGTTCTTGTTTGAAAGAGTACGCCTCCTTCCAGCCTGGGAGGAGGGGCGGGGCCCGGGAGAGGGCCTCGGGAGGCCGCGGGTGGGCTCTGCCGAGGGCCGCGTTCGCAGGGCCCCCCGGGACTGGCGGCCCCGCGGCAGGCCAGGCGCACCTCTCGGGGAGAAACGAGCAGCGCCAGCAAACGCGCAGCCGGGCACGCGGCCGCCCAGCCCCGCTCCCAGCCCGGGGCCAGGACCCCTCCCCGCGGCGCCGCTGCCGCAAGCCTCCTCTGCTACCCCAGCTGCGGGCAGTTTGGCCCGGCGCTGTGCCGCTGTAGTTCGGTGTCCCTTCGCCCATCCTGCAGGCCAGCTTGGAAACTGTGTCCCATGCTCCTCGAAACACCGGACCTGCTCCCCGCCGCCCTGCGGAATGCGCCTCCTGGCGCCTCAGTGGGTGGCCGGGCCGAGAGCACAGGCGCGCCAGCCACACCTCCCCACGGGTCGGACCCACACGGACCCCGCCGCGCTCCGCCGAAACTGCGCGGGTCCCGCGGGTGGCCGGCGCAAGAGCCACAGCCCGCGACAAGCCGGCTGCCTGCAGGTCAGTGACAGAACCCCAAATGGAAACTGCGGAAACCCAACAACCAGCGAGTGAGCTGGTAGAGCCAGCGGCCCCAAGGAGCTGAGGGAGCTCCGGCTTGTGGAGTCTCTTCTCACATTTCCAGCATATGGAGAATGCCACACTGGGTCAGCCCCTGCCCCAGATCCTGCCCCCTGGCCTCCAGGCTCTGGGCTTTCCTCCCCTCTGTGGTAGCCTTTATCTCCATTGCAAGCCATCTTTCCACTACTAACAGTTAAAAGCCTCCCCTTTCTCTCTACTCTCCCAAGAAACCTCATCCTCACCTGTGGACAGGTGGCCGCCCAACTCTCTTCTGCAGCTCAAACCACTGTGTCCATCTACCTCTTTGTGTCCCTAGACATAAAGGTACCCAAAACTCCCAGAGTGCTGAAGCCACACCTGGCCTTTCCCAGGGGCCCACTGATCCCACCATCCATCACCCATCACCAACTGGGAATCCCCCCTGCAGCTCACCAGTGCTTCCCTGCCCCGGCCTGGCAACCACACTCAGTGGGAAGGCCTTGGCAGTGGCTTTCTTCAACTCCCCAGCTGCTCCCAACCCCCCAGCCACAGTGATCTTTCCAAAATGCATATGGCCTCAAACTCAAAATATTTCCTTGCTGCCTGCCACTCCAGCATAGAAACGGGGACCCAGGTGACACAGGTGTCATGCCGCTGGGTTTCCAGGGACAGCCAGGACCTCCCCATTCCTGGTATTCCTGATATCCTCAGATCTCAGCTGCTCCAGGGGCTGGAGGTTGCGTTCTTCTCATAAAACAAGAACAGTATAGGCATTTGCTTTTCATCAGTGTAATGAAACTTTAGGGACTTATGATCCTAAATCACATTACACCAATGTGAACTGCACTCAAATTGTTGTAAACTAAATTTGCAGAACAAGCAGTTTTTGTGCAATTCTTTGCAGTCTACTCAGCTCTTTCATCTCTGTGTTCAGGTTCAATCCTCATTAGTTCTTCTATGAGAGATAGTTATCCCCAGATGCGTTCAATGCTCAGCTCCTTGCCCTGGCAGGCCCCGTCCCAGGGTCCTGGATGGCAGATGCCATGCCCGCCCCGCGAAGCTCAGGCTCACCAAGCAAGCAAACCGCAGCTGGTTTAGGTAGACAGCAGCTGCCCACAACTGCTAACAGCCTCGGGTTTCTTTTCCTCAGAATCACTCACCCTAAATCTACACATTGTAGACTGTCACATTGGTCTAAGTAGTGCTCCTCAAAGTGCACTGCACATTAGAGTCACCTGGGGAGCTTCACCGCCGGGCCCCAGGCTCTGATTCGCCCAATGGGAAGGGAGCACCGGGCACTTGTCCTGAGCCCCTGGCCCCTGCCTGGTTCTGCAAACCCAGAGCGTCCACATACCAGGCTTCCTGTGCTTAACATTGTGTCCTTGAAAAGAGCTAGCTGCACTAATGCCCATTGATTTCACTGTGTGTGACCACAGTAAAGAGAAGCAGCTTTGAGGGATTTAGTGTTTTCACTCCAGTGCATTCCATTCTAAGGAAACGCCTGACCACGGCTCATGGCTAGGAGGCCCCGCAGTGCCAGATGCTGCCCTGGAGTTCAAGTGGAACATTTGCTGTCTGAACCTTTCCAAACTCCCCCCACCCATGACCTCATGGCCCACCAGGGGGCGACTTTTTCCTGGGTCGCCTGGCAGAGAGCCGGAGGGGGTGCTCAGGGGGCAGCTGCTGCAGGCCCAGGCGGACTCAGCCGCGCTAGGTCGGCTCCGTCGCACCCGTCTGTGCACACTAACCTTTAGGGGAACTTGCCTTGCTTCCTAAGCCGCGACTCAGCCGGGGCTGTGTAAACCCTCCCTGCCTGTTCCCAGGCTAGTCTGGCTCCTCGCCTCCTTCCTCCCGACCGCGGAGCACGTGCACTTTACCTGCGCACTTGCAGATCTTTCTCCAGGAGTGAGTTTAAGGTCCGCACCTCCGCTCTGGATGGTGAGCGGAGCACAGCCTTCGAAGTAAGAACTCAGAGGGAGCTCGGCGCTCCCGCAGCGGGTCCCCCACCCAGGCACGCCCCCGGCCCGGCCCCGCCCACAGCACTCCCCACTCGGCCCCGCCCACAGTGCGGCCACGCCCGTAGCACGCCCCTCCCGGCCACGCCCACAAAGCTGCCCACATGGCCCCGCCCACAGCTCGCCCGCTCCGCACCCCCGGCCCCTCAGCTCCCCAGCCCCCGGCGGCGCGGGCTGAGAGCAGCTCCGTCTAAGGCCACGCCGCCCCGGCGTCCCCGACAGCGCTCTCCGCGGGGATAGTTTCCAGCTTTACCTCTAAAGAGGCGGCCCAGGACTGCGGACAGGCTTTTCCCTATGAACAAGAACGGGGAAATGCTCAGTGAACATTCTGTTCCCTTCAGAGCTCTCCCAGCGGGCACTGAGAGGCCCTCCAGCTAGGACGCCAAGGTTACACTTGCCGACAGCCCCTCCTGCAGCACAGACACACACACGAGATACACAGACACACACAGATACACAGACACACACAGATACACACAGACACACACACAGATACAGAGATAGACACGATATACACAGACACAGATACACAGATACACATACACAGAGACACACACAGAGACACAGCAATACACAGACACACAGATACAGGACACAGATACACAGATGACACACAAGGACACATGCAGATACACAGACACACATACACAGATACACACAGACACATGCACAGATACACAGAGACACACACACAGGCACAGAGATACACACAGATACACAGATATACACACAGACACAGATACACAGACACACACAAATATATACAGATACTCAGACACAGATACACAGACACAGGTACAGACACACAGATACAGATACAGAGATACATACAGATACAGAGATACAGAGACACACACAGATACACACACGGACACACACAGAGATACACAGACACAGATATACACAGGCACACAGATACAGACACACAGATACACACATGCACAGATACACACAGATACAGAGATCTACACACAGAGATACACAGACACACAGATACGCAGACACAGAGATACACAGATACATAGACACATACAGACACACACACAGATACATGCACAGACACACACGCAGATACACATATACAGATATACAAACACAGATATACGCACAGACACACACAGATACACACACAGATACAGACACACACACAGATACACGCACAAACACATGGAGACAACACAGCTACAGACACACACACAGCTGCAGTGGCCAGGCCCTGCACAGGAATTGGCAGGAAGTAAGAGGCTCCATCCACAGTGTAACAGCAGAGCTGAAAGAGATCTCATGCCTTATAACAGAGCACATTGCACAGCCACAGGGTGGGCCAGGGGTTGCCCTGGTAGCAGGGACCGAGGATGTCCTCGGCATGGCAGGCTCCAGGACACTGAAGTTCCCAGCCAGGGCCCTGACAGCAGGAGAGCCCGAGATCTCTGAGACCACATTCACTGTCGCATGTGCAGACCCCTCAGTTCAGACCGCCGTGTGCGTTAGGTGTGGATATGGCTGGCAAGCAGCCTGCATGGTGACCCCCATCCTTGTGGGATGGCGGCTCCAGGGAGCCTGTGACCACCGATGCACCAGTTCCCGTCCCAGAAATACTGTCTCCTCCTCGCTCATCACTGCACCTGCTCCCCTCCCAGTGCCTCAGGGACACTGTTACAGGGCGGGAAGGGGCTGGGGCACAGAGCCCGGGGGAGGCTCCCTGAGTGGGCAGAAGGCTCTTGGTGTGCACGCAGATCTGTCGAAATGCGGGCTTTGAAACGCCAGCAGGACAGCTGCGGCCAAGCGTGTGGCTCTCTGTGCCTTGCAGGTCACAGTTGTTTTTGTGTAACTGCTGAATGTATGGGGAAGGAGCAACCCTACCCCAGCTCCAGGGATAGACCCTGAGTGGCCACAGTAATGGAGGAAACCCAACTTCCATGCCAGGGACTGGCTCGGGTGAGCCAAATCTATGTGTCCCAGCCCTGGCGGCAGCTGAGGGGTGACAAAGCCCCCCCGCGAGCCGACAGGCACCCACACCCAGCACAGCCACATGCTCACTGTCTCTGGGCTTCTTAGCTGCCGTCAATCAGTCCCCTTGGTTGATTGACCCTCAGGGCCAGATGGGGTTTCCTTTCCTGGTGGCTGAGAGTGAGTGTTGCCTGCAGATGCATCAATGGAAGCCTGTGTGTGACTCGAACAGCCAAACTTGCCTTCAAGGGGCACCGTGCTTCTTCAGTTACAAGTGATTGGGGCCAGTCTCAGAAATGATGTGGTTTCTCCTGAGCATGAAGATTTGGGTCCCAAACAAGATATGATATAGAATTATACTTTTTTGGCTGGCCAAGGAAATTCCAGAAGGAAATCCCAAAATAAGGTCCCCCTAAATGTTCTTGGCAAAGAACAGCACCATTGGAATCAGATATAAAAGCCAAAGGTGGCTATTTCCAAGCAGAGGGCTGGGATGCGGTGTCGCTTTTGTGTACGTGTATGTGCATATTTTATGTTTGTGGGTGACCCAGTGAAGGCACCCTTGGCTTCTTGCCCTGGACAGGCAGTTGTGACTCAGAGGACAATGGTCCAGGAAAGTGAGAAGCTCTCAGAATTGGGCAGGCCTGAGGGTGCAGGAAAGCGCTGCCTCCCCAGACCACAGCATCCAGAGAGAAGAAAGCGCCTCCCAGCCCAGCCCTCCAGCCCCGTCATGGGGAAATCTGTCTACAGCTTCCCTTTATGAATCCTTCCCCAGGGGTCCCCGGGGCCACCTGCTGTGCAGGCCTCTGCAGTCCCCAGTCTCTGCCTGTTCCTGCCATGGTTCAGCCCACAAACCCTATGCACCCACCCCTGCCCGAAGTTGGCTTGATTCAGCAAGCATTCTGTCAAGTTCCCAGATCCTGCGGGTCTGGAATTCAGAAAGGCACAGTGGAAACAGCTCGTCTGCTCCCCACTGCAGCCAGGGCAATGTGAAAGCTGGAAATGACTGGAGTCTGGAGGATCCGGAGGTGCACTTGCTCACTCTAGGGCGGGTCTGTCGGCTCTGCCACGTGGCCCCTGCACCAGCTCTTGGACTTCCTTACAGCATGGCAGCTGGGGCCCAAGAGACAGGAAACAGAAGCCACCAGTTCCTTAGGGCCTGCACCCAGGACTGGCAGGTGTCATTTCTGCCATATTCTATTGGCCAAGCAGTCAAGGAGCCCAAGGAAGGACACAGACACCAGTTCTTGAGGGGAGGAATGTCAAAGAACATTGGAGCCATGTTTTTTGTGTTTGTTTCTGTTTTTGAGACGGAGTCTTGCTCCGTCGCCAGGGTGGAGTGCAGTGGCGTGATCTTGGCTCACTGCAACCTCCGCCTCCCGGGTTCAAGCAATTCTCCTGCCTCAGCTTACTGAGAAGCTGGGACCACAGGTGGGCGCCACCACACCCAGCTAATTTTTGTGTGTTTAGTAAAGATGGGGTTTCACTATGTTGGCCAGGATGGTCTCGATCACTTGACCTCATGATCCGCCCACCTCGGCCTCCCAAAGTGCTGGGATTACAGGCGTGAACCACCGCGCCCGGCCAGAGCCATGTTTTAAAGTTACCACGGCTTTAGGAGGCAGGAGCTGCATAACATGAGGGCATGATGCTACCTTCTGAACTTAAATTCCGGACTTTAAAGACATGTTTAAATGTAATGAGCTGTGGAGTCACAGGAACTCCCATTCATTGCTGGTGGGACCGCAAGATGGTACAGCCACTTTGGAAGACAGTTGGGCCGTTTCTTACAAAACTAAACACTCTTAGAATATGATGCAGCAACCAATGTTCCTTGGTATTTACCTAAATGATTTGAAAACTTATGTTCACCCAAAATCTGCACACGGGTGTTTATAGCAGTTTTATCTGTCATTGCCAAAACTTGGAAACAACCAAGATGCCTTTCAGGAGGTGAATGAATAAACAAACTAGGGTACATTCAGACAATGGAATATTTATTATTCAGAGCTAAAAAGAAATGAGTTATCAAGCCATGAAAAGACACAGAAGAACCTTAAATGCAGATTACTAAGTAAAACAAGCCAATCGGAAAAGGCTGCATACTGCCTGATTCCAACTAGATGACTTTCTAGAAAGGTAAAACTATGGAGACAGTAAAAACATTGGTGGCTGTCAGGAGCTAGTGGGGAGCGGAGGGATGACTAGCTGGAGGGGATTTCAGGGCAGCGGCCCTAGTCTGTATGATACTGTAAGGCGGATACAGGGCATTAAACATTCGTGCAAACCCACAGAAGGCACTGCCCGAGTGAGCCTCGATGTAACCCGAGGCCTCTGGATAATGCTGGTGTGTTGGTGTAACCCATGGGCCAATCTGGTGGGCAGCATGTGCACTGGGGCAAGCTACATGTGTGGGGTGGGTGTATATGGGACTTCTCTGTACCATCTGATCGATAATGTCTTTCTTTTAATGAATTAGAGGAAAATAGAAAGTCTCATTTGTCTGTGGGGAAAAAATCAATTTTGAAAAGTGAGTGGGATGGGCAAAAACTCCAGGACTGACTCAGGAATAAAAACGATTATAAACTTCATCCTGAAGAGGGTGGGTCCTGTGACTGGGAGGGGCTGGCCCAAGTCCCGGGTCATCCTGAGCTGAAGGCTCCATGCGGAGGGGCGGCCCTGGGTGGCAGGAGAATGGGGAGGCCAGGCCCGTGGGGGTGGGAAGAAAGTGGGGTCCTGAGAGCTGGTGCTCCAGCGGGGAGCGAAGCTGGACACGGGAGTCTGCAGCTTGAGGGACGAAGGTGCCTGCTATTGCTTCTGGATGTTGAGTAGTTGGTATCTCTGTGCGTGTGTGTTTCCATTTGCATTTGGATCCCATGAGACATGAGGCCCAGGAGGTCCTGCAGACAAAAGCCTCCCACCCTGTGGAGCTGGCCTCCATGCAGAATGGACCCATTCGAAGACCTTTTTAAAACGATCTTTTGTATTTTCTTGTTTTAGAAACGGGGTCCCTCTGTGCAGCCCAGGCTGCAGGGAGGGGCATGGTCATAGCTCACTGTAGCCCTGAGCGATTCCCTGTTTGAAGTGTTGACTATCTTGACTATCGGGGAGGAGTGAGGTCTGCGCGATTCGGCCTGGAGGACCCTGAGTAGGACTCACTCGCCAGACTGGCTGCCAGTGGGCCTGGCCCTTCCTGACATGGTGAGCCATCATGGCATGTCCCTGGCAGTGACAAGGAATGTCCTCAGGCCCCGACCCTCCTGTCCAGGCCACCCAGGGCAGGCCTGTCAGGGGCCTTCCTTGTTCCAATTTTTCAGAGGCCCAGCGCTCTCCTTCCGCATCCTGCCCACCTGCCCAGCTGCAGGCAGCATGGGGAGGGGGATGGGGTGGGGAGAGGGTAGGGAAGACGGTGTGTGTGAGGGTGAGTGTATGTGAAGGGGCCAAGATTTATGTGTTTAGGAGGTGTGTATGTCTGTGGGGGGTGTGTGTGACGGGCTGTATGTAAGGGATGTATGTGTGTGGGGGGTATATGTGTATGTGTATAGGGTGTACGTGTGTTTGGGGTTGGTGTACGTGTGGGTGTGTGGGTGTGTTTTGGTGTATTTGTGTCTGGGGTGTGGGGGGAGGGTGTACGCATGGGTGTGTGTGTACATGTGTGTGGTGGGTGTGTGTTCATCTGTGTGGGGTGTGTGCATGTGTGGGGTATGGGAGTGTGTGCGCATGCGTGTGCCTGGTGTGTGTGGGGTGTGTGTGCATGTGTGTGTCTGGTGTTTGAGTGGGGTGTGTGCATGTATGTCTGGTGTGTGTGGGGTGTGTGCATGTGTGTCTGGTGTGTGGGGTGTGTGTGCGTGTGTGGTGTGTGTGGGGTGTGCGCATGTGTGTCTGGTGTTTATGTGGGGTGTGTGCATGTGTCTGGTGTGTGTGGGGTATGTGTGTGGGGGGGTGTATGGGGGGTGTGTGCATGTGTGTCTGGAGTGTGTGGGTTATGTGCGCATGTGTGTGCATGTGTGGGTGTGGGGGTGCATGTGTGTAGTGTGTGTGGTGTGGGGGTGTGGTGTGGGTGTGTGTGTGGTGTGGGGGTGTGTGATGTGGGTGTGTGGGTGTGGTGTGTGTATGGTGCGGTGTGTGTGTGGTGTGGGGTGTGTGTGTGCATGTGTGTCTGGGGTGTTTGGGGTGTGTGCATGTGTGTGGGATGTGGGGGTGTGTGTGGTGGGGTGTGTGCGCGCATGTGTGGGGTGTGTGTGCGTGTGTGGGGTGTGTGTGCATGTGTGTCCGGGGTGTGGGGTGTGTGTGCATGTGTGTAGGTTGTGTGTATGTACGTGTGCTGTGGGGGTGTGTGTGGTGTGGGGGTGTGGTGTGTGTATGGTGTGAGGATGTGTGTGGTGTGTGTGTGGTGTGGGGGTGTGTGGTGCGTCGGGTGTGTGTGCATGTGTGTCTGGGGTGTGTGTGTGCATGTGTGTGGTGTGTGCATGTGTGGTGTGTGGGGTGTGTGTGCATGTGTGGTGTGTGGGGTGTGTGTGCATGTGTCGGGTGTGGGGGGTGTGCATGTGTGTGGTGTGTGTGCATGTGTGTCTGGGGTGTGGGGTGTGTGTGCATATGTGTTTGGGATGTGGGGTGTGTGTGCATGTGTCTGGGATGTGGAGTGTGTGTGCATGTGTGGGGTGTGGGTGTGTGTGTGCATGTCTGTGATGTGTGTGTGCATGTGTGTCTGGGGTGTGTGTGCATGTGGGGTGTGAGAAGTGTATGTGTGTGTGCATGTGTGTGGGGAGTTCTGTGGGGTGTGTTCACGTGTGTGAGGTTTGTAGGGGTGTGTGTACGTGCCTCGGGTGTGTGTGTGCGCATGTGTGTGGGGTGTGTGTATGTATGTGTCTGGGGTGGTGTGTGTGCGTGTGTGGGTGTGTGTGCATGTGTGTGTGGGGTGTGTGTGTGCATGTGTCGGGGGTGTGTGTGCGTGTGGGGTGTGTGTGTGCGCGCGCGTGTGTGCATGTGTTGGGGGTGTGTGTGTATGCATGTGTGTGGGTGTGTGTGCGCGTCTGGGGTGCGGGGAGCATGCGTGTGGTGGGGGTTCTGCCTCTCACTCCCTCACCCAGGAGGAGGCTGTACCCAAGGCAGTGTTGCCAGACTGGGCCAAGCCAGGAGCAAGGCTGAGCGGCTCCACCCGCGGGCTCCCGGGCTGGGACCCGGGGTGTCACCCGCAGTGCTGAGCGTTTGTGCTCTGAGACCTCGTTGTCCCCAAGGGTCTCTCCACCCTCCGGGCCCCGGCCTCCGGCCCCGCCTGGCATGAGGAGCGGGGAGCGCACAGCAGGGTGGGGGCACCGGGCGCACGCGGGGAATTTCCCCACGACCACGGCCACGCCAAATGCCTGAACCTCCACGGCTGCCGGCAACAGCGAGCGCAGGGAGGGGGCTGTGCGCGCGGGGGCCCTGGTGGCGGAGCAGGCATCACCCCGAGAGCGCCGAGGTTTGTGGTCGCAACCCCGGGAGCACCGCTGCGGGAGGAGCGGCGTGGCCGGGCAGAGGCGACTTCCTCGCAGGCAGTACCGGGCCCCGCGGCCGCCTCCGGGCCTGTCCTGGTGCCCCGGGCTTCCACCCGGCGGGCTGGCGTGCGGGGGCTGGTCTTCGCCGAGATCCTGCTGGGAGCGGGCTCTGGCCCCACGGTGAGCCCGGCCCCAGCCTCGGTGATGCGCTTCGCTGCCGCGCGGGGAGGGAGAGTCCGGCAGGGTCACGAGGCGCCGGCCCCGGGGCCGCTTGAAACCCGAAGAGACCCCGCTCGCTCGCGCGCCCGCCGGACGAATCCTCGCGGAGGTCCCGGGGCGCAGCCGGCGTGAGGGTGGGGTCTCATCGCAGGGGCGCCGGGAGCCTCCCCGCTCCGCTAGCTCAACCAAGGACCGCTCAGAGGGGCTCTCACCCTGAACCTCGGCTTTTCTAAAGGAAGGGCAGACCCCAGATTTCCCCCTTCTCTTCTCGAACGTGCTTTGGGTGTTTTTCTGCTTTCTTTTTTGGCAAGTCAGGACAGCGCACAGTGCACGGAGCTCCGAAGCTCTCTCAGCTACTCCCGGATTTCTGGTTAAACCTGAGGGTGAGCCCGAAAGACCGCTGCCGCCGGCGGCCACCCCAGCGCGGGTCCGCTGAGAATGGAAACAGCAAGTGCGCGCCGGCCAGGCCGCCACCTCTCCCTCCTCCAACAGCCCGGGCAGCCGCAGGGGCCAGCCCCGGGCCAGCCAGGGCCCAGCACAAAATGCCTTCCAGCGACAGCAGCGCCGGAAGCCCCTTCTGAGGTCGTGGATAAGCCTCCGCGCAGGGGCCCCGCGCTCAGCCCACCCCGCATGCCTCCGCGCCAGGGCCTGCTGGTGGGTGGCCGCCTGCCCCGGGCTATCCCGGGCTGGGCACTGGCGCCGATCCCGCCTCGCTTGTGGAGCTGCATTTGGGGGGAAAGATGGACCGGCAGCGTGGGACGCAGAGCCAGGCCAGGCCGCACGGGCTGTGCACAAAGATATGCCCGACAGGCGGGGAGAAGGCATGGCCCACCGGCTCAGGAGAAAGTCCTGGAGGGGAGGCAGTCCGCCCCTGGGGACAACGCGGGGGGCCGTATTCGGACACCACCAGAAGTTCCTGTCGGAGACGCTAAGGGTGCCCACGGTGTCGGGCACCATGTAAAGCTCTCCTAACTCTAAGCAGACTGCAGTTTCATGCACATCATAAGGGCACAGCCACTGTCACCGATTCTATCAGCAGAAAAGCAAACAGGCAGGAAACCACAATTAATCCACAATTCACAATGCTGGTGAGCTTCCAAACAATTGTCAATGTGACAAGTTTCCACTCCTAGCACAGATGGGTCGTCTGTCTTTTCTACAGTTTAATGGTCTCGGCTGCACACATTTGTCTGTCAAAGTGAACTATATAACTTCAGGCTTTGGAAGTTGGATGAGAGTAAAAAGTTAAACTGAAGGTGACATGGAACTGTCCGAGAGAGTCCTCCTGTCCAAACATGAAGAAGCTGTGGCTACAAAAATCACTTTTTTTTTTTTTGTGGGAATGAAGTGCCCTCTAGTATGCTTTTAGTTAAAAAAAGAAAAAAAGAAAAAAAAAAAAAAAAAGGCCGGGTGCGGTGGCTTACGCCTGTAATCCCAGCACTTCGGGAGGCAGAGGCGGGCGGATCACGAGGTCAGGAGATGGAGACCATCTTGGCTAACACGGTGAAACCCCGTCTCTACTAAAAATACAAAAAAAAAAAAAAAAAAAAATTAGCCGGGCGTGGTGGCGGGCGCCTGTAGTCCCAGCTACTCGGGAGGCTGAGGCAGGAGAATGGCGAGAACCCCGGAGGCGGAGCTTGCAGTGAGCCGAGATGGCGCCACAGCACTCCAGCCTGGGCGACAGAGTGAGACTTCGTCTCAAACAAACAAACAAACAAAAAAACCATAACACTTACGCCATTGCTTCTAACTGCAGAAAGCAGAGACACAGCCCCCGCAGGGCAGCTGCATGGGGGTCCCGCCTTGGTGTCTGCGGCCGGCCTCTTCTGGCACATTAGCTTCCCCCTCAGGACTCTTATACGAAAGCTCTCAATCCTCAATCATTTTCGTCTGGGTTTTACCTATCACATTGGAAATTACAACTGAAAAAATTTAAAATATTGAATACGTTTAGAATAAAAACAAACCCATGACTTGTTAACATGGACACAATTTTGAAAAATCGTTTTCCAAAACGAAAACAAATTAGTGACAATGGCATTAATACTTTTATTAGCCTCTTTAACTGTCTGGCTTAATGGAAGTGTAAACCAAAAAAAGTGGCCCAGCGCAGTGGCTCACGCCTGTAATCCCAGCACTTTGGGAGGCTGAGGCAGGCAAATCACGAGGTCAGGAGATCGAAACCATCCTGGCTAACACAGTGAAACCCCATTTCTACTAAAAATACAAAATTTAGCTGGGCGTAGTGGCGGGTGCCTGTAGTCCCAGCTACTCGGGAGGCTGAGGCAGGGGAATGGCGTGAACCTGGGAGGTGGAGCTTGCAGTGAGCAGAGATCGCGCCACGGCACCCCAGCCTGGGCGACAGAGCGAGACTCTGTCTCAAAAAAAAAGTGAGACAGGCCTCAATCCACTTAGAGGTTGATTTTGCCACAGCTGAGGACGTGCCAGGGAAAGAGACAAGCCACAGTAGGCTCTGTGTCCGGGGCTTCTTCCAAAGAGCTTTGAGGATTTCAATATTTAAAGGGGAAAAAGGCAGGAGGGGAAGGAGGAAAGAATAAAAAGGAGGGAGGGTAGGAAAAGTGAGAGAAGTGGGGCACACCCTTGTGAGGTTTTGATGAGTGCTCGCTGAATCGCAGGGGGCAGAGGAAGAGTCAATTATACATTCGGCTCACGCTCAGTAAATCTGCACTTTACATCAGATAAAGTCAACCTAGAGTCGAGGAAGAAGTCAAATATGCATTAGTCTGGGAATGGGCGTACAGACAATTTCTAGTCTCTATCCCTTACGGAGCGATGAGCTGTGACTTTACATAGTCTGGGTCCGGGAGGCCACCTGGGGAGATACCTGTTCAGGCACACAATGAAAAGGCAGTTTCCCGTGTGACCGTTTCCAAGCTCACGCTTTTCTTCTGGCCTAGTGGGCTTGCGGGTGGAGATTTTCTTTCCTTTCACAGAAGACAGGTGAATTCTCATTTCTGTCTGTGCATCCCCACATTGTGAAGTTTTGGTGGAAGGAGCTGAAGAAAATCTGGCCTCACAGAGAGACGTAGTAGGAGATAGAGGCTCTCATGGACACCCTGAAAGGGCCTCAGGAACTCCAGGGGTCCTCAGCCAGGACTTTGAGAACCCACATTCTAGAGGCAGAAGGCATTTGCCAGCCTGATTTGGGGGTTGGCCAATGGAAAGTGGGTGGAGGGGACAGTGCAGCTCTGGGCCCTCTTACACCTGTGTCACCACCGTGATACACACGCCCAAAGCGAGAAGAGAGATGTGAAGCCTGACACCTCCTAACCGCGGGCCCAGAGCCACTCAGCAGAGGCCGGCCCAGCCAGGCGCGCGAGTGAGAAACGCTGCTTCTCACTGACTTCAGGGGCAATTCTGTTATGCCGCAAAAGCTGACAACAAAAGGGTTGGTGATATTAACAAAAATAATACCACACAGCTTATGGACGTTTTGAGCTAAGCTGAAAATAGACTAATCCTGGCATTTACCAATTCAGTTCTGGAAAGGTTCCCAGAAAAAAAATAAAACTTTCCCTCTTTGGATCTTCTGTGCCAGTGCTAAACATCGTGTCCCTGAATAAACTGTCTCCCAACGTGAAATACATAGTTTTGCCTCAATCTGATAGTCTTCAGCTCAAGCTCTAATGCGTTAGACCTGCCAGCCAGTTTTCCTAGCCTGTTCTCAGTTCTACCCTTTGCAGAGTGCGTGCCATACACAAGCAGCCCAAACCGTGTACCATGGCTGCCTGGACGGAAGACTCTCAGCCCAGGCCAATGAAAGCAGAAGCCAAGGCTGTGCAGACAGATGGGGCTGGGGAGGAAGTCGGAGGAAACTCTGAAGGCTCCAGAGCCCTTCAGCCCCTGCCACCAGCTGGTCCCGTGGAATCTTCCATTCTCCTAATCACTTCTTTGTGACTTGAGTTTGGTTTAACAAAAAAATAATCTCAACTTGGCTGAAATCTTTACTACTGCTATATCAAGAACTAATTGATTTTTTGGTTGTACTGGTTAAGAAAGCTCAGCCTACACTTTTATGTCAGATGTTTTATTTATAGATAATTAAAATTTAGGCATATACATGACACAAACATTATATATAGTACACTTTCCATGATAGAAGTTATGATGCTGTTCACAGAAAGGCCTCAATTCAGATGACATAATGCATATGCTACAAGGGGACACCTGGGAGGGGGGACACCAAATGGCCTTCTGGTTTTTCATTTTGGTTTAAATATCCTCTGGATGCATTCAAGTAATACTAATCATTTCATGTTCAAAAGTCTTTTAATAAACAAATTCAGAGTAAAATTAATTGAAATATTTATAATACGATTTGTTACACAGTTATTTCCAATATACAATCAAGACGACTCACGACACTTGAAAGAAAGGAGAAAGAAAAAAAATCGATTGCACCCACAAGTAAAAAGGCTTTATTCATTTTGGGGATGCTGCAATTTGGTATTTATATAAACATTTACACACTTTAGTAAACACAGTCCTACATGTAATGCAGCATTACGGGTGAGAAGACCCTTGGAAGTCGAGCGTCCACAGTGTTCCACGCGCACAGGCGGACCTTCTCACTGTCATTCCCATCACGGCCAGTCAGTCTCTCCACTCCCTCCTCCCGCCTGGCTCGAGGACGGACGCTTCTCATCAGACACACCAGGCAGCCTACAGTCTACACAGCAGCGAGCGCTCTGCTGCCTGGCTCAGGCTCTCATCTCACGAGGACGTTTCCCCATCTTAGTGTCCTGTTAAATAATCTTGTGTAGAGTCCGAAGCAAAGGAGTCGACATCCTCGTTATCTGAATCGTCGCTGCTGTCGTCGGCGGCTGGCTCTCCTGTAAGTGCGATGCGAGCGTAGTCATCTGTGTCTATGGACTTGCAGAAGTGGATGGCGTACTTGAGCTTCTCCTCCAGCACCTGCTTGCAGGAATACCTGGGCAGCTTCAGCAAGAAGAAACAGGTGTAGGACTCAGGGAGGAAGTGGTCTGGAGGGTTGTATTTATCCAACACCTGTTGAGCAGAAACATGAAGTGATTAGAAATTGAGTACGGCTGCAGTTTACTTTACTGTGCTCATTAGACTCTTCGTGCTCACAAAACCATATTTTTTGCTAAGAACAAAACAGCAGAAAACATAATCCAAACAACTTTAGGAGTAACGAGGAGCAATTAATTCCTAGAACTTGGAGTAAGAAACAGCACCTCACTATGGAGATGATGGCTCTCTATTGTCATCCCGGGAAGAGGGCCCGAGGACCACACCACCTGTGTGGATGCGGGGCGGCCTGGCTGGCGGAGGACCAGGCACGTGACCACGGGAGAGCTCTTCATGAGTCTACCAGCCCAACTTTGACCCCTACAGATTAAGATACTAGGAAACGGCAAGAATTATGGACAAAAACTAAGAATTACTGACCTTCTAAGATAGAAAACTATGCATGCTCTCCAAGGTGACCCTGAAAGACGGCCACTTTTCTAACCCTGGCAGAGACGCAGGTCAGGCTGTGCTGGACACATGCTGGGAACAGTGGACCCCATCGATCCATCCGCCCAGGCACTGCTGTTACGGTCCCAACAGAGAGTGGGGGCATTAGGCCATCCCCTCTCAGTGACCCGGCAGGTCCACTGAGCTTGTTTCTGACCACCGGCCCACAGAGTTGGAACCCAAAGCAAAACCCTTGTTCTCAATCCAACGAGCGGCCTCATTTTTCTCGGTATGTAGGATGTTACTTAGTGACTCACCTAATTCGACCAGATAACTGAATGAGTGCTTTACGTGTGTTTGAAATCTAGAGCAGGCTGACACAGCAGTGATGTATTCTGGGGATGGCCAGATACATTTTTAAAAAATAGGTAATGGTACCCAAAACACATAATCATAACATTTTGAGCCTTCACATCAGAGAAGTTCGATGTTTTCCATTTTCATTTCTGTAAAGACTCAAGAGGCTCGTTTTCCATGTGCTGCAGGACTGTGGGTGAGGAGCCAGCCACCCACCGTCGGCCGACATCAGCCCAGGGCCGGCAAGCCCAGCCAGGAGCCTACCTGGATGACGAAGTCTCGGCCCCGGAAGTCGGCGATGGTCCTGGGCAGCCTCGTCCGGCCCCAGACGAAGCGAAGGAAAAGAGAGCGCTCTGTGTTGGAGAAGGACTCCATCACCTCCCAGAACCACTGGATCAGCGATGCGGAAGGCTCGATGCCTTTATAGGTGGCCACCGACTTGAGAAGGTGCAGCGGGATGTCAGGGCTGCCACACACCTGCGGGAGGATGTCTGTCAGGGCCGCGTGATGCTTCCCACCCTGGCATTTCCGCAAGACTCCGTCACGCTCCCTCTCTACACCAAGGCCTGTTTGGGGTGGGGAAAGGTCTGGGGGCTCTGGGTGGGCCCACACACAGCCTCCTGCAGGCGGGTGGAGGGACGCGCTCAGAGTGCACTCCCTTCAGTCAACACACAGGGCAAGGTTCTGACTCTAACTGCTGTCACTGATTTGTGGGTCAGCAGGCAAAAGGCAGCTGCAGGGCAGCCCCACCTGGGGGTCGGCATACCATCGTCTCCAGTTCGTAGCCGGTGAACAGAGAGAGGAGGGGAACAGGCACAACGCGGGCCATTCCTTCCCGAACAGCAGCCACCTGCTCATCAAATTCATGGAGTCTGGAAGAAAAAGCTCACTTTACACTTCTGTCTTCAGTGACACTGACTTTATGCTGCTCACACCAAGCCTTGGCATGCAGCACTGTGGCCGCACACGTCCCAGCTGGGAGAACAGAGGGAGCAGCTCCAGATGGCATGAGCATGCTTAGCAGCTCGGCACTGCAGAGCTTCTCCTGACACTGGGCTCATCTCGTCCAGCCGACAGGGTACGGCCTAATGACCACCTACAGCTATGCACACCCCAAGACGCCACTCTCAGTACCCACAGGACACCCCAGGAGAAGCCAGCACCAAGAGGGGAAACACATGTGCATCCGCCCCAGGCCCGAGACACTGTGCTGACCCACAGCAGACACGATACGGGGGACAGCACCGCCCAGGACACCTGCCAGGACTACCCCCACCAGAGCCCACAGGGCCCACCTGCCACACGGGGCCTCACCCAGACACTCTCAGGTGCTTCCAGGGGACATGGGACAAGCAGTGGAAGCTGTGGGTGGTGGTAATGACCTGCCAAGCCTGAATCACGGCACCCAAAGGACCGTGCACAGTCACACCTGGGCGCCTGGCAAAGGCTGCTCTGTGTCACTCAAGCAGCCTGGAGGGGGTTGAGACAGCCCCAGACACAGCCCTGTCCCAGGGAAGCCAACAAAGAAAGCACACAGGGGCAAAAACTATGGCCTCTCCAGGTGCAGTGACCCAAATGGGTGGATTTTGTTGATCTTGGTATTCTGGTTAGAGCCAGGAATGTCAGAGTAATAAATACCGACCCTGATCACAAAATAAGCTTTATACCCACAGATCAGCAATAGTTGGAGCCAAATCCATTACTTTACTGTGTATGACACTCCTGAAAAACACACATGTCCACACAACCACGTTCTGCTACTTTTGCTATTTATGTCAATGCAACAGAGACGGATGACCACCAACCTATAGTTTATCGCCAGCCGCACGTACTCCGCGCGGTTGTCCAGGGTGATGTGTGTGTGCTTGGAGCTCAACTGAATGTCCTGGCCACTGGCACTTGGCACTGTGAAGGGCAGGCTCATGGCTTCAAACTCCTCTGAGGTGGCTTCATTGTCTCGGATGTACATGAGTCCAGGAATAAAATCCTTATCAACCTTTTAAGGAGAAAAAGAAAGCCCATGTGTCGACTCACGGCTCATCTCCATCCCAGACTCCAGTCCACCCAGCACACTCTGTCAAGCAGGAACCAGGGTCAGCCTCAAGTGCATCTCGAGGCTGCAAGTGCATGGCACACACCAAGATATAAGAGGAGCAACGAGAGAGTACTTCACCCAAGGAGCTGAACGAAGAATTCACAATTCAGCCAAATGCTTAAAACTAACCACCGAGAAAGTTACAGCAACTGGCTAGCAAGGGTTCCCTCCCTGCAGCCGAGGCACAACACAGCCATGGGGAATGAGCTGGCTGTGGTCGCCCCAGGACAGAGCCTCCCGTGCAAGCCTGACTCACGGCCCCCAGCTGCCCAAAAGCTCAGCTTCTTCACAGGGGAGGCAGTGAGCTTCCTTATCTGACAAGACAGTGTATGTTACAAAACACCAGAAAATAGATGGTCTATTTTTTTTTTTTTTTTTTGCTACTCAAAGGTGGTCCACAGCCAACAGCCTCTGCGTCACCTGGGCACTGAGATTAGGCCAGAGTTCACAGCCTGACCGGACCCGCAGAACAGACTGTGCCTGTTAACAAGACCCTAGAGGCCCCGCCTGCCGCCCCAGGGAGTTACCTCACTGAGGTCCGCGATGGTGAGGCTCATCCCAGCCAGCTGCTTCCAGACAGGCTCGGCAAGGTTGAGGCTCAGGGGACTCCCGGTTCGGATGGCAATGCCCAGCAACACACCTGATCATTCAGGACACAAGTGACAGAGGACACTTCAAAAGGATGACAAAACTTCCCGCTCACTCACACACGCCACTGACAGCAGCTCCACACTCAGGACTCAGAGCCTTCTGAAGCAGCAACACCCACATCATAGGTCTAGGCCCTTCCTCAAGACCGCCTGTCCTGCTCTAAATCTATCCTTTTGTGCCTAAAAGCCTCTAACTCTTCACATCCTTTCTGCACGCACACTAGTTTAAGCCACACAGTGGCCAATTCTTCTTCTTATGACAGCAAAGAGCTGGAACTTCCCCACGGGAGTGTCCTCCAGGGAGCTACAGCCCTGCCCAGGAGGTGCTGGCTGTGGTGGGACGCACAGCCGAGGACACCCTGCACACCCTCAGTGGGACAGGAAGGAGGGACTGGCCAATGGCGAAGACCTCACCCCACTCTGATCCCAAGTCTCAGATAAACACTGAAGATGCAGAAACAGAATCTCCCATCTTCTGAGTACCCGAGGCAGTCTCCAGTCCTCAGCACGTGGCCGGGGCTGGCTCTGCCAGTGCCTGCAGCTGTGCACAGAGCTTCCGACGGTCCACCACCGTCAGGCCCTCAATGCTAGGCACGGAAGTCAACAGCACCTCGTTCGCTTCCACAATGTTGGTGAAAGGCACGATCAATATTAAAAGTCTTTTCTTTTTCTTTTTTTTTTTTTTTTTGATACAGAGTGTTGCCCAGGCTGGAGTGCAATGGTACGATCTCAGCTCACTGCAACCTCCGCCTCCCGGGTTCAAGCAATTCTCCTGCCTCACCCTCCTGAGTAGCTGGGACTACAGGTGCATGCCACCACAGCCAGCTAATTTTTTTTGTATTTTTACTAGAGACGAGGTTTCACCACATTAGTCAGGCTGGTCTCGAACTCCTGACCTCAGGCAATCTGCCTGCCTCAGCCTCCCAAAGTGCTAGGGTTATAGGCGTGAGCCACCGCGCCTCACCCTAAAAGTCATTTTTATTGGTAACAGTCTCAAAAACTAAAAGCAGATATTCAAGATATCTACTGTCACTCCTCAAACAGATAGTACATTTTAACTCAAGAGCAGGCACAGGCCACAGCGACACAGTCTCAAGCGGCCGAGAAGCTCACCCAGGAAGCGGAACATGCTGCTGTGCACGGGTGCTCTGGCGGCCGGGCTGAGCAGGTAGCAGTCTCGGTTGGCCCCAGACTCATCCCTCCCGTTGGGTGTCACGATCAGCAGGGGCGTGAGTCCGTTCTGCAGCTCCTCACAGATCTCAGCTATGGACTCGCTGTAGCCGCCCCCACAGTCATCCACAGATTCACCTGCAGGGGAGAAGCAGCCACTCGAAGTCCCCTCACACAGTCCTGTGTAAAGAGAGCCCCAACGCTCCCACACCATGTGGCCTCTGTGCTCCCTGTGGGCTCAGGCGACCACTGCCGGGGACACAGGTGCTCCAGCACGTGGCAAGTTCTCACCCACAAACTTGACTTTCCAGACACGGTGAGGAAGGAGGAGGCTGTCGGGACCAAACGAGCTCATCTTAGCACACATCTGCCCAAAGACAGACTTGGTGCCGTCGGGGCCGGCCAGCCCGCCTTTGCTCCTTGATCGTTTGACCTGGAGAGGAGGAAGCAAGCAAGCGTGAGGCCGCTGCCGCAGCAGGAAGCACACAGTCGGGGATATGCGGCACTGGCGAATGCACGAGGAGGAGGCACCGTGCATGGGCCCCTCCCTGGTCACACACCTGCTTGTGTGGACGCCAGGCAGACCCTGCCGTCTGGGGCGCTCGACTGTGGACACCCGAGACCGCTGCCTCACCCCATTGGGCATGTCGCCAGTGATGTGCCCAGCAGCCCCCAGGACTAGTGTGTCTGAACAAACACACCTTCCAACACGACACACACCACCACCACGTCCACAGCTGCGGCCCGGCAGCACCACCCTGGCACGGACCATCCTCACACCCTAAGCACTGCTGCTACTTCACCATCTTGCCACGACCTCATGAAATAAGACACCAGGAACTCCAAAAGCAGCTCCCCCAGCAGACCAGAACAGACTCCCGGCACTCAAAGATTCAACCCAATGCCCCTGAGACTGAAGCAGACACAGTGAGTGAGTGCCTCAGCCAGGACCAGCCCTTCCCCACATCTGCTTCCACCCATCCCATTTCCAAGCCTTGGGGCCACTCAGCCTCCCCAACACAGGCAGTCACTCCCTGCCCATCCTTCTCATCCTAAGCTACAATTGCTAAAGGCTCAGGGGCCTCCAATTCCCAAAGACACCAGGGCAGGAGCCCTAGGGCCCCGCCGCAGCAGGACCTCGGCACATCGGAGGGCAGGTGGCCGAGGCTGTGCATCAGAATCATCTGGGAAGCCCAGTCTGGAAGGATGTCAAAAAGAAAAATTGAAGAAAAAATGGTCCTGAGAATGTATTTTGATGACTCCTCCAGTGAAGCTCTCTTCACCTTTAGCTCACTTAAAGTTGAGTTTAAACAGCTTACAGAGCAGGCTGCCATAACCAAGACTAAAAATACAAGAAGAATGACAGGAGCCACAGTTGCCTGTAGAATGAACTTGTCTGCGTGCCACACACACGGCTAGTGTTCACAGACGTGAGTTCCTGGAAACTCGCGGCAGCTTGTTAAGGCTCCATCATGCCCAGAGGAGACTAGGCTACAAGAAAAGAACAGGACATGCCCTATGTCACGGCGGCTGTGTGAGAGGAGAGGTGCACCCAGCTCCCCGAAGCCCACGGGGCTGCCTCTCCTCCATGACGACACCCACTAGTAGAGGCTGTCTGCACTCAGAGGCTGCAGAAAACAGCAGCCATAAGGCTGGAGGCAGACAGGCTCCTGCGGGACAGCACTTTCTCTGCTCAATAGAAACACAGATGATTTTAACTGTCTTTAATCTGAATTCCCTAAATTTTCAGAAATGTGCATGCAATAACTCTGTAATAAATTTTTAAGTATAAAAAAGTTTTTATGTAGTGATGTTCAGATCCTGCTATAAAACTAAATAAAATTCCCAACAAACAAAACCTTCCAGTAAGATGACCTGTGTTCTGGAGTCTCTGAAACTATCCAGACAGCTGTGAGAGTCCCTCCCATGGCATCCTCTTGGGAGGCGTGTCCCTGAGCCCATCATCGCAGCCATGGGGTGGCGGGTTGGAGGCGCCTGTGCAGCCTTCCTGGCTCCGTGCTGGTGTCCTGTGCACACCCTGAATTCAAACAATGTTTTTCTCCATGTTCATTTTTAGGCAGAAAATCACTTCTATTTCTACATCTGTAGAAAATTTCCTCGCTTTGGGAGGGGCATGCTACCCTGAACGGGAAGGAGCCACCTCTGGCACCCGGGGCCGTGGCTGAGCCAGAGCAGCCCCCAGACGTCAATCCACATTGCACACTAGGCTGAAGGGTGTTTATCTGATTCTTAAGAAGGCCTGACACCACGCACGGTGGCTCACGCCTATAATACCAGCACTTTGGGAGGCTGAGGTGAGTGGATCACCTGAGGTCAGGAGTTCAGGACCAGCCTGGCCAACACAGTGAAACCCTGTCACCACTAAAAATACAAAAAAGGCTGGGTGCGGTGGCTCATGCCTACAGCACTTTGGGAGGCCGAGGCGAGTGGATCACCTGCAGTCAGGAGTTTGGGACCAGCCTGGCCAACATGGTGAAATTGTCTCTACTAAAAATACAAAAAAAAAAATTAGCCTGGCATGGTGGCACACGTCTGTAATCTCAGCTACTCAGGAGGGTGAGGCAAGAGAATTGCTTGAGCCTGGGAGGTGGAGGTTGCAGTGAGCCAAGATTGCACCACTGTACTCCAGGCTGGGCGACAGAACAAGACTCCCTCTCAAAAAAAAAAAAAAAAAAAAAAAAAAAAAAAAAAAAAAGGCCTGATATAAGTTGTCGTTTTTTGTTTGCTTTGAGACAGTGTCTGGCTCTGTCGCCCAGACTGGAGTACGCTGGTATGATCTCGGCTCACTACAACCTCTGCCTCCCGGGCTCAAGCAATCCTCCTGCCTCAGCCTCCCAAGTAGCTGGGACTACAGGCACCCACCACCACACAAGGCTAATTTTTGTATTTTTTGTAGAGATGGGGTTTTATCACGTTGCCCAGGATGGTCTCAGACTCCTAGGCTCAAGCAATCCATCCACGTCAGCCTCCCAAAGTGCTGGGATTACAGGCATGAGCCACCACCAACGACTAATATAAATTTGTTTGCCATTTACCCAGTTTGTTTTTTCAATTGCATACTGAACGTTTTTGTAACACAAGCTGGGGATAGCAAGATGAGTAAGAAAGAGGTGCTCAGCATGTAATGACTTCTTAAAAATTTCAGATGATACAAAGACAGAAACAAGGGTGCCTAACCTGCATCCTAGTTTATCAAAACTTCACTGATTCCCAGAGTCCCCCAGGCTTGAATACCCACCCTGAGAGCCCCTGGCCCAAAAAGTCTGCGTGCGGTTTTGAGGGAGGTGCAAGTCAAGGTGCACTCAATCGCGGGGGTTAGACAACGCAGAAGCCATCAGCTGGCCTTGCCTACAAGCTATAATGTTTATGATGCACAGCAAACTGAAGCCATCGTCCAAGGTAGGGAAATAAAAGCTTTTTTATGAACCTAGTTAAACAACCTATTTATGTGAGGACGTGACTGACGTACAGCTTAGCATTAAACACTCTGACGTCAGTGAAGAGACCAGCTCCATCAATGTGGTCACATGAGCTGTCCAACAAAGGACAAGAGTTTCGTGTCTTAATTCAAAATGCCCCCAAGTATAACTCTGAAAACATTTCTAGTCTTGTAATCAACATCAGGGTAAAAATCATGTGTTAATACAAAGGTACAGGAACAAAGAATTTGTTCTTCATGGCTCTCTGTGTCTGATCCAAGAGGCGAGGCCAGTTTCATTTGAGCATTAAATGTCAAGTTCTGCACGCTATCATCATCAGGGGCCGAGGCTTCTCTTTGTTTTTAATTAATTGTTTTTAACTGTGAGTTTATATACACTTGAAGCAGTATACATTTAGAAATGGTCTACTTGTCGTTTCTTTGATTACTACCCATGAGACAGTATTAGTAATTCTGGCCTATGAAATTGGCAAAGAAAACTACCAGTGGTGGGGAGGGTGTGAGGATGGTGGGAACATGAACTGTTATAACCTATAATCGGATGTATCATCAAATTGTCACTGGGCCTCTGACCCACTCCACTTCTCAGAACTTAACAAAAGGGGTGACCGAAGATACACCCAGATAGCCCTGCCTGTACCACAGAAAAGTGGGCACGGCCCCCCAGCACCATCAGAGAAATCTGACAGAGTAAACCAGGACACACCCCTGCAAGAGAGGAGCAGGCTGCAGGCAGCTGCCAAACACAAGCAGCCCCACAGGACCCTATTCCATGGCAGGGAGGAGAGCAGCAAATTTCAAAAGGCAGTGATCCTGCTTTGGCTGTAACAAATAGACACACACCTCCCAATGTAACAGCAGCGGTTATCATCATGCAGTGGGAAGAGGGCTGATTTTATTTTCCCCATTCTTGCTGACCTGTGTTTGTGCTTTTGGACTATCTGACATAAATCTTCATTACTTCTGTATAAAGAAACACACTGACATTCCTGGAAGCCCCAGCACATCACATACAGGAAGCCCACAAAAAGGAAGGTGGCACCTGCTCTTTAAAGTTGGGGTGCACAGGATGGCAGGCTACCAGCGCTCTCGTCCCAGCCCAGGTACCCACGAAAGCATCACTTCTAAGGCTGTCAGACTTGGAGAGTAATCTCCATGTGCTACCTGGATGCGGTTCAGCTCCACGACGGGGCCATGCTGACGATCGCGTACCATAGTTGCTTGTACTACTTTCCGGAAAGCCGCCTCCTAAAACACATCAAACAGACAAAATTTAGAATCTGATATGGAAAGCATCACTCCTGAAGAAATCATCACATAGTTTTGTTTAAAATCTGTGTTGAAGACCTTCTTAAGGACAGAAAACTGCCAGTTCCCTTTTCTCAAGTTGTGAGGGTGCAGGGGAACAGGCTGGCCCCGAAGCACACAGGGACAGACGGCCAGGCAGGTAGTGCCAATGGCCGGGCAAGAGGCAGGTCCCTCAGGAAACTACCTCCACCCAGCAGCGTTCCGGAGGCTGGAAGAGCCCAGCACACACAGGGCACAGAACAGGGAGGGCTGGGCCTGGCAAGCACCTGCTCTGACTCAGGTCTTGAAGTCAAGGTTTCCCTGCCAAGCAAGCCCACCCGTGGCAGGGATTGCTGTTAAACCACTGCCTGCCATACAGCAGCCACGGGCCAGGGAGCACCGCGGAGCCAGCCGGACCTTGGATCGCCACTGCCTGCCATACAGCAGCCACGGGCCAGGGAGCACCGCGGAGCCAGCCGGACCTTGGATCGCCACTGCCTGCCATACAGCAGCCACGGGCCAGGGAGCACCGCGGAGCCAGCCGGACCTTGGATCGCCACTGCCTGCCATACAGCAGCCACGGGGCCAGGGAGCACCGTGCAGCCAGCCAGACCTTGGATCGGGACAGAAAAGACAGACCGGGGAGGGGAAACAAGGTCCTGGCTGGGATCACACTAAAAGAAATCGGGAGTGCCTGGGGTGAAGACAGCAGGGCGTGGCCAAACATCAGCACCACGGTGAGGACCCAGCCGTTCCCCAGGAGGGAGCAGGTCGGCCATGCCCGTGGGGAAAGGGCAGAGGATGCGGCACGCAGCCGTGCCAATGGAAAGGGATGAGACAGGTCAGCAGGGGTCTCAGCTCTCTTGGCCAAGGAGGCAATCGTGCCTTCTTTCGGTTAGGGGTGGGCTGTGGGAGCACAAGGGTCCCTCAGTGGAGGCTGAGCCCTTGCCCAGCTCAAAGCCTAAGAACTCCAAGCCCTGAAGGCAGGAGGTGAGGGCCCCAAGCGCCAGAGGAGACCCAGAAAGGGTATCCTGGCGGCACCCCAGCCCCATGCCTCTCGCACAGCCCAGACTCATCCTGCTCCCAGAGGCCCTGCCTGGACCTCAGGGCGGCTCCCCCTCCACAGGAGCACTCCCCTCTCCTCCCAGTCACCAGCCCGCCCACCTTCCTGGAGAGTCCATTTTGGTGCTCTGGACCGGGAGTAGTAACACCCACTCTCTGAGGCCGATCCTCACCATAACCAGGACCAGAACCGAGGCTGCCTACACATTCCCTGACCAGAGGTACCTTTCAGACGCCCTCAGCACTCCCCTGCTCTCCTGCAGCCCCAGCAGGTGCCAGATGCTGCTGCCCACCGCTCCCCTACCACACACCAGCTCCCACCCATGCCCCGCTCACAGCCTGCACAACGCTCACACAGGGCCAGGTGGGACGTGCCCTGCCTCTCACTTTTTTTCTCCCTACAAAGAAAGGTTTTTTTCCTCTGTGCTGCCTATTATCATCACCACTTTGAAGGATTAAAAAAAGAAGGTAAAATTAATCGTTTGCTACTTTTTATTATTGAACAGTAATTGAAATTATGTTTCCTATCCATTTTACCTGCCCAAGATTTCTTCTGCCTCTCTCATCAGAGAGATGGTCTTTCCATTAAACACAAGCCTGACCACTTCCACCCTCAGGCACACGTGAAAGTAAAATGAATGTACCAGTCCTGTTCAGCAGAAATCGTTCTAGCCAAGTGGAAACAAAGCCGGTCTTTAAAAAGTAACCTGCTGGGACAGGACTCCAAAACATTGCAATTTTATTAAATCACTAAGAATGGGCCATAATATTCGACAACAAAATACATTAGAGAATCACAATCAGGATTAGTGGTCCTCAATCCAATTCTATAACTTTTCCCTATACAGAGATGCCCCTACCGTATGGTAATTAGCCCCTTCAAGATCATCTTGTCAAGCTGCTTGCCAGAAACTAACCCAACTTCTAGAAAGCTCCAACTATTAGCAACATCTACAGGTCAAAACCTGCCTGGTGACTTTCAGATGCCCTCACTCATGACTGTATTATTCACCACCTGTTAATTCTCACTTGGCCAGCAATCTCTACACATTCAGGCACGGACCTTCGAGGTGATATATCTGTGACTCCTGGCCCCCTCTGCTGGACATCCTGAGAGAAACAGCCCAATCGCCGGCCTTCCTGTGTCAGTGGGGACTTGCCATAGCCACAAGGCCAGGCAGGCAGAGAAGGACCGCAGGAACAAAGGCTTAGTTTATGAAGGCCCCACCTCATCCTTCTGGAGCAGTGAGAGGCAGAGATTATGAAGGAGAGATGCAGCATCTTACTGTTTGCTTTTAATATAAACTCCAAAAGGGAACAGATTTTTGTCTGTTTTCTCATTGATATAAAGTACCCAGAACAGAGCCTGGCATGCAGGAGGCATTCCGTGAACATTTGCTGAATGAGCTGTATTCTATGTGTTCTATTCCCAGTATAGGAATTCTATTGGGTTACATGTACTGAAGACACCAGTTTCCCCTAGAGCAAAGATTGCCACTTGAATACCTTTCCCTGGGATATCAGAATTCCTCGGAGAGTGTCGAACCCAACAGAAGGCCCGAGTCCAGTTTCGTCGAGCGAGCCTTCCAGGTCGAACATGGGGATGCAGGGGCAGAAGAGCTCGGAGAGGTGGTGCAGCAGCAGCAGACGGTTCCTCAGCGCAATGATGGGGATCTCCTGCAGGTGATTGTACTCCATGGGGACCTAGAACACAGAAATGGCCTTCAGCCCCTCAGGCACCAAAGGCACACGGGGGCCAGTGTGGCATCCATTAAGGATTCTGAAAACAATTGTTTCAAATACAGAGAAGCACTATGGTGTCTGAGTTTGGTTTGCACAACCTCACTGTGCTGCTTTTAAAATAATATTCTGTCCAGTTTGACTGTAAAAAAAATTAGTCTATACAAATAAATTCACTAAGAAATGTGAGGCATGTACTAGCAGAACAGTTTGGTGTGGAAGAGTTTGGTGTGGGTTATAAGATATAGAAGGTGATACACACTGTACACACAGAATATTGGCTGGCATGAACATTCAAGGTTCTTTTGAGACAGGGTCTCACTCTGTCACCCAAGTAAGAGGGCAGTGGTGCAATCACTGCAGCTTGGACCTTTCAGACTCAAGTGATCCTCCCACCTCAGCCCTCAGCCTCCCAGGTAGCTGGGACTACAGGTGCATGCCACTATGCCTGACTAATTTTGTAGAGACAGGGTTTTGCTATGTTGTCCAGGCTGGTCCTGAACTCCTGAGTTCAAGCAATCCGCCCACCTTGGCCTCCCAAAGTGTTGGGATTACAGGTGTGAGCCACCACAACCAGCCAAATATCAAGGTTCTTAAATGCACTGTGTGGTTAACATTTACTGAGCCTGAATTATTTTCACCAAGAAGCCTCTGTAAACACACAACGACAGGATGCAGCATGTGACAGGAGCACACTTTGCTTGCCCCCGACCCACCCAACCTGCCCGGACTCACCTGTGCAGGGAGTTTGCCAGCACTGGCGGGCTTGCTGGTCGACCAGGCGAGGGTATGTGCTGAGCCACAGGCCACACGGTTGACCTTCTTACCCTGAAGGGCAGCTACCAACCGAGGCCTCTGGATGGCATTGGTGGTTCCGTCTCCCAGTTGTCCCTCATCATTGTCGCCCCATGTATAAACCTCACCTGAATGAAGTGAATTTAGAATCAGAACCTGTATACTAGGGCCAACAAACGCATGGCTGCCAGTGTCTTCCCACCACACACAGCACCAACGCTCCCTGCCCTTCAGCTGGTGTTGACCTAGTTGTCAACTTTACATATGACCTAGACATGAATGTCTGCTTTAGG